>NC_000005.10:96473443-96776473 GCF_000001405.40 Homo sapiens
GCAGTTTATGTCTGGTGCAACTGTTCCAGGAAGTCATTGAGAATCCAGGGTCCCCCTGATTTCTTTCTCCTCCAGTGTGGCTCTTGTTCTCATGGCCACAGAATGTCTGCCAACACCAGACATCACCTCTGCATTACAGATAAGAAGGAAAGGAATGGGGAAAGACACATGTGAATGGAGCCTGACTATATCGGGAAACCAATAGCATCCCATGGGCCACACCTGGTAGGCTTCTCCTTACAGGTCACTGGCCAGGACTGATTCTCATGGCCATTCAGTCTCTCCTGGTTTCCGAGAGACTTAGGAGGTGAGTACAACTGACTGGGCGCATGACTGGTCTGTACAAAATGGGAGTTCTGTTAGTAAAGCAGAAGGGAAGAGGGGATGTAGGTGGGTAACTAGCAGATTCTGCTACAGAAACTGTCCCAATGATGGTGATGCAAAAACTGAAACTCAGAGGAAGAGTCAGTGTCCTCCCAGTGCAGAGGGTTTTTCAGACAAAGGGCAGAGCATTTAGAGAGACTGAGAGGTAAGAAAGAGCCAGGTGAGAAAAGACTTCCAATATAGCTGAACTGCAGCTTGCTATTGGGAAGTTAGGCTGAGATGAAGCAGGGGAGGAAAGCGGGGGAAATCCTAAAAGACCCTGTAAGCCATGTGGATCAGTTAGGGCTTTAAGATGCAATTAGGAGCAAACTTTGGCCATTTTAAGCAGAAAATGAGAGTGTTAAAATGTTCTTGGGCAGCTCACAGAATTTTCTAGGACTGCCAGGAACGAGGTCCAAATTATGATGCAGAACTGAGACGATGAGGCTGCTGTTGCCACCACAGCTAAGCACTGACCCCGCTTGCACCACACACAGAACACCACTGCTACCAAAACCCTAGCCTCTGAGGGCCCAGGAACTTTCCTGCCCTAGAACTTCCGTGTCATCCACAGAAGCTTGTATCATCTCCATATTCAAAGTCTGAGCAACAGTGTCTAATGATGGGGGGTGGGGGTGAGGGGTGGGGCCTGTTGTGTGCCTAAATTCTAGCCACAAGGAAGTGTGAATATTTGGCATTTATTACTTCTGACATAAAATGTGGCTCTCCTTCTCATCAAGAAACTCCTCCAAACATGGGACGAGGCCTCAGATGCTGAGCAGCCAGTGGATGACAATGGGCAGGTTTATTCTGAGTGCAGTGGGGTGTCCAGGAAGAGCTCGGAAGGCCATGGAAACTTCCAGGCCCCCTGCTTGTCACATGAGTAACCAGCATTCTAGTAGGGGAGTAAACAGCCTTCTGGACAGATCCTTCTGGCTGCATGGTAAAAAACAGATTCATAGGAAGAAAGTGGAACAGCCAAGGTACTCTATGAGATACCGTCTTGGATATCTCGAGGGACTTATTCTCAGGGATTGCCTTTGAATAATGAGATGGTGTCAACATGGGGACCAGAAACTAAGTCTGGATTATGCCAGACTGCCTTATGGAAAGAGACAAATAACTATGCTATTTAGCCTTTCTGTGCTGATTAATATAATAAGAATAATAATACGTAAAACTGTGTTGTTTTGGTGAGAAGAAGGTAAAAGGAGGTAGGGCCTCTCCTGTTCTCTTGCCCTTTGGTTGGGGCTACTGGGCCAAAAGCAGCAGGCATGCCATACCTATGGCAAAGCACCTAGTCAGTCTCTCCTCATCCGTCCCTGCCCCCAGAGTGAGCCATGAGTGCAGCTGGCCAGTGGAGGTTCTGTCGGAGAGGCCCCTCATCCCAGTCTGGGGAAAAATGAAGAACCAAGACTGAGTGAGTAACTGCGGATACACCTGAGATCATGCCTTCCTGGCTTTGCTTCCCATGGTAGCATCTTCATCGAAAATGAATTAATAAGGAGTTATTACCATGGTACTTTTCTCCCTCAGCACCTGAGAAACTAAAGTCTCTAAATCCCACTAAGATTAAGCCCTAGCTCTGGTTTCAAAGAGACATAAATAATGACAATCTCTGAATGTTGTCCTTTCAGTCTTGCACCAAACGATGAGAAAGAAACCTGGGTATTGATGTTTTAGCAGCTTTCAAGCCCAGCAGCTTTTCCTGTGAAATAGTACAAGGACAGAAAATTGCAAAACAGGCCAGATGGGCCGAGTACCCTGGTGTTGTCAGGTAAAAGAGCCTCTGTGTAGAGGTTTGCAGCAGTATGGGGTTACCCTATTAAGCACACAGATTATTTTGGCGAAATCACTCAGTCCATGTGTAACAAGCAGGGGGTCTGGAAGTTTCCATGCCCTTCAGTGAAGGGATGTGAATTGGCAATGGTTTGGGGATGGAATAAGAGGCTGCTACAAAAGAGACTACAAAAGAGGGGACCTGTGGCTGGGACTTCAGATCCAAGAGTAGGTGGCAGCTCACCTTCTCAAATTGCAATAATGACTTGTTGCAGGTCACGGGTCACCCGTGCAGGCAAAGAGTAGACCAGCCATATCACAGAAGAGAGAAATGGGGAGCCAGAGGACAGTCAGTGGATCTAAGACTCCAGTTGCCCTGCTGTAGAAATGCAGATAGTTTCCCTTCATATACCAGGACTCCATTGCTTCATCTTGAGCAGGAAAAGAAAGCCATCCAAAAGCGGCCGTTGAGGCCCTTCTTCACTAGCTGTTGAACATTCAGAAACAAGGCAATTTAAACTAGAAGAAACTGAAAAGCTATTGACCAGCAAATCTTTTCCCTGCTAGCAGGGACCTCTTAAGTAAAATCAGTTCAGCCATCGAAAATAAAGAAGCTGTTGTTTTAGTGCACATTGGAGACTAGAGAAAGTAAACTTAATATACAGCTACATTTTCCATTAGAATTATTTTTATTGATTTTTTTCATATTTAAGACTTTATTTTTAGATTACACCAAATTCATTTTCTCCATTTTTATGCTTGTTTGCATGACTTTATTATTTTGTAACAACATTCATTCGAAAAAGTCTCATGGTCATATGATGCCAAGTTCACCTCTTATCTGCCCTCCCAGCAATATTTCTAAAGTGATACTAGGAATTATGAAAATATTTAGGCAGAACTGTGGGCAGGAATTCCTTAAAAAGCTGGAACAGAACAACATCACTCTTTGACTCGGCCTTTCTTGTTCTTTGCTTTTACACCCAAACACATGAAACGTTCTTAAATGTAAGCTGCAAGGAAAATTATAAGCACGTTTCAAATACACCCAGTTCCTTGGCTAGCCACTTCTCTATACTTAGCCTGAAAGAGTAGCCATATGCATATCCCTTAAGACAGTCCTCATGTTCTTAACAAAGTATCTTAACTTTCAATACACTGGAAGAGAATTATGAAATTTGAGACCTTTCTTTTCTCTCATCCTCCCAAACACACACATGTACACAAACACTCTTAAAACATCTCCCTGCACATGCACTTCACAGTCATCTCTACACGAGTTGACGGTTCTTGTCTTAGTACAGCAGGAAATACTTTCAACACCAGTCATGATGTGGATGGCAAAAAAAAAAAAAAAAATACAGCGCTATTATCAGAGCCCTTTTAATTAAGTCCAAAGATCTCAGCTAGACATCAATTTTCTGTTTCCTTCAGAGTTGTTGATCTATCTAGTAACTAACTGGTAGATCAATGTGCCAAAACACACACACACACACACACACACACACACACACACACACACACACAAATTATCACAGTCTTAGCAAATCCAAAAGATTACTTTTAATGTTTCATAAGGCAGAGATAGAGTCTGCTGATAACTTGCAGGGCTTCCTTGGTCTAGGTAGGATGCTTATTATACCAGTTTAATGAGATTTCATCAGGCGATATATAGAAAGATGCAAGGTAGAGAGAAATAGAGATATATGCACGCACGCGTGCACACACACACACACACACACAGCTGGGGCATTTCTGGTCTCTCATGTGTGTGTGTGTTGCCATCCAGTTTTTCTTTTATTTTCCTAACTGAGCCATCAACTTTGGTTAACTAGTGACTCTGTTAAGCTTTCTTACACAGTAGTTACTTCTAGGGCTAATTCAGCAACCACTTTCACAATTTGCTTTAACAAAACATTGTTATCAGCAATTACTCTTACCACAGTCACCATGGTATTTTGACCCATAGTGCTTCAACATTCAATAACGATGTCCAGTACTCCTAGGACATTATATTTGCTCTCAATGTGACTCCTGGGATATTTTAAGACATGTTAACACAAAAATCCACATGTCCTTTTTCTCTACTCATCATTATCCCATCATTTCTTTTGCAGGTGAGAATATTCATTTTCTCTCACCAATCTGACTTAATTATCCAGGTTGCAAGTGCCGTGTTGGAACTTATAATCAAGGGTTCTAAAAAGAGGATCAAGGGAATGAGAGAGGATCAGAGAGTAGGAGGGTAAACAGGCTTGTTGATTTTCCTCATCAAGCAAACCTTGGTAAGAAGACACCTTCAGATATAGAGACTGGGAGGTGATAACTAGGCCAGAGGCAGTGCCATTAAAAAACACATGCTACCCAGAGACACAAACCAAATGTTCAAATATCCATTTTCATGCCCCTGATTCACATGGCTAATTTAAGCATTTCCTTTTAAGCAGAGATATAAGTATATTTCTGGATAATTGATTACTTAAAATCCTTATATATCTTGCTCTTTTTTAGATAGATTAATATTGTCTAAAAGCTCGCAATTTTCACGATTTATTACAATTTGTTTTGTCAAAATCAAGCGTTAGTCCTTTCCTCATACCTTTAAATAAATGAGTATATTATCTATCCTAAGAAAGTCCCAATAGGGAGTGATAGTATCCGCAAGAAGTAAAAATATTTATTTCATTCTTACTGTGAAAAAACTTATAGGATTAAAAATAAGTGCATTTCATGCCTCATTTTAAATCACATTAAATTTGTGTGTCTGAAATAGTCCACCGACATTGTATGATGCACATTTGATGCAGAATGCATATTGACCAAACTATAGGATTCAGATGTAAAGTGAAAAATACCCAATTATTTGTTTCCAGCCTCCTTGTCACACTCCATTCTTGTTTTTCTGTGCTGTCACTTCTCTGGAAGGTCAACAGTCCTTACCATTGGTTAAGGTAAAGCCTTACACCCTTTCACTCTTTGCTCTTTCTGTTGGTTAATTATTTGGCTGTGGTTGCAGGTGGTGCTTAATATACCTATACACAGTCTTTAAGAAACCACATTAAATGGATTAACATAAAGTAGAAAGACCATTCTCTCTTGTTTCGAACATCTGAATTTCTTTACTGACTTTTACCTAATGAGAAGTATTTACCACATGCCCTGAGCATGACAGGTGACAATGATATGTAGGAAGGGTCTGCACCCTCCAGAAACCATAAAATGGGCACTGACATTGGAGCTCAAAGCTCAACTCGGCCACTGCATATCTATATAATTAAAAACTAGTCTTAGTCTCTTCACTATTACATAGGGAGCGCACTGGCCAGGTCACAGGATAACTGATAGACTCAATTGAACACATGAAGTGGTGCATAGGGTAGGAGGTGAGAAAAGAAATAAAGTGCTAATTGGGTGTAACTGGGGAGGAGAACAATCATAGTAATTAAAGCAGTAGAAAGTGAGCACTGAGGAGGAGCCACATAAAGTAGGAGAGCAGCTGGCAGAGCCCAAATCAGGTCTCCCAGTCATCCAGGAATAGAGGGCATTTGGAAGCCTACATGCTGACACCTGCTTAGTACAGGCTCTTCCCACGGCACTTGGACACTCATCTCTGTCAAGTCCACTGAAAGCTCAGAGTTCAATGTTGACACAAGAACTCATATCACTGGTAGCTGCTTCTGGATCTGATTATCTAATGTAATTAGTGGACAATCAACTTTTTGACACTAGCTCAACAGAGCTCCTTGAAAGTAGAAACATGCATAGTGAGGATGTTTGGAATAAAGTTGCTGTGAAGTTAGACTTTGAAATATACTCAATCATTCAAAAAATATCTAGTGAGTAACTACCATTGGCCAGGCACTCCTTATTTTTTTTTTTTTTTGAGATGGAGTCTTGCTATGTTGCCAGTCTGGAGTGCGGTGGCTCAATCTCAGCTCACTGCAACCTCTGCCTCCCAGGTTCAAGCGATTCTCCTGCCTCAACCTCCCCAGTAGCTGGGAGTATAGGCATGCACCACCATGCCCAGCTAATTTTTGTGTTTTGAGTAGGGACGGGGTTTCACCATGTTCACCAGGATTGTCTTTATCTCTTGGCCTCGCGATCTGCCCTCCTTGGCCTCCCAAAGTGCTGGGATTACAGGTGTGAGCCATGGCACCCGGCTGGCACTCTTAAAGAGTAGATAATGTCCCTTGCCTCCATGGGCCTTACAGTCTATGGAGTGAGGTGGGAATTGTAGTAAATTATAGGAAGAAAAATACAGCTGAGGCCTAAAGAAGAGTAATATTTTAACAGGCAAAGGAGGGTGGCAAGAGCACTCCAGGCAGCAGGAGCAGCACACGAAGATCCTCTAAGTTGAGGGAAAGCTGAGCCCTTTGGCAGATCTGTGGGGAGAGGGGATTCTGGGTTTATCAAGAAAAGAAGCTGGAAAATTAAGAAGAGACCAGAACAAGTAGGCAATTTTAAGTCATGTTACAGAATTTGCATTTAATCCTAAGAGCTTTGGAAAAACATTAACCATTTCGGTGGGGAAAATAAAATGATCAAATTTACAGTAAAGAAAGATGATTCTATCTGTAGGACGGAGCATAACTGTAGGGAAATAAGGCAGGTTGGAACAATTAGCATGCTATTGGGGAGGTTCAGGCAGGGAAATTTGGTGTTCAGGAATATGGTAGTAAAATGGGAACAGGAAGAGTAGAATTGAATACAGAAAATAAGTACAATGTAGAGGCATTCAGAGGAATAGTAGTAATCTGTTTTGAATTATTATGAATAAGGAACATAGGGTGTGTTTGGATGACTGGCTTGGGAAAGACAGGATGTACTCGATTCTAGACAGATTGATTTTATAGTCCCTGCCATATATTGAAGTAGATATGTCTTGTAGACCATTGTCTCAATGGGTCTGCTCCTTCCATGAATAGGCTAAACTGGAGATAGAGAAAGGAAAATTACTGACACTTAATAGAAACTGAGGTTATGGGGATGAATGACATCACCAGGGAAAGTGAGATATGGCCTAGAAATGAACTCTGAGCAAGAATTACATGTAAGAAACTAGCAGAGGACAAGAATTCCATCCAGAAGACAAAGAAAGAGTGGTTTAAAAGGTTGGAGGAAACCCAGATATTGTGGTACCATAGAAACGAAAAGAATAAAGTGCTTTAGGAAGAACAGGGTGGTCTATACTGTTAAGTTTTACAGAGAAGCAACCAGTGACCTTTTGAAGCAGTTTCAGTGAAATGGAACAGGCATAAGCCAAATTAGGGAGAGAATGGATTAGAGAGGATGGTGAGCAAATGGAGATAGCAGGAATAATTCAAGTATTTTGGACATAAAGGTGAAGAAAGAACTAGGGCAGTAGTTATGGAAGGGACAGGTTATAGAGCACAGATAGCCAACCAAAGAACAAGATTGTCACTGAAGCTAAAGTTATTGAAGCTAATGGATACATTTCACACTCTTCTCAGGAGACAGGCTTACAGCTAAATTGGCATGTGGAGAGAAAAGCTCTCAATCAAAGTTTTTTTTTTTTTTAAAGGAGCTCCTCATTAGAAGAAATAATCACTAACACTCACTCATCATAGCATTGTCCTGTGTCCACACAGTCTTGATGTCCATTTCTCATGTGTCACACTGCACAGCTGCTTCTGTCTTTGCATACTGACTGTGAATCTACTAAAAAAAACACCCCACAAATAACCATGTCACAGGTAGCTCTTGAGATAAGAGCCTTCTTTTAGATCCTTTAAACACAGTTTTGGTATTTTCTAGCATTTTAAATAAATATGTTGATATCTAATTTGTAACACAAGAAAGCTAATTTTAAAATTCATTATTGCCTACCCACTCTAAGAGACAATTTGAGCTGAATCATTGAAAAGCTGGATTGTTGCTTGCTTGTGGCCCAATAAGAAACAGATGTATCCTAAGTGAGAATGTATTCATTTACAAAGCAAGCCATGTTTCAGTCTAGTCATAGCCATAACACTTCAGGAACTATCTTTAACATGATCTCTCCCTGGGAGCAAAGCATCTTTTCTCATGAGAAAATCTGTATAAGACATTTGGTTTCAAAAGGGACTCAAACAACTTTCTCATCTGGAGAACACATGAAAAGGGAAATAAGTGGGAAAATGCTTTTGAAAACTTCCAATAAAGACATATATCTTCTTGTAGTCACAGAAAAGATTAAGTTGGTGGTGTTTAGTAACTAATGGCAAGACCCTATTGTTTAAAAAAGTTGCTTACTCATGCCTGCAGGGGAAGTAATAAAGTATTATACCAATAAAAAGTAATAATCACAATCACTGTGGATCTATAAAACATTATTAAATATCCCTTGACAACTTAAAAAAACTCTAAGTAATTATGAAGCCTCGTTTTAAATTAAAACCTGGCCTTGGTGCCCCACATCACTCTTACATGAGCATGGTAATGAAGGAGATTTATGATGCCTTGGTGTATATTGCTGCAGAGTTAGCTGGCTGGCCACCCTTATGATATAATCTCTTTTCTCTGCAATTTAATTAAAACAGTGAAAGATCTGACCTTTGCTGAAGATTTTCTTATCCATAGCACTAAAAATATCCCCTGGAAGCAATCTGTCAATATGATCTTTCAAACACAATCCTGCTCATACTGGGGAAGAAGAAAAAGACAATGAGAAATACCAGCATCCAAAAGGTTAGCACAGGTTAGTACATGGTTAGTTGCCATGAAACTGAAGTCAGAAGGCTGCCTATAAAAAGGGTAAAAAATGAATTTAAGCCACCTAATTATGTGAAGCAATGAATGAAAATTCCCCATCTAGTATCCAGCTTATAATAAGGATACAATAATGAAAATTGTCTCTTATTCCTCCAGGTCTCTTAGAGGAATTATCCTGATGTCTATTATGCTTTGTATGGCGCTTATAGGCATTAGTGCCTTGATATATAGATACCCATGGGAGTCTTACCTGTTCTCATAACCCCCAGAATTCTATGCATTCTGTAGTAAAATATTTTGCAATGAAGAAAAAAACTCCTCTTTATTGATGATAACAGATCACTACCAACTCTGATCTGGTGATTGTCATGTTCCTGTCTGGTCATAGGATAACTGTCATTTATCTTCATGGCTGTGGTGAGAGAGGAAAGTTCCTCCTTTTCACTGTGTGAACGTGGCCTTCCATTCTGAACTACAATCTGATGGATGAAGAATTGAAGTGCTAGAGAGAAGTAGAGTATAACCCAAGGAAAAATGGAGCCCATGACGGGGAAAAAATCCTGTTAAACATTCACTAGGAAATGGTTAAAGGTCCAAATTTGAGGTCAGACAGACATGGGTTCAATTCCTTCACCATCCTAGTCACTATTCCTTGGAAAATACATCAATCACTTCTGAGCTCTTGGCTCAGCCTACAAAATAATAGTGTTACTTATTTTGTAAACATGTCAAGATAATAAGTTTTCTATATTATACATTTTATCATTTCATGTTTAATAACAAGTAGAAGAAAATATCAATGGTCAGCAAAAGAAAAAACAACACTAAAGAAAATATGGGCCAAGCTAGTAAGTCATAAATTTCCATTGAAATGTAAATGTAAGTTAGAGTCTATGAACCTCAGGTGTGGGCAAAGGCTATGAGAAACTGTGTTGTATTAATCCTTTTATCTAGAGATGATAGTCAAAATCTTTAACAACCAGTATGGAACAAACATCAACAAATAAGAACGGGTGCTGACCATAGACAAGTAAAATAGCTGTGCCCATGTATACTGGATGTGTATCGGTCATGCACTTTTCCATGCCTAACACTGCACTTTGTACCTAGTAAGTTCTCAATTAATATCTACTAGAGTAAATTCACACTGTATTAACCTGGCCATCTCACAAAAGTGAGGTTAATTCAAAAAACACTAAATTAATAATGATTTAGATTTATCATTAATAATAATGATTAATAAGGATTTATCAAAGAATTATTCTGACTTTTTATTTCCAGGAAAGTTTTTCACTTTTCATGGATGAGCTTCATTGTAAGTTGTCTGGCTTCAATCTGATCTTTCATTGTTTTTTCTTTTAATGAAATAACAATTTGGATACTTTACATGATAGGCTTTTTGTTGATTGATTATTAAAATCAATTTGTATCTTGACTCATTCTAAAAGAATATAAAATAGCTCTATCTTGATTTATAGTTTATGAAGAATTTTATTGGGATTCTTGTGACAACCCTTCAAAAATAAGAGGACAAGCTCAGAGAAGTTAAATGATTTTCCAAAATCAACTAGTGAAGTGCTGAGTCAAGACTCACACCCTAATCCTATGTTTCAAGTTCAGTGTTCTGTTCCCTCTACACCACGCAGCCTCTTGACCGCCTATGTGAACTTCCCATGAGGCCTTATTTGGGGCAGATTCAAGCCTTACTAGCAATTAACTATCCTTAGTGCTGTGTCTACCTTCTTGTACTCCAAACTTCAGAACCTAGGACAGCACCTGCATAGCCACCTGTTTAATAAGTCTGTAGCTGTCATTGTGAGCATGATTTTGAGGACTCCTGCCAGCCTTTTTACATGACCACAACTCTCTGGTTCTGATGAGGAGATTGAATTTCTCTAAGCCTACTCCTCTCTTATACCCAAGGTTGCCATTACCAATGGCTGTGCCTGCCATTATGACTAAGTTTCCCCAACACACTCCAGTTGTCACTCTTACGCACACTTTTAGCATAGCTAATGATTTCATATGACTAGATTAGAGTTGTTGGAAAAGTAAAAGCCAACACAATTTTAATTGTGATTAAACACTATACTTTGCCCTTCTACATCTGTTTTTAAATCAAGTACAAACTTTAATAATACACTCAGCAGAGGCATCTGGAAGATGTGTTGATCCTAGCTGGCAGCAGACACCAGATGGGTTAGTCAATCTGGAACAGATGGTAAATTGATATTAATTAATTATAAGCCTGGACTTTTCCACCATTCATGATTCTCAGTTTCTATGAATATTCACTATTTTTGGTTAATCTCGGTTTACTAAATTCCCCTTTCTAACCTATGTGATTGTAAGAGAAAAAGAGGAGAAATTTTCTCTCTCACTAGAGAATATCTTGAGCTCTTGAAACACTCTGCAGTTGAAAAATGAACTCCAACGAGCTCATAACATCATGGTAGAGCTGGGGGGCCATCATTAGCATGATCACAGACCTAGGATTTTTCTATTCCTGCTCTGCCAATTAATGCTACTCTCTTCCCACAATTCTCCTCCCCTACTCTGTACTGTCAATAAAAGTACCTGTGAGAACTCTATGCAAAGAACAACAACCAAGTAAGTGTAAAGTTCACTCCCATCAATAGCTACACACATATCCACTATTCAAATGTAGAGCTCTCTGGAAGGCAAAGATTGAAGTAAACAATTGAGAATTAAGTTCTGAGCAGAACTTCTACCACTTCTTATATTGTAATCTTGGGGTAAATGCATGGAGTAAGAAAATTGAGAGAAGGAAGGAGTGAGCTTTCAGGTTCTGTGGAGCAGCTTCTGATTCATGTTGAGAGAAATGGTCAAAATGTCACAGAGGATAGGCCATGGCCCCACTAAGTCTCATGGATTGAAAAGTGAGTGTGGATTAGGGAGTGCTGTCTTACCTGAAGGAACAATACGAACACTCACAAGTCAATGTTGCCCAAGTTGACCAGTCAGATCATCAACTCCTCTTCTTTGAAGTGTGGAAAGAAAGATGGTAAGTCCTCACATGAAGTGATGTTCAGAGTTCTAGAAAGTTATTACCATCTTTAAAATTCTTATTCAACTCCCTGATGCCTAAGATTCTGCTAACATAATCAGCTTGCAATTTTATTTTAAATATTTTTGGTTAAAATTAAAAAGTAAAGCTAAAAGTAAAAAATCATAGAGCCGATTTGGTGGTCTAAAGAAGAGAGTAACAAGGCAGTGGGTACCAAAAGTGGAAGAAAGGATAGAAGGGAGAGAAGAGACACCCAAATATGAATAGTTCGAACCTGGGACCATTAACGAAAAACATGTTTTGCCTCAGGCTGGCCTTAGAAGTCAGAGAAGATATGGCAGAATCTTCTTGGTAATAGTCATATCAGCTGTTTAATTTATTTGTTGCCTACCCAAAGTGTACTTGTTCTGGGGAGGAAGGGAGAGAGCTCAGAGAATATATAATTCTTCAGCTTCACCCCAGTCAAAAGTTTTTCTTTCTGTATTGAAAATAGACCACTCAGGACTCATGGAAGCATCCTTATTTGTGAACCATTCACCTTACAATTACTGGGGGTGTACAAAGACACACTACAACTAAAAGTTAAGGTTTTCTTTTGATCTCTTAGATTTTGTTGTATTTTTCCCTTTAATTGTACCTAGAGACAACTACAGAAATTAGATTGGTGGTCCCTGAGACCACAGCGGAGTGCCTCTGGACTTCCAGAGAGGTCCAAAAAAAATACAATTTGCCTTTACTAAGTTAAACAACAAAATTAATACAGAGTAGATCAGGACAGCTATATAAAAACCCACCCTAATAATAGACAATGTGTTCAAAGGTAGGAGAGAGATAATGAAAAACACTACTGTGTCTAGTCAGCAGTGAGCAAGGTGTGGGGATGTGCACTAGAGCACCAAAGAGAATTTAGGATACTAGTATGGCAACGTACAGCCCCAGAAGCATGGTCCCAGGAAGGGAGGAGTAATCTTTCCCAATGCAGGAGTAACCTCATGCTTCTGAGGAAAAGGTAGCCAAGTCTGAATTCCCAGATCTAGAAACAGTTGTCATCTGCCATTGGAAACTCCTGAGCACACACTCCAGACAGAGACACACCATTTTACTAGGTAGAGTTTTGGCCTCAAATCCATGTGTCATTGTCTACCTTAATGAGCAGAAACAACCAAACCCTGCATGAGCCTAGATCAGAGTTTTTAAAATTGTTATCCTTAGAACACTAAGGTTTCATATAGTTATCTCATGGGGGACTGCCAAGGAAGTTGAGCAGACAGAGCGTCTCCCTCCAGCTGTCTCCTACCCTCCACTGCATCAGCATTTCTACCAAAGCACTTCACTCTTGTCTGAAGATTACACTGGAGTTCTATGTAGGATCTTTTGTGTTGGGGGGGCAGATTCTGCCAGTAAAAAATGTACCAGGATGCACTTACATTGATAACACAGGCCCTTAGAGCCTGCTCCTTGATTCTTCTCCATGTACTCTATCCTGATCCCCAGGTAGCCTCCTGTGAGACGTCCCTGGTTATCATATCATATCTATGACATGGACCTCTAAGAGATTATCTAAAGAAAGAGAAGCACAAGGCCAAATAATCTAAGAAAAAAAGCCAATCAAAAATTGTGCATGCTATGTAAAAGGAAAAGGTTTTATAATTTCTTGACTCTTTCCAACTGAGGCCCACTTGTGGACCTTAACTGGGAGTAGACTCCTTCCCCCCATGGGGCAGTGAAGAGTATGTGAGGGCGCTTTTGGTTGTTGTAAAGATTGGAGAGCATCACTGTAATCTGTAGTAGGGGTCAGAAAAGAAAAACATCCTGTAATATGTGGGGCAGTTCTGCACCACATATTACAGGTTGTGGTTGGACCTCCCCACCCACCACCAGAATGTCCATACCATATGTGTTTAAAAATACAACAGAGCCACGGCCTATTCTGCAACATAGTAAAATAATGGGTAATATTTCCAAGACTCTCCCTTGAGGCTAGACAATGCAGATATGTGTATTTTATATGAATGAGTACATCATACTATCATAGCATAATAACATTTAACATACAATAAAATCACTATTTCGGAATCCCATACTTTCTGATCTTCTGATGCCTTTTCCATTTCCCACATCAGTTATAGTTTCATCATAAATTAATACATAAGCCATCTGATGTTTAGACATTGGTCTCTCATGAGCTTGGGTTAAAGTGAGTTGGTCCATGAGACAAATCTATTCTCAGACACTAACTGAATCAGGCATTAATGCCTATGGAACAAGACTCCTAGACCAAGGATAAGGATAACTCAAGTTTAAACAACTTCAGAGGGCTTTGGATAGCCACTGGCCTCTCCTTGTGACATTTCTCCAGTTAATTTGAACCTTCTTTAAGCCATAATTTAAATATTCCTCTTGAAGAAAGTACTTAGATAAGGGCAGATCCAAAATTTTATTCTGGAGTGTGACTTCTGAAAGCATGTGAATGAAACTCAATTTCTATTCTGTCATTGCTGTAAATCAGGGTGGCATCACGAAAGGGCACCAAACACATAATGTTAAGCAGAGGACTGGGGTATATGCCATTATACATTAGGAACAAAATGCAGACATTTTTATGTAAGATTTTTCTCCAGCATTCCACTAACCGTTAATAACCTCCTCCCATTGCTTTTATGTAACTTTACTCATGGGAATTTTATACAATGTGACTAACTCATAAAATTTTAATAGAATTGGACATATGGCTAAAAATATCATCTGTTACTGTAATTATTAAGCAACTTTATGCTTCAGAACAGAATCAAGTGAGGTTGGGAAAAACAAGTCCTTAGAGAAAAGTTACTTGCTTGCTAATTCAGTGTGTATGGACAGAGTTGTCCTTAACTCAATAGTCTAACACAGGTTTGAAGTAAGCATAAGAGACTTAGAGAATTGTAGTCCCTTTTCCTGGGGATTTAGTGTTCTGTGACAAATAGAACTCACATATTTCTTCCTGCATGATAAAAAGTCACCACCAGCATTTAATGATATCCAGAATTTTTAAAAAGAAACAGCTAAAAAAAAACCCTAAGTATTTGCAAAATATACATTGATGAACCTCCTCTTCCCTTATTTTACTATTTGTTTCATCTTATATTTTCAATGTCAAAAAATGCAAAACTTCAAAATAGTGACAGCTTAATAATAACTGCCATTTCTTTAATGCTTAACAAGGCACATTGCCAAATACTTTACATATTGTCGTGTAGCTAGTGAGATGTAACTTTTTTCAGTCTTGAGAAGCTTCCAGATAGTTGTGTCTGAATGGAGGCAGCAGATCCCTTAGAGTAGATCTTCAGTGGAGAGGACTCCGTTTCCTTTCTTGGATTTTTGAAGGTATGCAAATGCACCACGAGTAAGTGGTAATCATTGTCTTTGAGGAAGGATGTAACAGAATCTTCTACAACCGAACAAAGTCTTCTCTTCCCAATGTCCTGGCATTAAGAAAAGTTTAGTAAATTTACTCAGAAAATTAAAAATGCTCATTTGGGGAGAAATAAGAACAAGATCCAAACTCTCTCTTTTTGAGGCTCAACTCTACTAAAATTTCAATGATAAATGAAAATGGCACAAACCAAGATATTTATGTAGGAAATGATACCAAGGACCACAAAGGGCAACTTGGCTTTAAGGAAGAGGGCATAGAATGGAGACCTGGATTTGACACCAGATCTGACCACTTTTGTGCAAACTTGACTTCAGAAGAACTTGTTACTAGTAATTGGATTCAGAAAGCTCCTGGAAAACCCCTTCAGTTTACACAGCACATGCTCAGCCATCCAGCTCTTTGGACAGACTAAGGAAAAGAGAGGATTGAAGAGGATAATTACAAACTCTTGTCTTGTTTTTTGACGTGTAGATTTAGGTTCCAATAGACTCATCACCACAATTATTTCTGTTCTGCTTTTTAAGCCAAATTGAGGCAGATCAAAGGATGCCTGAAGAGTAACTTGGGCTGGCATCTTCTTCCATCAGTAAAGAAATTCATAATGGCAGCAGGGCTGCATTTACAAATGAGCTGATTGAGTAATGCACAACCACAGAGAGTGATGTCCTCATTGATTATGAAGGGAATAGCTCTCCTGGTTGATAATCGTGTATAATTCTCTACATTTTCAAAATTGTATGTATTATATATATGCATACACAGACTTACATATGCTACACAAATCCATAATCAGGAGAGGGTAGAGGACCCAGGGACACTCAATATGAGCACATATGAATCCTGGCTCATATTGGATGTAAAAGTTATGTAGGACTCAATTTGCATGCTTCTCTTCTCCTTCCTGTCTTTCCCAGCATGACCCCCTCCCCAAGACTATCAAAAACCACAGCTGTCTAGGGGATGTAGCTCTTCCTGTTTGCTGAGAGGCTATAAAGATACTACTTAGACAATAGGCTCCAACAACCCCGTGAAGATGCCCTGCTCTCTCTACACAGCTGGGCTATGAGACGGCATTCCTGTCACATAGATACAGAGGCCATTAAACTGACTGTGGGTTATTAGTACCACTTAGTCTAAGAACAATTAATTTGAGGCTGTGAATAAGAAAGGAGCTATGTTTTTGAGATGGACTTCATCCTCTAGAAGTCACTTCTATGTAATTTTAAATAGTAATGAAGAGGATAATGCAGCTGTAGACTGGACTTTGTAAGAAATGACATCTGGACATATGTGCTTTCTGGGTGCTTTACACTTCTACAAAGCAGAATTCTAGCTTCACAAAGCCAACCACTGGCAAGGGCCATATAAGTATGATCAACAATTGTCAACACTCCCCTGCTTCTCTCTGTTCTTGGAACAAAGTTCAAAATACCTAACATCCTCTTTTGTGCCCTGCCTTATCTAGGCCCACTTACCTTTCCAGCCTCCTCTGCCTGCAGTTGCCCACCTGCCATACACAAAGAACCCAACTGGCCCCTAACCAAGTGATCCAAATACTCAATACAATCCCAATACAAATTTCAGCAGAGGGGTGTTGTGTGTATATGTGTGTGTCTGTGTGTGTGTGTGTGTGTGTGTGTGTATGTAAACAGACAAATTGATATAGTAATCCAAAATGCATGTGAAATGCAAAGGACTAAGTATAGCAAGTCATAGTCAGTCTAGAAGAAGAACTGCAAAATTGGAAGAGGAGTTCTATCCACTGCCAAGGCAAATTATAAAGCTAGAGCAACAGTGTAGTATTGGCATAATCATATACAAATAGGCTAATGGAATAGAATAGGGAGTCCAGAAGCAGACCCACATATATAAGAATACAAATGACAAAAATCATATAGCAGAGAAGTGGGGATTTGTCATCACAACAAATTATGTTAAATTAATTGCATACCTATATAGGAAAAACATAAATCTGAACCTCCTACCTGATACTACTAAAAAAATCAACTCCAGATAAATTGTAGATCTAAATATGAAGTGCAAAACAATAAAACTTTCAGAAGAAAACATGAGAGATTATTTTGGAATAAATGAAAGTTTATTAAATAGGATACAAAAGGTACCAGAAATTTTAAAAATAAAAATGAAAAAGTTGTATTTATCTAAAAAACAAAACAAAAAACCAGTGGCCATGAAAAGGTAAGTCATTCAGTGGGAAATGGTATTTGCAACACAAATGTCTGACAAATGGCTCATATTTTTCAAGAATATATAACTCTTATAATCAATAAGGAAAAGACACACAAACCAACAGAAAAAAATAGGCAAAAGAGCAAAAGAGGCACTTTACAAAAGAGAATATCGAAACATGAAAGTATTCAACCTCATTAGCCAGAAATTGCAAATTAAAAGTACATGTGATATATCTGTACACTCACCAGAGTGACATAAATTAAAAAGACCAGGCCGGGCACGGTGGCTCAAGCCTGTAATCCCAGCACTTTGGGAGGCCGAGGCGGGTGGATCACGAGGTCAGGAGATCGAGACCATCCTGGCTAACACGGTGAAACCCCATCTCTACTAAAAAATACAAAAAAAAAACTTAGCCGGGTGTGGTGGCGGGCGCCTGTAGTCCCAGCTACTCGGGAGGCTGAAGCAGGAGAATGGCGTGAACCCGGGAGGCGGAGCTTGCAGTGAGCCGAGATCACGCCACTGCACTCCAGCCTGGGGGACAGAGCGAGACTCCATCTCAAAAAAAAAAAAAAAAAAAAAAAAAAAAAAAAAAATTAAAAAGACCAACAATACCATATCCTGATGAGGTTATGTACCGCATGTGGCAATGTAAATAGAAATGACCATGTTAGAAAACTGACGGTATTTATTTAAGTTGATTATATTCCTGTGACACAGTAATTCCATCCCTAGATATATGCCCAACAGGAATGTAAATAGGAATATGTGCATAGGAATAGTCATAGTAGCAGCATTTGTAATAACCCCAAATTAAAAACAATCCCAATGTCTATCAACAGTAGAATGATAAATAAATTGTGCTGTATCCCTACAATGGTGCACTATATGCAATGAAGATGAACTAAAACTACAATGAATCTCTCAAACATAATTGGCGAGAAAGTTGCCAGATGCAACCTTGTACATAGTATACGATTCAATCACTTATATGAAGTTCTAAAACAGGCAAAACTAATGTATTGGGACAGAGCCAGTATAACATTCATCTCCAGAGGAGCTAATAACTAGAAGAAGGCACAGGGGGACTCTGGGATGCTGGTAATATTCTGTTTCTTGACCTAGGAGTTAGTCACAGAGATACACGTAGTTAATAAAGGATCCTTGAGCTATACATTTTATTTGTGTATTTGTCTTTATGTATGCATGCATGCATGCTTAAATAAAATAATTCACCTTTTAAAAAAGCATTTTGTAGGAATCTTCAAGGCTGCCACTTACCCTCGTTTGAGGGAGGCTTTGATTCCCTTAAAGTTTGACCAGTTGAAGTTGCAGGGAAGTCCTATTTAGAAGATAAAAAATTAAGAGATCCGTGGAAAGTGACAATTGCTTAAGTTGGGTCTTGAGTATATTTCATTACTTTCTATTGTCTCAATATATTAGTCTCTCTAGTTTTGTATGTTTTACATTTTCTATAATAAAAGCATTTTTTTTCCTGAAACTCTATGGAAGTTTTGCATCCAACTCATATCAGCTACTGGGGTCTATTTCTATTCTATTTAGTATGTTAGCCCCCTAAGAAAACATTGTCATCAAAGCTTTTCGCTTACATAGGAAAGCTCTCCTCCTAGTTATTTGAATCTTTGGAAGTTATTTCTTGTGTATTCTGGTTTCTTTTTCTTCTTCTTAAAAATAAATATGATCGGGATTTCCTCTTGATCAAGACACCTACCAGCCAATTACCTTTCTTCCCACCCTCCTGTCATCACATAATGAATGACCAAATGACAAAAATAAACTCCAATGGAGAACACACATGGAAGTAGATAAAACTAAAAAATATGAGCTGAGAAGAGGAGACATCTATGTCTGGCTAAAGAGAGGCCCCATGCCAGATTAACTGAAAAGGAAATGATTAATTACAGCAATGTAGCAATAGAGATGCCCCAAGCGTTTCAGTGAAATCAAATGACGCAGGTTAGAGTCCAAAATAACAGGACGATTGACTTGGGAGTGGTGAAAACACTTTTAAAAATGTTTATGTCACATAAAAATGGCCCCGTTTTTACAAAAACAAACAAAAAAATACTTTAAAAGGTCAATACAGTAAAGCTACAGATAAAAGCTACAGATAATTTTATTTTCTATACACCAAATGTTCTTCCTAAATTGGAGGATAGAAACAGTGCTTTATAAGTCACTGATTTATTTTTTTAAACCATGGAAAAAGTGGTTACCATTCAGGAAGTCACAGATTCCTACATGTAAAAATATCTAACTCTGATCTATTTTTATTTTGGAATTACCATTTTTATATTCGTTTCATAACATTTTTTATGCCATTTTCACTTCTCTTTAAGGTTGAACTTTTGTTCATTTTTTTCTCCTCTTCACCCTAGATAAAGTGCTTTGCCCTCCCAGGTAAGGAATAGAGTGAAGAGTCCCTTTGTCCTGCAATCTAGTCCTACCGCCATCTTGCCTCTTCACAGAGAGAGAATAAGGAAAAGTGGCTCAGCTTTTTCACTAATTAAATTGCAACTCCCCAGTTGGAAGTTGGGCAGGCTGCAAAAATAAACTCCACTGTAGCTCAGTCCCTTGGAAATTCTAAACCAGTATGTATCCCCACCAACCCAAGCATCATGCTGGGTGTACTGTGAGACTCCAGGCTTGAATCTCAGCAGGAAGGAGGTTTAATGGTGTTACACAGGAAGTAGTTTAGAGTCCATGTTTCTTTGCAATGAAGAAATTCATTGAAATTAACCAAGAAAAGCATCAAAATATAAAACATGCCTGCTCTTTCTCTTCAGCAGTGCCTAAACTTATTTTAGGCCAGGAACGGTGTCTCATGCCTGTAATCCCAGCACTTTGGGAGGACAAGGTGGATCACCTGAGGTCAGGAGTTCGAGACCAGGCTGGCCAATATGGCAAAACCTTGTCTCTACTAAAAAAACAAAAATTAGTCACTCACGGTGGTGCACACCTGTAATCACAGTTACTTGGGAGGCTGAGGCAGGAGAATCGCTTGAACCTGGGAGGCAGAGGCTGCAGTGAGCAAGATCATGCCCCTGCACTCCAGCCTGGGCAGCAGAACAAGACTCCGTCTCAAAATAACTAACTAACTAACTAAATAAATAAATAAACTTATTCTAATCCCTCATTGAATGGAGGTAAAGGACAGAGAAGAGTTGGGGATAGCCCAACAAAAGCAATTCCAAGCAAACAGAGGCTGAACCATTCCCCAGATAACAAGAAAAGAACCTCAAGTTTCTCAGAGGCGATGAACTACCTTGTAGCAATGCAATATAAAAGTAATGGTAACTTGTGGTGGGTAGCTTTCAGTATGTATGAAGGACCCCTCCTTATCCATAACTTTAAAAGAGCCAGAATTTAAAATAAGAGTTATCACTTAAGCTGAGGTTGAGATTTATTTTTTCCTGTAAATGATAGTAAAAGTTTTGATATAAAGACATGGTGGCAAGGAGAGCATGGAATAGCAAGAACAGAATCAGACACTGAGGAACACCATTGGCTTTATGAAAGAGCCTACATGAGAGGCTAAGAATATTGTACACAAAGACTCTTGATATTCTTTAGCAAATCCCTAAAAATGAAGCATATAAAAAGCATACAGAACAGATTACAAATGATAAGCTGGCTATGGCTGAAGTGGAACCAGATGTTAAAGAACTAGAAGACCAACTTCAAGGTGGCCCAATAGAAGAGCGATTCTTCAGGCTGCAAATGAACTAAGTCTGGCAAGAAAAATAATGCAGTGGAAATTATGGGAACCATTAGTATAAGAGTTCCCACCAATCAGTGGGAATGACCAATACAATCATTAAATGATTTTAGCAGGTGGATGGGAAACTGATGTAACTAAATATTCTGTTATATTAAAAGTGCGTTGGCCGGGCGCAGTAGCTCACGCCTGTAATCCCAGCACTTTGGGAGGGCAAGGCGGGCGGATCACGAGGTCAGGAGCTCGAGACCATCCTGGCTAACACAGTGAAACCCCGTCTCTACTAAAAATACAAAAAAATTAGCCAGGTGTGTTGGTGGGCGCCTGTAGTCTCAGCTACTCGGGAAGCTGAGGCAGTAAAATCGCTTGAACCCGGGAGGCGGAGGTTGTACTGAGCCGAGATCGGAGATCGCACCATTGCACTCCAGCCTGGGCGTCAGAGCGAGACTGTCTCAAAAAAAAAAAAAAAAAAGTGTGTCCATGTTATCAATATATTGTAATCAAGAAAACTCATGCAGAAAATATTTAGCAGACTTGTTAAAATAAGTGACTTGTAATACTGTTTTGTAGATCAACTGTTTTTTGTTTTTTGTTTTTTTTACTTTAAGTTCTGGGATGTATGTGCAGAACATGCAGGTTAGTTACACAGGTATACATGCGCCATGGTGGTCTGCTGCACCTATCAACCCGTCATCTAGGTTTTAAGCCCCGCATGCATTAGGTAGTTGTCCTAATGCTCTCCCTCCTCTTTCCCTCCACTCCCCAATAGGCCCTGATGTGTGATGTTCCCCTCCCTGTGTCCATGTGTTCTCATTGTTCAGCTCCACTTATGAGTGAAAACATGCGGTGTTTGGTTTTCTGTTCCTGTGTTAGTTTGCTGAGAATGATGGTTTCCAGCTTCATCCATGTCCTTGCAAAGAACATGAACTCCTTCTTTTTTATGGCTGCATAGTATTCCATGGTGCATATGTGCCACATTTTCTTTGTCCACTCTATGATTGATGGGCATTTGGGTTGGTTCCAAGTCTTTGCTATTGTAAATAGTGCTGTAATAAACCTAAGTGTGCATGTGTCTTTATAGTAGAATTGTCTTGTGGATCAATTTTTGATTTGTATTCACAAAAATTATTTCAAGATAATATTTCTTTGAACAGAGAGGCTGTGGGAAGATTTGAAAATTAATTAAAATAATTGCTACAGATCTTCAATGCAGAGGCCATAATCAAGAAGTGAAGTTTCTTTAGCAGTATTTTCAATGTCCTTTAATTTTTTTATTGTCCTGAAAAAGAAAAGGCCTTTAATTATTATTGTCTAAATAAATTTATAGGTCACTGTTTGAAGTAAAGTAGTAAGAGTGAATATTTTCATATGTGATAAAAAAATACAAGTGGCTGGTCATAAAATTTGAAATTAACCTCCTTGGCTGTAATCTTATGTCTATAAAGTAAAATTTAAGTATATAATTGTGTACTGATTACAAAATCCATAATAAATGTCATTTTATTTTAGTCTTTATTTGAATTATTATTCCATTTACTCTATTTTCATATAGTTTTAATTTTATCATATTTTGTTGTTACTCTATTATTTTCAAAAATCTTCAAATTATAATTCATTGTACAGTTGAAGAAATTGGTACTTGAAAGAAATATTTCTTATTGCACAGGGGTAGTTGGAAAAACTTTTCTTTTTGTTGCATTTAAGGAAATTAGCTTTCTGGCCCCTCGGCTTCTAATTTTCTTGATCAACCCTGTTACATCAAGATAGAGGTGGAATTTCTGTAAAAGAAGAGACATTAACAGTTCCTGAAGTTTTTCTGGCATATGGATAGGCTTAGACTCAAAACATTTTGGTCATAAGGCTGCAAATGCAAAGTGGAATCACTAAGTAGTTTTTACTAAGTTTCTAATATGATTGCAGGTGGATATCAAAATAAGACAAATGCTGTCCAAGGAAAGAAAACATTGGCAAGCTTTTAAAGAAAGTGTGGATAGAACTTCTGCTTATACAGCACTGTGAAACATCTATTATCATCTATTCTATAGATGAAGAAACCGGTTAGGTTACTTGCCCAAATAACTTTTTTATTTATGGAAAATATTCGTCTTTAGAATTAGCATATTTATTGCAATTTGGGAGACAGATTAGACCTAGAAACACTGTTTTGCTTTTTTTTTAGGGGTGTTAGTGCTGTATTTTTTTTTATTATACTTGAAGTTTTAGAGTACATGTGCACGACGTGCAGGTTAGTTACATATGCATACATGTGCCATGTTGGTGTACTGCACCCAGTAACTCGTCATTTAACATTAGGTATATCTCCAAATGCTATCCCTCCCCCCTCCCCCCACCCCACAACAGGCCCCAGTGTGTGATGCTCCCCTTCCTGTGTCCATGTGTTCTCATTGTTCAATTCCCACCTATGAGTGATAACATGTGGTGTTTGGTTTTTTGTCCTTGCCATAGTTTGCTGAGAATGATGGTTTCCAGCTTCATCCATGTCCCTTCAAAGGACATGAACTCATCCTTTTTTATGGCTACATAGTATTCCATGGTGTATATGTGCCACATTTTCTTAATCCAGTTTATCATTGTTGGACATTTGGCTTGGTTCCAAGTCTTTGCTATTGTGAATAGTGCCGCAATAAACATATGGGTGCATGTGTCTTTATAGCAGCATGATTTATAATCCTTTGGGTATATACCCAGTAATGGGATTGCTGAGTCAAATGGTATTTCTAGTTGTAGATCCCTGAGGAATCGCCACACTGACTTCCACAATGGTTGAACTAGTTTACAGTCCCACCAACAGTGTAAAAGTGTTCCTATTTCTCCACATCCTCTCCAGCACCTGTTGTTTCCTGACTTTTTAATGATTGCCATTCTAACTGGTGTGAGATGGTATCTCATTGTGGTTTTGATTTGCATTTCTCTGATTGCCAGTGATGATGAGCATTTTTTCATGTGTCTTTTGGCTGCATAAATGTCTTCTTTTCAGAAGTGTCTGTTCATATCCTTTGCCCACTTTTTGATGGGGCTGTTTGTTTTTTCCTTGTAAATTTGTTTGAGTTCATTGTAGATTCTGGATATTAGCCCTTTGTCAGATGAGTAGGTTGCAAAAATTTTCTCCCCTTCTGCAGGTTGCCTGTTCACTCTGATGGTAGTTTCTTTTGCTGTGCAGAAGCTCTTTAGTTTAATTAGATCCCATTTGTCAATTTTGGCTTTTGTTACCCTTGCTTTTGGTGTTTTAGACATGAAGTCCTTGCCCATGCATATGTCCTGAATGGTATTGCCTAGGTTTTCTTCTAGGGTTTTTATGATTTTAGGTCTAACATTTAAGTCTTTAATCCATGTTGAATTCATTTTTGTATAAGGTGTAAGAAAGGGATCCAATTTCAGCTTTCCACATATGGCTAGCCAATTTTCCCAGCACCATTTATTAAATAGGGAATCCTTTCCCTGTTTCTTGTTTTTGTCAGGTTTGTCAAAGATCAGATGGTTGTAGATATGCGGCATTATTTCTGAGGGCTCTGTTCTGTTCCATTGGTCTATATCTGTGTTTTGGTACCAGTACCATGCTGTTTTGGTTACTGTAGCTGTGTAGTATAGTTTGAAGTCAGGTAGTGTGATGCCTCCAGCTTTGTTCTTTTGGCTTAGGATTGACTTGGCAATGTGGGCTCTTTTTTGGTTCCATATGAACTTTAAAGTAGTTTTTTCCAATTCTGTGAAGAAAGTCATTGGTAGCTTGATGGGGATGGCATTGAATCTATAAATTACCTTGGGCAGTATGGCCATTTCCTTTGAAAGGATAAACCTCAACTCCAATTAGCTACTTAGCTCTTAGCCATGTAATTGCTATTGCATGTAATTGCATTTTCCCTCTAGAATTCAATATCAGGTTTAAGGCTATGGATCTCTGACTTGAATAAAGTAGCAGTGTGTAATAAAATATGTCAAGCAATAAAGATCAAGATAATACAATTGTACCATTTTATTTGTGGTAAATAATTATCTTGTTAACTAGTGATGCACCATTCAGATTTTCCTTCAGTGAAACAATGAACATCTTGTTGTCCTTACTGTTGCTAGTATGTCCGCTGCCACCCTTTCATAGCCAGCCCCTCTGAAATTGTGTTAATCCAGCCTCCAGGTCCAAGGCTACATGGCTCACATTCAGTGACTGATGGACATGGGGCTACAAAGGACGAGTTCTTTCTTTTGAACTCAAGACCACTATGGAGGACCATTCTTCTTCCAAATTTTTCCTGTGGGCTCAGTTTAGGATGTAGCTACCCAACACTTTCTTTCCCTTCTCCTTTACAGATGTTGATCCCAGAGATTTCTAATAAACATTGTGCAGGAAAAAAAAAAAAAAAGAAAAAAGAAAAAAAGAAAACATTGGCAAGCTTAGGGTTAAACAAAACTAAAATGAAAATAAAATAAATTTAAAAAAAGAACAGAATCAAACCAGAAATAGTCCTCTTAACCACACCTGCTAAACCTTTTTTAACGAGTTCCCTAGTGTGGAAGAATTGGGTAAAATATATAAATGAACATCAATCCTTTTCTAGACATTATACTTTTCTTTATATGAGCATACCTCTGAGATATTCTGGGTTTGGTTCCAGACCACTGCAATAAACAATTGCAATAATGCAAGTCACAAGAACTTTCGTTTCCAAGTGCATATAAAGTTATATTTGCACTATAGTGTAGTCTACTAGGTGTGCAATAGCATTTTGTCTTAAAAAACTGTGTCTTAATTTTAAAACTACTTTATGCTAAAAAGATGCTAACAATTATCTGAGCCTTCTGTGAGTTGTAATCTTTTTGCTGATGGAGGGTCTTGCCTCCACATTCATGTCTACTGACTGATCAGGGTGGTGATTGCTGAAGACTGAGGTGGCTGTGGCAATTTTTAAAAATAAGACAACAACGAAGTTTGTCTTATTGACTGACTCTTCCTTTTGTGAAAGATTTGTCTGGACTATGTGATGCTGTTGGATAGCATTTACCCATAGTAGAATTTATTTCAAAATTGGAGTCAATCCTCTCGAACCCTGCTGCTGCTTTATCAACTACATTTCTGTAACCTTCTAAATCCTTTGTTGCCATTTCAACAGCTTGGCTAACTGGTGCAAGAGGCCTAGCTTTCGGCCCATCTCAGCTTTCAACACAACTTTCCTCACTAAGCTTAATCATTTCTAGCTTTTGATTTAAGCTAGATCAACATGTGAGTCTTCCTTTCACTTGAACACTTAGAGGTCATCGTTGGGATATTAACTGGCCTAATTTCAATATTGTGTGCCTCAGGGAATAGGGAGACCAGAGGAGAGGGGCGGGTCCTTGGAGCAGTCAGAACACCCACAACATTTATCAGATAAGTTCGCCGCCTCATATGGGAGCAGTCTGTGGCCCCCCAAAAAAATTACAATAGTAGCATCAAAGATCACTGATCACAGATCACTATAACAGATAAAATAATGATGAAAACGTTTTGCAATGTTTTGAAAATTACCAAAATGTTACGCAAAGACAAAGTAAACACATGCTGTTGAAAAAGTGTGCCTATAGACTTGTTCAATGCAGGGTTGCCATAAACCTTCAATTTGTAAAAAATGCAATATCTGCGAAGCACATTAAAGAGAAGCACAATAAAACAAGGTATGCCTGTATAATTAACTGTATAGTAATATATTTATTAACAGTTCTACTCTATAGTGGCTGCTCACATATTCTAAGCTACTTTGTTTTGTGCTGTTGGTAGAGGAATGTTGTCTGTAATTGATGTCAACAACATTTGGATCTAGTTGTACTGGTTCTAGGACTGACATCATCAATAACCTAGGCTTTTCCACCTTTCTGCTCTTCACCATATTGATTTTCATCTTCAAGCTCGTTCCCTTATGGTCACAGAGGTTGGTCTCAGTTTCAGATATTGCTTTTGTGTGCAATCACCTCCAAACACAGGAAGGCTAATTTCTCTCCTTATGTGTCCCTTTGTCTCAGAGAAAAACTTTTCTAAGAATCTCCCAGTGACTTTGTCTTACATAACATTAGCCAGAACAAAGTCATGTGCTTAAATGTATAACTAATCACCGTCTCGGGAAATGGGATCGTAGCTGTTAAATGTGTAACTATGAAGTGCTAAGAACTTAAATGTGGGTTGTGATAATAGTCATGGAAATAGATGATGGAAAAGAGATATATTTTAAAGAACAATGTCAGATCATGTTGACTACAAAAGTCAGGAATGAAGATGAATCCAATGGCTAGAGCTTAGGTGACAAGAAATGCCTGGCTACTCCTCCCAGAGAAATGGTGGCCCCAGGGACTGGAGGTGGAGTGGGCTGAAGAGTGTGGCACCAAGTGCAAATAAAAATAAAGTTAACAAAGTCAGGTAGAGTGCCTGGCTGAGGCGTCAACCTGAAAACCCTGAAAACTTCGGCAGAATGGCCATATCTAGATTAAAAAGTTATGGGTCGGATACCAGAGGCATCAGACAAGGAAAGAGGTTACTGAATGAAAAGGCCTGAGACAACTATAAAATATTAAATAATACAGGACAAAAAAAACTTAAATATGTCAGTAACACAATAAATGTACATGGGCTAAACTCTTCATTTAAAGATTAGAAGTATAGATTTTTAAAAACTCTTATCTATAAACAATTAGTCAGAGACATACCTAAAAAATAAAACAGGCATAATCATCTCATACTAGTTAAATATCAGTCAAAAAAAACTTGTGGAACAACGTTAATATCTGACAAAATTTACTTTAAGATAAAAAGCATTACTAGGGATAGAAATGGTAACCATGCAATCATAAGAGGATCATTTCATCAGAAAGATATAAAAATTCTTCATTTGTGATAGCTGCAAAAATACAAAATGCAAAAATTGACCAGAGGAAAATGTGTTTTGTTTCTATATACACCAAATAAATCCCATTTTTTCTAAAGTAGAATAAACAGAGATAAGTAATGCAATGAACCCATCACTCAATTTAAGTAATATTCAAAAGGAAATGGACAAATCCACCATTAGAACAGGAAATGTTAAAACACTTCTTTTGGTATAGTCATGTGCCACATAACAGTTCAGTCAAGGACAGACCACATATACAACGGTGATCCCATAGGATTATGATGGAGCTGAAAAATTCTTATTGCCTAGTGAATTGTTACAATTGTCTACAGTATTCAGTACAGTAACATGCTTTGTAGCGTATTGTGTGTAGGTGTGTAGTAGGCTATATTATCTAGGTTTGTATAAGAGGTGTACACCTATGATATACCTACAACAACAAAGTCATCTAACAACACATTTCCCAGAGCATGTCTCTGTTATTAAGTACACAGGACTTTATTTTTCTCACATAAAAAATAGTCTGCAAAGATTTGGAACATTTGAAAAAAACACAATTGGCAAGATTGATGTGATAGTTCCACCCTGTAGATTTAACCTTTTTTCTCTCACAGCACTCATAACATAAATCCTGTACTTCAAATCTCTGACTACCTTCTCTTCCATCAAATAAAAATAACACATAATTCTACCCTCTTGCCTTGGCCCACATTGTTGTCCAGCCTCCAAAGGCAAAGAATATCTTGACGTGTATTGTCATTTGTTTTTCTCTGGTTGCTTTTGTTTATATTATTATTTGAACTAGGTTGTAAGCTGTTTGATAGCAGAAACAGGATCTCAGGACAGGACTGAGTTCATAGCAGTATTTCTTTTTTAATTAAAGGATTTTAATTTTTAAAAATTCTTTAATTTTAATTAATTTTTTATTTCTTAAAATTAAAGATTAAAGAAATTGTTTAATTAAAAAACAGTGCATGTTCTTTGTCACAAATGAACAATTCAAAGATGTATAAAAAAAATTAATGCTTTTCCCCCATCCTACTCTGTTAAGATAATCAAGGTTAGCAAGTTACCTAGTCTTTCTTTCTTTCTTTCTTTCTTTCTTTCTTTCTTTCTTTCTTTCTTTCTTCTATCCATCTAAACATTGACCTCTATCTGCTTTTGGGGGTGAGGTGGGAGTTTATGTTTTTTACTAAATATTAGATCTACTACATGTATTACTTAGAAACATTTGCAAGCATAAAAGACTATGGAAATTTTTGCCAGATTAATCAATATGACTCCAACTCACTTCTTTAAATATCCACATGGCACTCTATAATACAGATGCCCTATAATTCTTCATCCCTCTTTGATTCATGGTTCATGGCTTTGGGTTGTTTCCAGTTTTTCTGCCATCCAACAAGCTGGTGCTTTTCATTTCTGTGAGTTTAATTGCAAAGAGGAGGACTTGGGGGTCTTTTCTGATTTCTTTTTAAGCTTAAAAAGCTAGTTGTTGGTTGCCTTACTAAAAGGCTACTGTAATTTACATTCCCACAAGCAATATATGGAAGGCCTGCTCCTTGTCTTCAGAGTACTGTAATACCTTTCAATCTTTTTAAATTAGAAATGTAAAAACTGGTATCTCATGTTTGCTTTAGTTTGTATTTCACTAGTTACTAGGAGTTTCAAGCCTTTTCCTATATTGATTTTCACTTATATGTCCTTACCCATGAATTGTTTGTTTTTATTCTTGGCTCATTTTCCTCCTTTTTGCCTCAGAAGTACTTGTTCACAATATATTCTCCTATGTAAGGTGAAGGTGAAAGGGGGTGGCCAGCACAAATCCTCTTTGGCCTGAATTATTTGAGCTCTGCCTTAAACCTCCCTTTTTTCTTTGGCTGTGAAGACATGGTTCCATTTCTCTGGGAAATTGAATGCCCCCATTAAAAAGAAAAAGAAAAGAGAAGAAAGGGGGAAAGAAAGCTCTTACCCACCTCACATAATCCTCTTTGCTATCCACAAAGTCTGCTGCTGCTACACGATTCCCGTGGGATTTCTATTCCAGCAACCAAAGAGCACGGCATAAAACCCACCCACAGAGACCTCACAGTCTGAAGTGCCAGTGTTCAGAAACCATCCGCTTAATGTCGTGCTGCTCTATTGAAAAATGCGGACTCCTTCTGATAGTCTCACTTGAGGGAATAGAAGCCCAAGCGCAGCAGCCCAAATGACAGGGCTCACGCCTTCCCCTCCACCATGCTTTTATCCCACCTTTCCAACACCTCCACCCTTTTAGTCCTTTCCCTGGCCTGCACCCCACCTTTCATATTTCGTAAGAGCGCTTCACTCTCATTCCTGACATTAACGAGCTTCAAGCTGATTTTTGCAAAAAAGAAGAAGAAAATGGAAAAAGAAACCTCATCTTGTAGCCAATATGCCTCCAGCAGGCTTTCCCACAGAGAGAGAAGTGACTCTCCAGGCTGCAGGGAGGCTGACATGCAGGCCAGAAGGCAGCTGTCTGCTTTATTGAAATGCCACCTTGACCATTGTGTGCTTTCTCTGAGGGCCGATTGATATTGTTTGAATGCACGGCCTATGACATGCTTTGTTTCTTATGTCCATTGGTCCTCTCAGCAGGCCAGCTGGAGGGAGGAGAATTCGAATCTTGCTGCCAGTCCTACCTTATCACTCTCCACCCTCTCCCCAGCGCTATCTGGCCCCATCAGCTTTTTCAAAAAGACCTCACCGGCACATCCAGTTCAGCACAGATATTGTCTCTTTTCTCATTTCCCATACACGATGGCAGTTTATCCTGTGATCCTGTCAAAAAAAAGTCCTCCAAAGAATTCCAAGAGGTAACACAGATGTGCTTGCACATTTCCACCCACACAGGAACCAGCTTGAAATGTCAGATGATCACTGTGTTTGAGCAAATATTAATTTCCTCATGAGCAGATTTTAAATTTGCAATCGTATCCCAAGGAAATCGTTTGTGCTTAGAATACTTTTTTTTTTTTTTTAACCTAACGTGTTTTTTTGTTCATCTTAAAGACAGACCACTGCCTAAACAACGTATTCCTCTTCCCCCTTCTCATAGATTTATTGAGGTATAATATAACCATAAAAGTCACCCACTTGAAATGTACAATTTGACAAGATTTGGTAACGGTACACACAGTTGTGCAACTGTCACCACAGTCCACTTTCCCCAAAGTCTCATCATCTCCAAAATTCCCTCTTGCCATTTGCTGTTGATTTCTGCTCCCACCTCAAATCCAGGCAACAAATGATGTGCTTTCTGTATCTGTTGTTTTGCCATTTCTAGAAATTTCGTATAAATGGAATAACACAATATGTAGCCTTTGTGTCTAGTGTGTTTTTGAGGTTCATTCACGTTGTTGCTCATATGAGTATTTTGTTATTTTTTAATAGTCAGCTACCAGTGTGGCCATTGTGGGTAGATCACATTTTGTTTATGCGTTCACCAGTTGATGGATCATTGATGTATTTCCAGTTTTTGACTATAGTGTCTCTGCTATGAACATTTCAATATAAGCCTTTGTGTGGACACATGTTTACATTTCTCTTGGGTAAATGTAAAGGAGCCGAACTGCTGGATCAAATGGTTAGCATGTGCTTAGCTTTCTAAAAAGCTGCCAAACTTCAAAATGTTAAAAAATAAAACCACGCCTCATTTTCAAGGTTGTATTGGCCATGAAATCACCCAATCTCAAAGAATAAATAAAAATTTTGAGCATAATTTAGCAAAGTTTTTAGACATAGAATCATGAGCAATAAAAGTAGTAGAACTTTAGCCGGGCATGGTGGCGGGTGCCTGTAATCCCAGCTACTCAGGAGGCTGATGCAGGAGAATCACTTGAACCCGGGAGGTGGAGGTTGCAGTGAGCCGAGACCCGCCACTGCACTCCAGCCTGGGCAACAGAGTGGGACTCCGTCTCAAAAAAAATAATAAAAATAAATAAAATCTAAGGAAAAGGAATATTATTAAATCCTCTTCTGTCACTGCTGAATCTTTAGCCCATAGAGAAGGGCCTTTTTTAGAACTCTGCTGACAAAGGAAAGGCATAGAATCACCACTGGTTCTCAGTTCTTTTGCCTCCACTTTCTGTGCCCTGCTTCTGTGCACTGAGCCTGAAGGGGCCTCTTTCAGAGATCTCAGGCTAAAAGGACCCAGTTGAGGCTGCTCCTGAAGAGGTAAGAGCAGAAGGGTTTTGGGTGCACAGGCCTTGTCAGTCCTACTGCCGCCAGCTGGGTGGAAGCTACATCCACAGGCTTCATCAACAGGGCACCTTATGGGTTTCCTCAGCCTCCTTCTAACAGCCTTCTGAATGCCTGGGAAGTGATAGACCAGGATTTCCCTGACCTTGGAGTACCTGAGGATTCTAGATCCCTGGGATCAGAAAAGAAGCTAAACTCTGCCCTGGTGGTTTGGGATGACAAGGCCATGGCACTAGAGAAAGAAGAGATTTTTCCAATTTTATTTCTGCTACCTACAAGTTTTATGTTCTTAAGCAAATTATGAACCTTTCTAGTTTTCCATTTTTCCCCGTCAGGGTAGCTGTGAGGATGAAGTGGGATAATGAGAGGCTGCACATAACACAAGCTCTTTGATGGCAGGAATATTTGTATAGATCCCAAGAACCTAGAACAGTGCCAGGCACATAGTAGGTATTTCAAAAATGTTCATGGAATGATTGAAGTACTTAGCAGAATTCCTGAAGAGATTCTTGGTTCATTTGTTCAATCTTTTGCATAATATTTATTGAGCACCTACTAATGTTTTAAAGAGCTAAGCTGAGGCACCAAGTATCAGAGCAGCTGATTAAGACAATTAAGCTCAAATGAAAGTAACAATCAAACCTATAATCCCTTACTATAAGAGTATTAGCAAGAGGAAGTTGGAGGAAGCACCAACCCCCTTTCTGTTTCATTTTTCTCTGTGGAATGACACCAGTGAGGGTCAGATGGATCAACACATATGTAGGGAACTGTCTCACTATCAAGGGAGTCCTGACCAAAGATTCCTGCCATCTTATGGAACCAGGGGGAGGGGAGAGGAAGGGAAAGAGCTAATGTGGGAAAGTACTGAGTCAGAGTGGAGAGGCTTCTCCTCCCACTATGAGGAGGTCTCCTCCTCCCACTATGAGGAGGTCTCAGCAGTGGCACCCGAGAAAGTCTCTACTGAAGGACCCCAGTAAAAAGACCTCCACATAGAGGCTTCCTGGGCTAGGAATGCAGATACGTCTAAGAACAAGGCTGGCCAGGGGGCCTGAGGCTTTGACTGCAATTCCCTCAGAGGCTGCAATGCATGGGCCCATACACTAAGCCTGGTGTGGGGAGGGCAGCTTCCATATGAGGCCTGGAAAATCACACACAGGTTTTGTCCAGGAGCCAAACTCCTAAAGATTGCTATTGAAGAGCAGATATGGCCTCTGCCCTCACTAAAGTGTGCAAACTATTGAGTAGGCACACCATAGCCAAATAAACACACAAATAAATACATAATTGCAAATTATGATGAGGGTGGGGTGAGGGTGGAGGGGATGAGAAACCAGAGCCCTCGGGGAGGATGACAAAACACTCCTGTATTGGCCCGAATGCTCAAGTCAGCACCCTCGGAAGGGAAATCCAAGCTGAGACCTGGGGATGAGAAGGAGCCAGCTGCATTCACGTCGGGGAGAAGAGGTTGGGAGAAAAGGGGCACGTAAACTAAATATTCACTCTACCCTGTGTTACATCAGGCTGCCATGCTTGAGGGGCCAAAGTGACTTACCCTGAGCTTCATCCAAATCTGTGTAATAAGTCATCACTTTGTAACCATTTTTTCTTTGATGTACAAAACCAGAGCATCCAGTCGAATCTTACCTGTGGTTAAACAGATCATGAATACATATGAGTCAGGTGTTCCCAGGATCTCAACAAACTTTTATAAATGGGAATGAACCCACTTTGTGTAGGTCTGTGGAGAGCACCAGAAGAATAGTTTTCGCTGAATGAAACTCCTTAGCGTTGTTGAGCCCTTTCTGAATATTAGAGCTGGGAGATGCTGCAGAAATCAGGGGTTACTTCTGACTTTAGGGAGAAAGGATGAGTCTATGACTATTTTCCTCACCTAAATAGGACTCTGAAAATTACCCAGGGTGCTCTGTCCTCCTGGGCCTGTATTTGTAAGCCTCGGATGCAAAGGTTATTGTCAAGAGTGGGGTAGGCTTTCCAGTAATTATGAAAAGCCATTCACACATAGCAAAGAAACACTAGCACTTATTGTAAATCTGAGTTTGTATCAAAATTTTTTAATCCACTCCCTTTCATGATCATAGTTTACCGTCAGTAGAAGGTGCCAATTCATTTCACAAAGCCCTAACACACATCTAAATTCTCAAAACTTTGTTTCTAGAGTTCTCTTTGAATAACATTGGATTGTGCCACTAAACTAGTTATATCCCTGACATTATTATTATTATTATTATTATTATTATTATTATTATTATTTTATGTTATGTAGAGACAGGGTCTTGCTAAGTTGCCCAGGCTGGTCTTGAACTCCTAGCCTTAAGGGATCCTCCCACCTTGGCCACCCAAAGTGCTGAGATTACAGAAGTGAGTCATTACACCTGGTGTGTTTTTTTGTTGTGTTTTGTTTTGTGTTTTAAATGAGAAAATGATGCTGCAAAAGGAGAACGGACTTTGGAGCAAGCCAGGCCCAAATTCTAATCCTGACTCTGTCCCTTCCCAGCGTGTGACTCAGGCAACGTCCTTGTTTCCCTGATTCTCAGTTCCTTCACAATTGGATTGGCTGCCTCTCCCAGGGATGTGGTAAAGATGAAAGATAATTCATTCAGAGTACCTAGTACTTCATATGTGTTTAATAAATTGTAGCTACGATTATAATAGGAGTAGATTGCAGTCACCATGCATGCAACTTAAAGCATACTGAATTCACCACACTTTAAAATTTGAGACACCCAGTTGAATTTTGGGGAGTCCATAAAGTGAATTTCTGGAATTTTGTTCAACTCTCTTCTTACCCTAGATATGTGATTGGGAGAATGCAGCTTGTAAAGAAAAATTCTCTTAAAGGCCCATAGACAGTCTTATTGGCTAGTACAGGTTAGGCATGGGGTTAGAGAGGCGCTACATCGGGGAGGAGGTATTGTGGAAGTTGGAGGGTCTCAGGAAGGCACAGTTCCCCTTCCATCCCTCCTGAGAATAATGCCACCTTTGTTTCTTCCTGGGTCTTAATTAGAGTCATAAGCTTGTAAAGTGAAACATGGCAGAGTAGTTAAGGGTGCAGACTTATTAACTAAAATGGAGGGGAGAAAATATTGCCTTTGCTACTTCCCAATCATGTGACCTGAAGTAAGTTGCTTATCCAATCTATGTCTCACTTCCTTGCTTGTAAAGAGGAATTTAGAATAATAACATTTTCTATTTCAGATGGTTGTTTTGAGAGCGATTTAAACAGTTAATACATGTGCTTAAAATCGTCAGGCCACAGGTAAGTGATATCATTGTCATAGGTGTAAAATTATCTTTCAAAGTGAATCCTAAAATATTCTCCATTGTAATTTTGAAGTTTCTAAATCTGTAATTTAAAGATAAAATACTTTAAATAATCTCTGTCACACATCGTGCAAAAGAGAAACAGCAATTACGATCAGCAAAGAACAGACCCAGTAAATAGCCAAGAGGGCTACAATCTGAGGAATAGGTCTTTGCAACCGGTGAAGTGACTGATCCATGCTTCCCTGCAGCACAACAACGGAGGTGTCAGGGTTAATTATTGTAAACTATCTAGTGGTTCAAATCCAATTTTAAATGGTCTGGATGTGTATAAGGCTCTGAATTTTAATTTGTCTTTGAAAAAGTACTATCTCAATTTTTAAAATCCCCCTGAGCTCTGTGACTCATACCACCAGAAATCTGACCTTTCAACCAAAGGGGGAAAAATCTAAGTTGTTACCTCGACAACAAAAGGTAAGCAGGATGCTTTGAGCTCTGGTGCTTCTGCTATAAATAATCCATCTTTGGCCAAAGAAATATAACATGAGCATGGAGGGGAATAACCTGGATTGGCTATGGGAACAGTCTGCATTTCAGGAGATCATTTTAATCACAACTTTTAGGAATCATTCCCAGAGGCACTTTTGTGGCAATTAACCAAGAAATCAATAAGAAGGAATGAATTCAATTTCTAAAACGGAATTTACACAAATCAAGACTGATAATGCTTTTTCATGTGAGAAATTTCTCTGTATGTATTTGTACCGTTGTCTAACTTCTGTTGTTTTTCTTTAAAATAATTGTTCTCTGGTTTCCCAACAACCTCTAAACCAGAACAAAGAGATGCTAACAATGAACTTTGGTCCTTTAGCTGTAATTTACACGGTCTTACCCTACACAGTAGCAGGAAAGAAACAGCAATAAAGTTGGAGGACTTTTATAACGTTGTGGATTTTTTTTTAAAAAAATAAGAAATCAAAGTCCTCTTTTGGTAGAAAGTCACAATATACTATTGAATTTTTTTAACCCAGCTGTACACATGGATAGATTTAAGATTTATAGTTGTGATTATCCTTTTGCTTGCTGACGTAAATTAGTCTTCTGGGAAGTCCAAGTTATTTCTCAATAAGCTGTAATAGTCTGTGAGTCAGAGTAGGTGCTGCTGATGAGTCTTGCAGGATTTATAGGAAGGCAACTGAGAAATTGAGGGGCACATTCATCCAATGGCCTTTGGAAATAGTGCATAAAAATATTTCCTGAATAAGAGTCTTTGCTCCAGTAGATTCTAGCTGCTTTTCAGTAAATACAATTCACCCAGGAAAATTTCCTAAAGTAACCTTCCAGTTTGATGATATTCTCCACGATTATTAATGTTTCTTATTATTGTAGCAGGGTGAGAATATCTACGCTGAAGCTCTGGTGAGCAAAATAGGATAATGGTTTGTTTTTTTCCCACCGATCTTGTTTTGTTCTTAAGTTCCTACTCTTGATGATACAAGGGGACTGCTCTAGATTAAAAGACACTTAAGAGACATAATAACAAAATGCAGTATGTGGATTAAATCCCCATTCAAACAAGCCAACTGCAGAAAGGCAATCCAAAACAATCAGGGACATTTAATATGAACTGTATATTAGATAATTCTTGAAACAATTGTTAATTGTTTAAGATGTGATAACAGCACTGTGGTAATGGTTAAAATTGCCTATATTTTTTGACATGCACACTGACGTTTGTACGAATAAAATGACATTATGTCTGATATTTGATATTAAATATTCTATCCAAAAAAAGGGGTGGATTATAGAAAAAACAAGACTGAGAAAAATCTAGAATATGAGTGAGGTGTATGTGGGGTTTATTATACTATTTAATTTATGTGTATCTTTGAAAACATTCATCATTTTTTACAAGTCTCTTCCAGCCTAAAACTGTCCCTCTCTCCTCTCTCTGATTCTAATCCACTCCTGGCTTGTGTGGTCCACACTGTGGCTCTCAGCCACTGTCACATTGCTCCTCCCATAGCCTTTGTGTTTCTCCTTCATGAGTTAGTAAAACAACAAAACAAAACAAAAAACACATACAAAAAAACAAAGACTATATTCTTTATTTATTTTTTTAGACGGAATCTCGCTCTGTCACCAGGCTGGAGTGCAGTGGTGCGATCTCAGCTCACTGCAACCTCTGCCTCCCGGGTTCAAGTGATTCTCCTGCCTCAGCCTCCTGAGTAGCTGGGACTACAGGCGCCCGCCACCACGCCTGGCTAATTTTTGTATTTTTAGTAGAGACGGGTTTCATCATGTTGGCCAGGATGGTCTCGATCTCTTGATCTCGTGATCTACCTGCCTCGGCCTCCCAAAGTGCTGGGATTACAGGCGTGAGCCACTGCACCCCATCCACAAAGACTATATTCTATCCACAAGGTTTGAAATATAGTATGATGCTAGCATATTGTGTTATATTTCACCAGCAAGTACTCTCAGCTATTTCTGCATGCCACCACCCCTCTCCTAACCCCTCCTCTCCCAGACATGCAGGAACTTCTAGATCCCAACACTCCAGGGGAAAGTCTTGGAGAATCAGTGGAATAGAAAGGACATTTTATGCTATCCTTCAAGCACCTTTCTTAGCCAATTTTACTCTACTCCTAATTGCTCTGTTGGAGATAGTAGCTCAACACTAGCCTCTGGGCTTCTCTGAGAAGCATGCAATCTTTCCAGAATGACCTAGAGAAAGACAAATCAAGACTTTGGTTCCAAAATCACCCTAGATTTATCTGAGTGCTTCTCTCTCATCCTCCGAAGCTTGGTCCCCAGAGCAGCAGAGAAACGAAGTCCTTCACATCCAACCTCTTGCTCTTGTCTTTCTTTTCCTCCTGGCCCGGTTACCTGGCACAGAAAGCCTTCTCAAAAGGAAATGGCATTGAAAACCATATGAGACTATCCCATTTGAGTATGTGTTCATTGTCTGTTTTCCTCACTAAAATGAAAGTTCTGTGAGTGCAGAAATTTTAATCTGCTTTGTTTGCAGTTGTATCTCTAGCACTAAAGCAGTGTTTGATATAAAGGAGGTGCTCAATAAATATATACTGAACAGTAAATGAACAATCACTGTATACAGTTTTCCATAGTACTTATTTTAGAAATTGCACATGTATTAGTATAAACTTGATTAATGTTGATTTCTTCCACTAAAACTGTTACCAATGCATGCCTAGTAAAAATGAACTTGCATGCTTGGTAGACATACAATTTCTGATTCTTTCCCTGAGATTGTGATTCTGTAGGTCTAGGCTGGAGCTTATAAACCTGTATATTTTGCAAGTGCTTCCCACCCTCAATCAGTAGGCCACTTCGGAAAACATGGCTCTAAGACATAAGTCCTAGAAGGGTAGTAGGGCTTATGACTGGAGATATATGGCACATAGTATAACCTCATTAAGTTTTGTTAAATAGATGAATGACTGACGGATAGTGGTCTCTTTGTGACTTGGTATTCTCCTTTTAATAACTAGACAGATCTTTCCTATAAAAATTGGGTGAGTTAACTAATGAAAAACCATCATTTGATTTTCTAGCATCATATTATACTTCAAATCTTGTGGGTGGAATGTAGTCTTTTATTACTACCTCATTAACAAGAAACACAAAATGTGACTATCAAGATATCAGCCATGTTCCTTTCCAAAGCTGAAGTTAAAGTATTTACTAAGCCATAACAATTAAATACTTAGTATTAATATCAGTAATTAAATCTTTAGTATGAATAATCATGAAAGAGGAAGTAAATCTCCTGTCACCTTTTCAGATATTAGGAACACAAACGAAGATTTTTTTCAGTTTTGTTCTGAAAACATGTAGCAGATGAGTAATTAGACATAATACATAATGGCTATCATTTCTCTATTACCATCTTGATATTTCTGTACTTAAGATCCAAGCACTATGACTACATGAGCAGGGAGGCAGCCTGAAACCACAGAACAATCATGGGACTTGGGGACAGAAAATCTGCTTATCACTCATTTGGGTCCTGATTATCATTCATTCTCGGGTCCTGATTATCACTCATTCGGCTGCTAATTGGTTGTATGACCTTTGTCAAGTCTTGTTCCCTCTGCCAGCCTGGTTAGTGGGGGTTGCATTAGTGGATTTCTGAAATTTATCCCAGTTTTTGCATCCTGTAGCTTCTGTATTCATGAGCAAGCCACTGCTGTAGGCACTGGGGCTACCACAGCGAACAGAACAAACACATATCTGTCCTTGGAGAGTTTATATTCTAGCAGGAGGAGACAGACAATAAAAAGCACAGAAGTTAAAATAAATAGACAGATAGATGGGTTCCATGGGGAAATACAAAGCAGGGAAAAGAGTGCAGGGGTGATACCCTTGACTAGGATGGGCAGGGAAATCTCCACTGAGATTTGGGTAAATCAGTTACCCCCTAACAACAAATAAGTCACTGGTCAGGTGCATTAAGCAAGACTGTGGCCAGAAGCAGACAATGTAGCTAAAGGCAACTGGGTATAAATACAAATTCCTATAAGAGCCACAGAAAAGTAAGCCAGTCAAGTGCTACCTCTGGAGAAGATGGTAGTTACTCGGCTCCACCCTCATTGCCAGTCTTGCCAGATCTGCTCTGTTCCAAGAGAAAATGAAAGTCTGAATTTTTATATAAAAAGTCCTGATTTTTTTGAAAAATCTTAGCTTATTTGTTTCCTAGGGTTGCCATAACAAAGTACCACAAACTGGGCAGCTTAAAATAACAGATATTTATTCTCTCGCCGTCCTAGAGGTTAGAAGCCCCACATCAAGATGTCTGCAGGACCATGCTTTCTCTAGGACTGTGGATAGAATCCTTTCTTGCCTTCTAGCTTCTGGCAGTGGTCAACAATCCTTGCCATTCCTTGGTTTGCAGCTGCATGAGTCCAATCTGTGCCTTGGCTGTCACAGAATACTTTTCTGTTGTATGTGTAGGTGTCAGTGCCTCTTCTCTTCTGTTTACAAGAACACCAGTCACGTTGGATGAAAGGCCCTCTGTGCTCCAGTATGACCTCATCTTAATAACTACACCTGCACTGACCCTATTTCTAAATAAGGTCACATTCTGAGGTATTGGGGGCTAAGGACTTCAACGCATATTTTTAGGGGCACAATTCAACCCATAATTGCTATCAGTTAGTTTAAATATTTTTTCATACTGCATTAGTTAACATTACGTAGGACAAACAAATTAAGTACGTGGTTCACAGGTTATTCATTTATGAGTGCTGGACCAGAGGTTAAGGAGCCTGCAAAAATGAATGTAAGCTTGAGGAGGGCAGGCATAACTCTGTCTATTCACCCTTACACCCAGAACCTACCACAGTGCCTGCCCAAGTATTTGCTTATTATTTCTAATAAGTGAATGAATGAATGAATGATATTTCTTTTATATATCCAAATATCTGGAAGGGTATTCTATTACTAGAGAGAGAACCCAATCTTACTTGTAGTTGATCAAAACTATACTCAAATTTAATCATTTCTGCAGATTTCTACTCAAATTTAAATAGAGCTATATAAAATTATAACCCCCACCCTTAACCCAGCACTCCCTGCCTTGGATCCTACTGTATCATGAGACTTATGCCTGTGTCTGAGATGCCCCCCAGCCACTCTATTGTGTTTGTGCTATTTCCTCTTGCTTGTTTGTTTGTTTGTTTGTTTGTTTTTTGTTTCAGACAGTGTCTCGCTCTATTGCCCAGGCCCAGGCTGGAGTGCAGTGGCACAATCTCTGCTCACTGCAACCTCCACCTCCAGGGTTCAAGCGATTCTCATGCCTCAGCCTCCCAAGTAGCTGGGATTTCAGGTGTGCGCCACCATGGCCAGCTAATTTTTGTATTTTTAGTAGGGACAGCATCTTGCCATGTTTCCCAGCTGGTCTCAAACTTCTGGTCTCAGGTGATCTGCCCACCCTGTCCTCCCTAAGTGCTGGAATTATAGGTGTAAACCACTGTGCACGGCCAGTGCTATTTCTTAAATGTCAATCTTTCTCTTTTTCTGTGGTAGAGATTGTCCGTGGTTTGCCCAATACCCAATCTTCTCTTTTCTTAAACGCAGAAGGATGGGAGTGCTTCAAAAATGAAAAACCCAGGACAATTTGCCCAGCTGAAAAATAACACTTTTCAGCTGATTTTGTCAACAGGAATAGCTAATTAGACATAAGTTGGTAGTCCTGGGGATGAAAATATTGGGGAACAATATTGTTCCCACAATGTTTGATTGTTTGTTTGTTTGTTTTTTGTGTCCTGTCCATCTAGCCTGTTTCCTGCTTGAAAGGTGAGCGTGATAAATGGCACAACAGCAGTCATTTTGGGACCATAAAGTGATCTTGACAATGGCAGCTACACAGTGTGAGTGGTAAAGCAGAAAGACAGAGAGGTTTGGCTTCCTGGTGCTATCTTGGAGCCACAGTATTCACGTCCAATATCTTCCAGACGTCTTTTCTGTGAGAGGAAAAGCAATCCCTAATTTATTTCAGCCTCAGTGCCAGTAATATTTCTGTTTTCTCCTAGACTCACTCCTGCCCTTTTCAGTTCCACTCTGCATTTTAGGAAATGATGTTTCCCAGGCTCCCTTGCCTTCTGCCTTGCAGCAAGGTTTAGTGAATGGGTTGGGTACCAGAGAGCAAGAGACAGGGAAAAGCCAGAGCATTTCTTCCCCTTCCTCCCTGCTCCTGAAGAGACTCTGGCAATGGGTACAAGTGTTCGACTCGTACACTTTCCCTGCCCTGAGACCAATTCACCCTTCTTTAAATTCTGTATTGGATCAAAACAAGAGTCCAAAGTCCTCATTCCTCCAACATCTTCTGTAGGAAATCTTGGGTGGAACCACTGATAAACTCTCCTATTAAAGCATTCTTCTAGACTTCTAGTGAGACATAGTCTATTCTCTCACCTTATGGCCCTACACCACTCACCTTATAGCCCTTGACCACAAATTTCAGTGCTTGATCGCCTCTACCCACCTTGGTTTTTCATACCCAAGAATATCAATAATGATTTTGCATCAGAGTCACTAAGTTGCAGAAGAATTATCTATGAAGAATAAAGCATCTCCTTAGATGGTGGCCATGCATTTCAGAGGGCAAAAATAATCATGTGCATATTCTTTCTATAAAAGCAATTATTTTTCTTCAAGTGAAAATTGTTTCAAGGGACATACAAATGCTGTGAACTGAAATGGAAAAACCAATACATTGCTCTGTTCAAAACATCTCTGCTCAGCTCAACGATCTCCCACACTCCTGAATAACGTGGTAAACTTTCCAGTTATGTGAAAATAAAAAAAAAATGAGAGTTGTTTGGAATAATTTCTTACATTTTTGGCATGTTGGTTTTTTAATTACTATGGAACAAAGAAGCATGTTGATGCATCTTTTGACATCCATTCTCATTTATCATGCAGAATTAGGAAGGTGAAAAAGTCTACATGTCAGTTAGTTTCTTAATGGTTGTTAGAGTTGTTTTGCAATGGCAGGATGATGTGCCCTAAATGACACAATGTTTTTAAAGAAGAAATGCAATTAATTCACTCTTAACTCCCTCTCCCCGCTATCAAAAAATTGTCCTTGTTTGATGAAAATGCTGGGGAACAATGAAGAAGAATGTGTATGATTAAGTCAGTTGGCTAGAGTTCACGACTTGACAAGTTATTTGACTCAGCTCTAAAAGAAACGCACTTCTACTTCTAACATGCATTTGTATTTTGGAAATATGACACACTATTCTCACAGTGAAATAGGATGCTACTGGGGAAAATGCCCAGCTCTACTTTTTAGACTCCCAAAACATTAGATCTGAAAGGAACCACAGCAATGATTTTCTTTAACCCCTCAATGACATGACGAAGATGAGGATGGAGGTATCAGCCGACTGTTTCCAGTGTGCACACTAGGGTGAGCAATCATCTCGATTTCCCCAGCTCTCTCCTGGTTTTAGCAGTTACAGTCTCATAAGCCAAGAAAATCTTCAGTCTTGGAATGGTTGGATTTCTTAAAAGTAGATCTAGATTTCAGATCTTCTGATTACTAACTCAGTAATGTTTGTTCTACACATCTTTTTTTTTTTAACTAAGAATCTAGTTTTTCTACTGTTAAAAGACAATTTGTATATATGTTTAAGTACTAATTACATGTTCCTTACTTATTTAAGCAATGAAATACAAATGCTAGCTTTGGTTTCCCATATAAGACATGACCTAAATATTATTTCACTTCATTTTCTCTCCCATCTCTTTCCTTTTTATGCTTGGAAAGAAGTAGATTTGTGTTGTTATGCATGGCTTAGGCTGATAAATCAAATCAGGAGACGTTTCAAATAAACAAAATGAATTTGAGAGGTTATAAGTGTTTGCAAGTGTCACCGTGGAGACCAGAGAATGGATTGTTGCCATAGAGACTTCCATAAACACTCTGACTGTGATTATTTCCATGTGAAATCAGATATAGAGGAGATTTGGGAAGGAGGATACATAAATGGAGCTGGCACTCATTGTAGCTGGAGACGAGTTGTGTCAGAAGGCTGGAGGATGCTAAAGCAAGTTGACAGTGTGAAATGTGTCTGTGCTCATTATTGCTCCATCGATGAGCAGGAAAACACCTTCAGGGAGAACCAAGTTTAGAGGGTCAGGTGGGTGTGCTCCATCAGCTACTAAAATACTATAGGATTGGAGGTGATTCCCATTCACTCTTTCCCTCATTCATTCACATTGGCATCTACCATTGTTATAATAACAAGTTCTATAGCGTTGTGATACAATAATAATGACAGCATGTCTTTATTAAAATGCTTACCACATTACAGAGACTGTGTTAAGCCCTTTGTGAATATTATGTCATAGAAGCTGAACAACACTTATAAGGTAAAGCAGATATTATTCCCATTCTACCAACAAAGAAACTGAAACATAGAGAAGTTAATCACCTTGCCCAGGGGCACACAGCTAAAAAATGGTGAAGCCAGGATTCAAATCAGGTAGTCTGTTGGCAGAGCCCACATTCTTAAATATCACACTCTGATGAGAAGATGAAGTCTTTGTCTCTGAAGTATTTTACATCTAAATTTGGGAGAAAAAAACATAGTAGTGAAGACTAACACTAGGATGACGATATGTAATTCTAGTCATCTATACACATTTTAGCTAGTATTTATAGATTAACATCAACTTGAACCTCATACCCTTCCCTCTTCCTCCTCTACAGATATTATATCACTGAGATTCATATTTACAAAGAACACATTAGCTAGCCAAAAAGAAAAGAAATGCATTAGCATATCAATTAGATTATGGGATATCTGGGAGGGTGAGAGACTCGTGCTTCAACACCTTCCTACTTCAGTGTACACACAATTGTGATCAGCTTTGAATAAATTTTACCCTAAAATGTACATTTGAGCTTTCAGATGAATTGACTCAAGGGTGGGACCCATTTACAATAACACTGAGTCTTCCCTATAAGCTGTATATCCTCACAGAACACCTGTGGACAGCATCCCATGGCCAAGCAGTTATAATGATTGCAAAGGTTTATACATGGGATTCCTGGTGACCGTAGCAGGCTTTGTTTGGGGCCAACCAACCTTTCATGAGAAGGAGTAATATTGAACCCTGCTCAACAGCAGGCATCAAAAGAGTTTATTGTAGTCTTAAAGAATCGCTGTGAGGGGCCTGTAATCCCAGCACTTTAGGAGGCCGAGGCGGGTGGATCATGGGGTCAGGAGTTCAAGATCAGCCTGGCCAAGATGGTGAAACCCCATTTCTACTAAAAATATTTTTAAAAAATTAGCTAGTCATGGTGGTGGGTGCCTGTAATCCCAGCTACTCAGGAGGCAGGAGGCTGAGGCAGAGAATTGCTTAAACCCGGGAGGCAGAGGCTGAGGCAGAGAATTGCTTAAACCCGGGAGGCAGAGGATGTAGTGAGCTGAGATCGCGCCACAGCCCTCCAGCCTGGGTGACAGAGCGAAACTGTCTCACACCCACAAAAAAAAGAATGGCTGTGAGTATCAATAATTTTAGTTAATGTCCTTTGATTCAAATTTTCTGGAAGATTTCTTCACAGATTATTGATACACAGAGGGTCAACCTTCATTTTGCACAGATGAGTACTTGGCAGAGAGTGAAATATATAGAACCATCTTTCTCTGAAAAGAAATAAAAGACAATGTAAAGCCCACTGGTTTGGGACCAAAACAGGACCAAGTTATTATGAATATTAAATTAGAAAACAGGTATAGAGGCTGGCACCAAGCAAATATGCTGCAGCTGGTGGTTCATTTTGTCCACCATATCTAACCCAATGGGTGCTCTGAAGGTGAACAGAATTCCAGACTCGGCTTGTGTAAATCAAATTGCAAGCAGCTAATTTTGTCTTTAAGTCTTTGGATGCTGTCAGTTGTGTAATTGTTTTCCTTTTCATTTTCCTTTTAATTGAAAGTTTGTCGCAAAATATGTGACCACCTCTATCTAGCAAATGCATAGAATTTCATGGCATGATTTTTAATATACTCCACACCTAGCTCCGTCTTACTTTTTTTCTTCAAGATGGTGTCTCACTCTGTTGTCCAGGCTGGAGTGCAGTGGCATGATCTCAGCTCACTGCAGCTTACATCTCCCGGGTTCAAGCGATTCTCCTGCCTCAGCCTCCCGAGTAGTTGGGACTACAGGTGCTCGTGATCATGCTTTGCTAATTTTTGTATTTGTAGAAGGGATGGGGTTTCGCCATGTTGGCCAGCCTGGTCTCAAACTCCCAACCTCAGGTGACCCACCCACCTTGGCCTTCCAAAGTACTAGAATTACAGGCATGAGCCACTGCACCTGGCCTTACTTTCTAATCCTTATTTTCTCTTTCCCTTTTTAAAAAAACTATTTATTTGCATTCTGTCTCACTGTGTTATATGAATGTTTTTGTATTTAAATCCCTTTTTGGAAAAAAGTTGTCCAACCCCTTGGCTACTCCCATAATATCCTCAACAAAGCACCCTGATGTCCAAGATCCCCTCCTAGTCTTCATACGTCCAGGTTTTGTACTTGAGACTCCCTCAAAACCATTCCCTTTTTTGCCTGAGTTTTAGGCCAGCTGTGATTTTCTTAAATACAATGCATCTTTTATCTTTCAGAGGTTTCTCATTATTTCTAGTCCCTAAGCATCTCCCATTCTGTTTCCCAACACTGATTTGGATTTATTTTACTTTCTATTTGCTTCTGCTATGTCCGAGGGTGGGAGGGAGAGAATGGAGAATGTGCTCTGTCTGCTGTCTTCCTACAATGTCCTCTGCTCCTTTCTTCAGTTCAGATTTGTATTTCCAACAATGTTCTGAACACATACACTCAGATGCCCCACAGGGGCCTCAACTCATAATGTCCAAAAGGAATGCTTCACCTCAACCAGACCTGACTCTGAGTGTATGTATGTCTGTGTGTCAGTGTGTGTGTTTGTGTCAGTGTGTGTGTGTCTGTGTGTGTTTGTGGCTAGGTGTGTATGTGTGTGTGTCTGTGTGTGTGTGTCTGTGTACCTGTGTGTGTCTATGTATATGTGTGTGTGCTCCCTGCATAACCAAGAAGGAAAACATGTTGACATGTTAGATTCTGGTTTTTCCCCCTCTCAAATCTCTTTTACTGAATAAATGTCTAACTATCTGGTTATGCCATTCTAAATATTGAAATTCGTAGTTCTTTGTCATCATTTCATTGCTATAACATAATCCACCTACTGTGCATGACAGAATCCACCTACTATGTACAGGCACCATTCCAGACCCTGAATGGAGCAAGTTGACTTCATTCTTATTTTTAAAGTATATTTAATTTAATAGCTACCTCTATAATGTTTACTAGGTGCCAGGAGCTCTATTAAAATTCCATGAAATCCCATTGTAGTAGAAAACACCAATTAGTTACATGAGTCCTTCAAGACTCAGTTTAGGGCCTCTTGGAACCTCTTCTGAATCTTTGGAAGATTCAGAAGATTCAGGCTGCGCTAAGCCCAACACATCTTGTATAGACCACTACCCCAGCATGTTATGTTTGCCTCTTCCATGGACTGTGAGTTCCCTGAGGTGTGCTCTTCTTTTGATCCCTAGAACAGTGCTCAACACCAAATAGGAACTCAGTAAGTGTTGATTGAACACCTGTCAAACTAAGCCAATTTGATCATCTCACTCTGCTGCTTAAAACCCTTCAAAGAGTCACCACTAGTAAAAGCATGAGTCCAATTCCTCAGCATGGCACACAGTACTCTGCAGGCTGGCCCCATCTGTCCTTCTGGCCTCACCTTACCAGGTCCCCAGTCCTTCTCCCATTGCTCCAGGCACACCAAACTCTTTCTCACGTTCCCAAAGTAATGTTCTCCATAGTTTCTCGAGGCCTAGTATGCAATGCCCTACCTGACTTGTGTGTCTTTAATAAAGTCTTCTATTTTGTTCATGACCAAACTCAAAGATCACATATCCCCACATGTCACATGTTCCCCATAAGACTTGTGACTCTTGTTCCCACATAGTCACTTAGATTCATTTATCACATGATATTGCAATGATTTATTTATTTGTCTCTCACTCTTTCTCTCTCCTCACTCAATAGACCTTGAGTTCTTGAAGGATAAGAATTATATTTTACTCATCTTTGAATTTTCTCTGCTTTCATATGGCACATAATTCCTAGAATATAGCAGATAACCAAGTAATGTTTGATGTAATGAACTTATGAATGAATGGATTTGTGCAGCTCTTCACTGTGCTATATAAAATGACTAGGCCGGGTGCGGTGGCTCCGGACTGTAATCCCAGCACTTTGGGAGGCCGAGGCAGGCAGATCATGAGGTCAGATCGAGACCATCCTGGCTAACATGGTGAAACCCCATCTCTACTAAAAATACAAAAAAATTAGCCAGGCGTGGTGGCGGGCACCTGTAGTCCCAGCTACTTGGGAGGCTCAGGCAGGAGAATGGTATGAACCCTGGAGGTGGAGCTTGCAGCGAGCCGAGCTCGTGCTACTGCACTCCAGCCTGGGCGACAGAGCAAGACTCTGTCTCAAAAAAAAAAAATGACTAGAGAAAGGTCAAACCTCTGTTTATTTAATGTTTCTTCAGAAGGGAGGATTCAAGGCCTTAATTCTCAAAATTCTCAAATCGGATTGGGTACTTTTATTGTCAAGCGCCTCTTCTAAATAAACACATTTGCTTTCTTGGCTAGCCACCCACTCTCCATTTTTGTTACTTTTACAATGTAGAAAATTATGTGTCCTTGGAGTGTTTTTTTCCCACTTCTAGTAGAATCCCATGTCAGAACCATCACCTACTTATTACCTCCTACACAGTCTATACATAAGACATTGTTTGTTTCTTCTAGGCAAATCTCTATTAACCAATTTACAACAGTTTTAGGACGCTGTAGCCTATGTCAAGTCCGTATATTGGTAAAATGAATGTTGCACAGTAAAAAAAACAATAGTCATCTGTAAAGAGACTTTAAGAAAATGTAGCCTATGCTTTTCCTGGGCCTCCTGAACCTCAGGGTGAAAAGGGGTCATGTTAATGATAATAAACTTTCTCTAGTGCTGACCCCCACTAACCATCATAGGACCTCAAACTTTTTGCAAAACTTTCCATTCCATTCGCAGGTATTTCTGGAGGGTCCCCACAGAGCTTTGCAATCAGCCCTGCACTGCCTGCCTGCCTGCAGACTTGTTCCACCCGAGAGAAATTAGCTCTTATCTTTAAAATAAACATAGTTATGAGTGATCCCAGCGGATATTTCTCAAGTGGCTGAGGAGCCTCCCGACATGGAAGTCATCCTAAGTAAAGGGAGAGTCGGGCACCCAAGCTTAGTGTGGTCACTGGGGCGAGTGGGGTGAGTCTGAGGATACTGAACATATTTCAAAGTAATAAGTTATTTCAGCATTCATTCAGCATCCACCATTTCTCCTGGCCCCTCCTCACCTCCGCAGTTGCCTGCTGCTGAAGAGGAATGACTTTTGCTGTCCAGGTTTTTGGTCAAAGGGCAGCTATGCCACCTGTAGTGCTCCCAGTGCTACTGGAAAACCTCCATCCATTGGCTCAGCCTCCTGTTGCCTTGAAAGCTTTCCTCACCTGTGAGAGTTACTGGTGCCAGGAGGAGGTGCTGCCTGGTGTGCCCACACATGGCACTGCTGCTGACTGGTCCTAGAGCCACTGCCACCACCAACACTCTCTCCTCTTGCTCCCCATAGGGATGCCATGCAGGACCCCAAGCTGTGTGGAAGGTGTTCCCAATCTCACCAAATATCTTAAGAAACATGAGTTTCATTTTAACTTTCAGACTCTTCTCATATTGTTATTTGAAACCAAGAGAGTCAAGTTTTGGAAATAAGCTAAGTGCCACATGTTCAGTATCCTCAGACTCACCCCACTTGCCCCAGTGACCACACTAAGCTTGTGTGCCCGACTCTCTCTTTGCTTAGGATGCCTTCCATGCCGGGAGGCTCCTCAGCCACTTGAGAAATATCAGCTGGGATCGCTCATAACAATGTTTATCTTAAAGATAATAGCTAAGGTGGAAGAAGTCTGCAGGCAGGCAGTGCAGGGCTGATTGTGAAGCTCTGTGAGTTGGTCACAGCCAGGACTATATCAGTCCTTCTGCTCTTCCACATTCAACATGCAGTGTCCACTGCATGGCCCTGGGTTGCTGTTGGAGCCGTGGGCACTGTAACTGCATTCCAGCCACCAGGAAAAAGGAAGGACAAAGAAAGATGTGTCCCTTCTTGAGGACACTTAACATACATAGAATTTACACACATTTCCACTTAACCTCCCATTGGGCAAAACTTGGCTGCAATGAATGCCACAATTAGCTGCAAAAGAAGCTGGGAAATGTAGTGTCTATTACCAGTATCCCCGTCTCCAGCTTAATCAGCAGTTCTACAAGGAAGAAAACAAGAGTATACATGTGAGGATAGCTGGGAATCTCTGCAAGAAGATACAGGTTTCTTTTGTCCTGCCTTTCTATGGATTTAAAACTAGTACAGGGAGCAGGGATAGATCATTGAATTTCTTGGGTCACACAGACAAATGTGTGACAGGACGACGTACTGAGAATGTGATTCGCATGTCATTCTCATACTGTTCATACAGTTCCCTTCCTCATACTGAAAAGGCCACTAAGCCGTGTGTTCCCATGCCTAATAGACTCTTGAGTTTTGAGGCCAAAAGCAGAAGTTGCCAGGTATCTGGCAGATAAAACTGGTTTCTGATTTGTTTTCAAGGCATAAGCTCAGGAAGACAATGACAGTGAAGTATCTGAAAGTGGAAGGAAACTTCAAAGTCTGAATAAAGCAAACTTGGGTCAATTTGAGAAGTAGAGGGGCTTTAATACTTCCTGGAGGCTGAAGGGGTCAGGGACTCAGCATTCCAGCAGGGAGTGGAGACCAGGGCCACCATGCTCATGCTTGGCACTCTGGGACACCCACACATCCCATATGGGGACGGCCATGTGTTATGGCCCGGGAAGTGGGATATTGGCCTTGAAGCATCTCCCAACCTTGGAAATGGTTCCTATGCCCAAGCTGCCTATTTCTCAGAGAGCATGAGCAAGGGGAACCCAAAACTAGAGCACCCTGCCCCTATATTCTGGATCTACCAGTCAGTTGAGACTGCAATTTAATACTAGGGAAGTAGAGGTGGCCCCCAAAAATGAGACCAAAGATGTATTTCCCACCACCACAGGCAGACAGAAGCTTAGGGAGAATCTTACTTTTCAAACACAATGTTTTAAGCCCACATGTTGGTTAATATTGATTCTTGCTATAAAGGGTAGAGCTCAAGTAGAGCTCAGGCCTCCTGGGTATTAACCTTGTGAAATGTTCTTGCCTAGCTCTGTTGTCTCTGAGGCTCCAAGACGGAAGTGGGAATGATATTGATTACTGAAGAGTGATTTGTCTTCACTCCTCATCTTGCTTCCTTGGCTCTTCATGTGTTCTGTTTTTCTACATGGATGTAATGCCACACAGTCACATTTTAGGCTGTAAACTCCTTGAGGGCAGGTCTATTCTGTGACATGGATCACAGGTGTGTTACATTGCTTAGAGAGCTGGTCATTTCACTGATGCTTTGTCAGATCATAATGGCTGCTGCAATACGTGAGCCAGGATTTTTTTGTTTGAGCTGAATTACATACAGTACTTAGAAACCAGATCTGGGGCAAAGCTCTCTCTTTGGCAAAGTTGGGGTGCAGATGGAGGGATTGCTCTCCATTGGCTCTCATGATGGTTCTTTCCCTGTATCTGAGGCTTCTTACAGATTTATATGCCAGAGCCAAGTCTCCAAGGGAAACCCAAGGTGTTACAGCCAGTGATATTGATGATTTAGTAGGTAATGTTCTTTTTGTACATTTTAAATGAAAACAGTGGGTTACGAGGAACCATCCTTCAGCTGAGTCATAAAAACCAGTTCCTGCCCTCTTGCAGTTAAAAATTCATGAAGCGTTTTCCAAAAGGCTGTTTCGAATCAGGCTTGATTATTTTCTTTCTCTCTCTACTTAAATATTATCTATATGTTAAATACTTTTAGAGGTCTTTACTTTTGCCAACGAATTGTAATCCGGTGTTTCTGGATAATCAAGTATAAATGATTATCCTACTTACCATTTAGTTAAGTTAAAGAAAAATATAAGCATCATAGGAAACCAAACAACAACAAAAAAACTGTAAATGTGAGTTAGCTTTGCTGCGCTGTGCTGCAAAGGTTGGCAATCTTTGAAAATTGGCGTGCTGAGGTTGTCTTCCAAAGGTGGATAAACCTAATTGTCAACATGAGGCTGGAGACATTCGTCAGCTGCTGTTTTTATTGTCTAGTGATAGTTCCTTCCAGAGGGAACTTTGGTCCAGAGTGTGGGTGTAAGTGAGAGTGGGGTGGCAATTGATCCCCCTGACAATGAAAACTGTTCCGTCTGGTAATTGGCACACATGCCATCGGTTGGTGATGCCTGCACTAGTACCTCATAACTGGGTTTCAAATAACAGGTTTCACAACTGCAGTGTTCTCAAGAGATTTTTTCTTCTACCCTTCTAGGTTCTGTGGCTGTTCTAAGAATTAAATTAACATAAGACAAAGTAACAGGAGAAAAATAATTTTAATTTTGTATGTATCCATGGCAGTCCCACAAATACATGAGACTCCAGGAAGCAGCCAGATGACTGAGACTTATATAGCATTCTGAGCTATAGGAAGGAATAGGGGTTTGGGGATTTGGAGAGCAGGGAGGAAGGTGCAGATAAATTATGGGAAGGTAGAGGTAGGAAAGGTATGGTGAATAAAGGATGCCTTGTAATGTAGATAAAAGTCTCTCAGGTGATAAACTTTTCTCTAAGTAGTTCTTTTCCTGGTACAGTACCTTTACTAATAAAAGTTTTCTTTATAAATATAAATCTCCTCTACCAAAGGGGAAACTTATACTTTCTTTTAGGTAGTTGATGGGGAAATAAAGAGCTTTTCCTTCACTGGTTTGTTCTCAATTTCCTTTACTTCAATATAGTCAATATGCCAAAGTGGCATATTTGGGGGTAACATGTTCTGAACCCATTCAGTCACATAACTTGCTGCCCTATTGCCATTAAAAATTAGTGAAGCATTCTCAGAAAGGCTCTTGGGAGGCAACACTGGACCCCAGGTTGCTCTGTGCCTTAACACTTGTAAGCCAAAGTGTCTGAGACAGATCTCAATCAACTTAGAGGTTGATTTTGCCAAGGTTGAGGACACACCCAGGAAAAAGAGACACACGTTATAGTAGGATCTGTGGCCTGTGCTTTTTCCAAAGAGGGTTTTGAGGATTTCAATGTTTAAAGGGCAAAGAGCAGCAGGAGAAGGAGAAAAGGAAAATGGGGGTGGGAGTGGCAGGGGTAGGTAGTGAGGCAAGTGGTCACATTCTTGTGAGGTTGTCTTAGCACTCACTGAGTCCACATGTTACCTGTGAAAGGAGCAGGGAGAGAAGCAGTCAATTATACATTCATCTGGTGCTCAGTAGATCTGCATTTTACATAGGATAAAGTAAGCATAGAGAACAGGAGTTAAATATACATTTATCTCAGGGTAGGTGGAGGGATGATTTCTAGTCTGTCTTCATTCTGTATCTGTGAAGATAAGCTACACATTTACATTATCAAGGTGAGATTCAACAGAACTGTGTTTTAGGGGGCCAATGAGGAATTTCCTTGTGAGTAACTTGTGAGGGAGGCCACCTGGGGAGATGTGTGGCCTTCTATCACTCCAGCTATCTGTTTAGGAACAAAAAGAAGGCAGCTTTTGCATGACTCAGTTTCCAAGCTTAATGTTTTCTGTTAGCATAGTGAGTTTGGAGTCCCAAGATTTTTTTTCCTTTCACCCTCTGATCTCAAAGGTCCTAAATGTGGGGTGTCCTGTGGAGATTCTGAATTTGTCCCTTCCCTTTGCTCATGGAGAAGTTCAGTAAATCCCTGTCTATTTTGTGAGCAGTTCTGACTCCTCCCTCTACAGCAGGCTCATAGGTGATACAAGCTAATGTCAGTATCGTTAAGAAAACCTAGAATAGTAATACACAATTAATAATGTAATAGTAATAGCAACAATAATAATGCCACTGCCCTTCTGAAACCTCTCAGAAAAGCAAGAACACTTCTTTCCCAGAAGTCTCAAACAATCACCTTAAATCTCATCAAACCAAATTTGAGCACAAGCCCATTCTAGAGCCAATATCCATGGCCATGAGGTGGGACTATGCTGATTAAGCTGGGCTTGAGCCAGGGCCCCCATGACTAGAACCAGAGGCATTTTGAGCCAAGAGTGTGTAGAGCTTCATTTAAACTTACAAAGACCTTCTAGGGGTAGGGATGCAAACCCAAACAAGAGTGGCGTCATTTCCAAGAGAAAAGGGGATGAATGATGGGAAGATAGCCATAAAGTCCATAGCAACTAATACTATTTATTTAGTATTCATTGTATGTTGCCACAGTTTTAAGAAGTTTTTCACTTCATTGTCACAAAGACAATTAAGTTTCTTGGACAGATTCCAAGTTTATGCACATTTTCAGATGAGAATATTAACATTCAGAGAGGCTAAATGACTTGTTAAAGTCATACAGCTAGGAATTGGCAGAGCTAGTATTCAAATCTAGGTGGTCTGACTTCAGAGCTCAAACTCATTCAGCCTCATTCATAATAAAGCATTTTTAAGCTTAGCCAGAGCATGTTGAGGGAGACAGTGTCATCCTGGGCTTAGATCAAGGGACTCAGAGAATCAGATCCAATTAATTAGCACAACTTCCTCCCCACCTGTGGCTCTGTCATAGTCACCTCTCCAGGCAACCATTGGCCCCCCTTCCACTGGGCCCCTCCTACTTGCATTTACACCTCCCCTAGGACCAGAAGAAGGCCTTACAAGGTAAGTATTTCCTGTGAGCAATATCCCCATGTGATGGAGCAGCCTGCAGGAGGATACTGAAAAGGCTTCAGTTGGCTCACAAGATGGTGGGGGACAAGAATAGATGCCCACCCCAAGCAGTTGCTTTCCCTTGGATGTGATAAGACAAGATCTGATTACTACACAGAAATAGCTCTTATTACTACATCAGAAATAGGGTATTATGATAATTTCTGAGAATTGTTTTCATTAAAACCAAAAATTATAGCATGTAAGACATTAGCTAATAGCATTTGTAAGGTTGGCACAAGTGATTATTTCTAGTACCAGGAGATAATAGAAGGCTCTTGTAGTGATGACTAGACCACACAAAATATCACATCCACAGTCATGAATAGTATCTTATTCTGCCTGTCATTTCTCAAGTCGTATTTCTCTGCATAATCCAGTTTTTGTCCCTGTTTCTTCCCCGAAGAAGTGAGTGTTGGGAATTAAGCCAAGAATCTGTAGCAGGACAATTGACATAAACCTGGTGACTACGACTCCTCCTGACAGTGAGATCTTCTCAATCCATCTGATCTATTTGGTGACATTTATTTGGCAGGTTTAAAGGAGTGAAATACAGAGAGCTGTCTGGGTTTTGCAGGAAACTCTTGCCTCTTTATTATTCCTGTGTTCTCAGGTGGTGTCATGATTCATAATTCATTTTAAGCTGAGTATTTGTGGCTCTTATCAAACAAACCTTGTTAATTTCATCAAGTTGGGTCAAGTAAGGATAAAAGGAAGAAACTAAGAGAAAATTTAGTTGGAGCTATAAGCCTATAGACTGTTAGGAGTCATTCAGGAAGTGATAAATGCCAGTTAAAAGGTACTCATATTGTTTTCTGGTCTAAGCTGTGTTCATAAGCATTATAATCATTGGGTTTTTTTTTTTTGGTTTCTTTTTTGTTTGTTTGCCAGTCTTATTGCAGTATAATTGATAGATAAAAATTGTACATTTTAATTGAGCCGTGTTTAGGCTTCCAGTTTAAAAAATTAAATAAGCAATACAATGAGTTGTTACAGTATTTTTGAGACCTGTTTAAGGCAAGTTTCAGATGATTATAAATAAGCTTTTTGAGATTTCAGCATTTATTTATTTTGACCCATTTATATGGTTCGGTTATATCTCCACTCAGATCTCATCTTTATTGTAGTTCCAATAATCCCCACGTGTCATGGGAGGGACTAGATGGAGATAACTGAATCGTGGGGGCAGTTTCCCCCATCCTGTGATATCCTTGTGATAGTGAGTCAGTTCTCACGAGATATAATGGTTTTATGAGGGGCTTCCCCTTTGCTGGGCATTCATTCTGTCTTTCGCCACCCTGTGGAGAGGTGCCTTCTGCCATGATTGTAAGTTTCCTGAGGCCTTCCCAGCCATTCAGAACTGTGAGTCAATTAAACCTCTCTTATTTATAAATTACCCAGTCTTGGGTGTTTTTTCATAGAACCGTGAGAATGGAAGAATACAGCCATTCTATATATATTTGGTGAGTTCTTCCTATGTGTCCAGCACCACGCTAGTGTTGGAAAAGCTGATAAATATGACCAAACAGTTCCTACCTGCAGTGGACCTCACTATCTAATAAGAAAGAGAAAAAGAAATAAACATAATAATTTCAAATTTGTAAAGTTCTATAAGGTTTAATAACAGAGTGTCAAGAGACAGACTAACGTGGGAGGGAGGGAGGGAGGAAGGGAGCAGCCTTAGGTAGGGTAATCACGGAAGGCTTCTCTGGGGAGGAGGCTTGTAAATGGAGAAGGAGGTGGAACCATAGGAAGGATGAGAAGCCATGCAAATAGAGAAGAAAACAGTATTCCAGGAAGAGGAAACAGGATGTGAAAAGACCCTGCAGAGGTAAAGAGTCCTTTACTGAGCTAGAGAAGCCTGAATACAGGCACTATATTGGAGAGGGTGATACTGGAAACCAATAATTGAAATATCTATGAAACATTGAAGTGGAAATGTCAAGTAGGCAATTGGATAAAGAGTCTGGAGTCCACAAATAAGGTCAGGGCAATGCACAGTAGAGACCTGTTAGCATGTCCATAAACACTTTAAAACAATGTAGTGAAAGATTGCCCAGGAAAAGAGTACAGAGAAGAAACTCAGATATTGAGCTATCAGTGCAGAAGTAGGAGCCCACAGAAGAGTCAGCCCAGGAGGAGAAAAACTGGAGGAACGGCTTCTTTGAGAAGCCAAAGGAAGGGAGAGAGGGACCAGTTCAGAATGGTGGAATGATGAGCACATGCATTTCTCCCCTTTCTATACCAAGACTCTAGCAAAAAATAGCAACTTTTTTTAAAAATTTTCTCTTGAGAATGGCTCTTACTCTGTCTCCCAGGCTGGAGTACAGTGGCACAATCCTGGCTCACTATAACATTGACCTCCCTGGGCTTAGGTGATCCTGCCACCTCAGCCTCCCTAGTAGCTGGTACTACAGGCATGCACCACCATGCCTAGATAATTTTTGTATTTTGTATACAGATGGGGCTTTGCCATGTTGCCCAGGCTGGTCTGGAATTACTGAGCTCAAGTGATATGCTAGCCTTAGCTTCCCAAAGTACTGGGATTACAGGCATGAGTCACTGCACCCCACTGCAAATAATTTTTTTAAAGACAAAAACCACAACAACAAAGACATCAGGAGACAAGCCATCACAATGGCTTCATGTCAATGATTTCTAGAGGATGGAAAGCAGATGGAAGAGTGATTGAGTGTGACAGAGGAGGCCACAGCTCACAGAACACATAGGGGTGGCAGGCTTAAGAAGAGACCCATTCTGTCCTGTGCAGCCCTGGAGCAGTCCAGAACATGCCACCGGTGAAAGAATAGAAGCAAGACTTGGGCTGGAAACAGGGAGATTGATTGGAAGGGAATGAACATAACTGTTGGTATACCACCACACTCACCCCCGCATTTTGAATTTCTGACACAAAAGAAAAATCCTCCATAGAAACTGAGACCTACACTCTCCAGCTTCTAGAGATTGCCTAGTATAAATAACATCTACCTTCCTAAGAAGCACTTTAATGTAAAATCTATAAGTTGGCAAGGCCTACCCATGTACTAACAGCTTTCAATTAACTTTTTAGTGTCTCATTCCTAAAGATAAATAGACAATTTAAGATCACAAGATTTTTTTAAGGAAAGCCTCCTACGTAAAAGAAAAAGATCAAGATAAATCAACAGGTAAAGATGACACTGGAGGAAGTGAAAATTTAACATATGGAATAGAAAAGAAACTTCATTAAACTTTCTTTCATGTCTGCAGAGAGATTTAAGAAAATATTGCCTCATAACACAAGAAAAGTTTGCTCTGAAAAAAGGAACCCTCAAAGCCTAAGAAAGATGTCTTGACTATTAAAATGTGACTTCAAAATAAAAAATTCAACAAAAGGAAAATTCAATGGGAACTGTACTCAGAAAGTAGGACAAAAAGTCAAAGAGATAGAAAATACTTAAAAATAAAAGTTAGAGCAGGCGTAGTGGCATGCACCTGTAATCCCAGCCACTTGGGAGCCTGAGGCAAGAGAATTGCTTGAGCCCAGGAGTTTGAGTCCAGGCTAGGCAACAAAGCAAGACCTCCCCATCTCAAAATAACGAAGTTAGACATGTAGACTGAAAACCAAAGGATATTTCCAAGTGTTCCAACAACTGACTAATGGAAGTTCCAGAAAAAAAAATGATAGAAAATAAATTATCAAAGACATAATGCAAGGATATTTCAAACAACTGGGAGGCCTGACTGCAGATTTAAAGGGCCTACTGAGGGCTTATTGTGATGAATGAGAAACAAAGACTCTTGTCTTTGTTTGCACAAGATGTTGCACATCTTGTTGAAATTTAGCATCACTAAGGGTATAAACAAGGTCTGAAATTCTTTCACAATCAGGGTGTAAAGGAAACAACTTACAAAGAATCAAGAATCACCTCTCAGTCAGAGCATGGTGGCGCATGCCTGTAATCCCAGCATTTTGGGAGGCCAAGGCCGGAGGATCACTTGAGCCTAGGAGTTTGAGACCAGCCTGGGCAACATAGTGAGACCCTGTCCATACAAAAAATTTAAAAATTGGCCAGGCATCGTGGCCCACACCTGGAATCTCAGCACTTTGGGAGGCCATGGCAGGCAGATCACCTGAGATCAGGAGTTCAAGACCAGCGTGGCCAACATGGTGAAATCCTGTCTCTGCTAAAAATACAAAAATTAGCCAGGTGTGGTGGTGCACACCTGTAATCCCAGCTACTTGGGTGGCTGAAGCAGGAGAATCACTTGAACCTCGGAGGCAGAGGTTGCAGTGAGCTGAGATCGTGCCATTGCACTCCAGCCTGACAATAAGAGCAAAACTCCATCTCAAAAAAAAATTGTTTTTAATTAAAAAATCAGCCAGGATGGTGGTGCACACCTGTAGTCCCAGCTACTCGAGAGGCTGAGGTGGGAGGATTGCTTGAGCCTGGAAGGTTGAGGCTGCAGTGAGCCATGATTGTGCCACTGCACTCCAGCCTGGGTGACAGAGGGAGACCTGGTCTCAAAAAAAAAAAAATAAAAATAAAAATAAAAATAGAATCATCTTCTTGCCGACAAAATAGCAACAGTGAGCACTAGAAGACAACAGAGCAATGAGAAATTTTTAGTAGAAATTATTTTCAAACTATAATTCCATGTTCAGCTAACCCTTCATGTGTAAAGATGGAATGAATGAACTTTTATATATGCAAGGACTCAGAAAAATTTACTAACATATAAATTTTGTGCTGTAAGAAAACAAAGAGGTAAGAAACAACAAAAAGATAACCTGGAATCCTGAAAGCAACAGCTGTAATGCAGAACTACCAAGGAAAATCTCTGGATTAGAGCTCAGAGAGAAAAAAGAAGGCCCACAGAGGAAAGTCTCCAGTACCAAACTAGACTAATAGTTCCCTGATTGTGTCCCATGAATCCCTGGAGAACACCAATAACTTTTCAGGGAGTCTAAAATCAAAGCTATTTTATAATAATATTAAGACATAATATGCCTTTTTCACTGCTTCGAGATTCGCACTGATGGAGCATAAGCAATGGTGGCCAAAACTGCTGACACTTAGAAAAATTGCAGATACTTTAGCAAACCACGGCATGGTGGTACCAAGCAGTACATGTAGGCTCCAAATTTTCGGCCATGCACTTCCATAGAAAAAAACAAAATGCCACTTTTCATTCAGATGGTCATTGATGAAGCAGCAAAAATATTAACTTTATTAATCCTGACTCTTGAATATATTTTTTTAATATTCTCTGTGTCAAAACAAGAAGTGTGCATAAACTACAGTCTACTCAAATATGTGAGTGTACCCAGGGATAGGCACTTGTGCAATTGTTTGAGTTGTGAGCTGAATTAGATACTTTGGCCATCCTACACCATTTTTAATTGATTGGACAATTGCTAGACTATGGTTAGTCAAACTTAAAGTTTTAGCAGACATTTCCTAAAATAAATTAAATGAGCCTGTCACTTCCAAGAAAACAATTGACAGTGTATATTGTCAATGATAAAATATAAACTTTCAAGCAGAAATTAGAATTTTGGAATATTTGCACCCACCAGTATGAACCTGACAGGTTCCTAATACTTAAAGTTTTTCTGATGAGCTCAGTAGTAATAGTAACAAATGTTATCTTTTGATAGTGTAAAATGAAATGTGTCAACATTTGGAGGATCTGCAAATCACATTGAATCGACATTTTCCAAATAACCAATGCATGATGTCACAAAATCATACACGAGCAAAAATCTATTTAAAGTATGAGATAGATTGATGGATTTAAATGTAACAGAGTATGAAAACTGCAACTATATGATGTCAGATTCCATATCACAGGTAACCTTTAAGAAACCGTTACTTGTCCTGTTTCGGTGAAGTATAAAAGAAAAATAGGCTGTAATCCCACCACTTTGGGAGGCTGAGGTGGGCGGATTACGAGGTCAAGAGTTCAAAACCAGTCTGACCAACATGGCGAAACCCCATCTCTACTAAAAATACAAAAATTAGCCAGGTGTAGTGGTGCGTGCCTGTAATCCCAGCTACTCAGGAGGCTGAGGCAGGAGAATCCCTTGAACCCAGGAGGCAGAGGTTGTAGTGAGCTGAGATCATGCCACTGCACTCCAGCCTGGGCGGCAAAGTGAGACTTCATCAAAGAAAGAAAGAGAGAGAGAGAGGAAGGAAGGAAGGAAGGAAGGAAGGAGAGAGAGAGAGAGAGAGAGAGAGAGAAAGAAAGAAAGAAAGAAAGAAAGAAAGAAAGAAAGAAAGAAAGAAAGAAAGAAAGAAAGAAGAAAGAAAGAAAGAAAGAAAAGAAAGAAGGAAAGAAGGAAGGAAGGAGGGAGGGAGGGAAGGAAGGAGAAAGAAAGAAAAGAAAGAAAGAAGGAAAGAAGGAAGGAAAGAAAGAAAAGGAATAAAGAAAGAAAGAAAGAGAAAGGGAAAGAAAGAAAGAAAAAGAAAACTACAGTAGGCATTATTGGCTCTTCAGGGAACAATATTTACAAAGCCACAATAATGTAAACATTTCATTGACTTTCAGTTTTTAGAATCAACTTGTAGGCCTAATTACTCTTACAGAACAAATGGCATATAGTATCAACCTTGTAAATTCAATAAATACAGAAAGCAGAGAATGAGAGGAACCAGTGGAAAAAAGAAAACGTGGGCAGAAGCCTAATTTCCCCACCTTAGCAAAAGTCAAAGAATGTTACCTAAGGTTGATGTAATAAGAATATGACAGTGTTGGCATTTTGCTAAATATTGTAAGGAAACAATAATTGGCACAGCGAATACTGAAAGCATAAGGAAGAGGGAAATGGGAAGAATATAAGGGAGCTAACTTTTCATTTATCATTGTGGAAGCAAAGATAAAATGTAAAAAATCAGTATTTTAAAAATGTTATTTAGAAATATGGAGCTAAGTGAACAAACAGCTTTTTAAAATTAGAAAATATTGCCTCTGGGGAGGAAGAACAGGCATAGGACATGGTGGCATGAGTTGCCAGGTAAAATATAGGAGACTCAGCTAAATTTGAGTTTTATGTAAATAAACAATTTTTTTTTTTTTTTTTTTTTTTTTTTGAGACGGAGTCTCGCTCTGTCGCCCAGGCTGGAGTGCAGTGGCGCGATCTCGGCTCACTGCAAGCTCCGCCTCCTGGGTTAACGCCATTCTCCTGCCTCAGCCTCTCGAGTAGCTGGGACTACAGGCGCCCGCCACCAAGCCCGGCTAATTTTTTGTATTTTTGGTAGAGACGGGGTTTCACCGTGTTAGCCAGGTTGGTCTCGATCTCCTGACCTCGTGATCCTCCCGCCTCGGCCTCCCAAAGTGCTGGGATTACAGGCGTGAGCCACTGCACCTGGCCAAATAAACACTTTTTAAACCTAAGTATGTCCTCAGTGGTACCTACTTTTATTTGTTAAAACCGACAATTGAAGATACTGTTGTTTTGTTATGAGGAGCCCTTTAGTACATTTAAATCTTTTAACTATATGTTAAATAACCATATGTTAAATATTTAAGGTTTTTTTTTTTTTTTTTTTTTTTTTAAAGAAAAAGGAGGAGGAGGGCTGGGTGCAGTGGCTCAGGCCTGTAATCCCAGCACTTTGGGAGGCCTAGGCGGGTGAATCACCTGAGGTCAGGAGTTCAAGACTAGCCTGCCCAACATGATGAAATCCCATCTCTGCTAAAAATACAAAAAATTAGCCAGGCGTGGTGAGAGACGCCTGTAATCCCAGTTACTAGGGAGGCTGAAGCAGGAGAATCACTTGAACCTGAGAGGTGGAGGTTACGGTGAGCCGAGATCGTGCCACTGTACTCCAGCCTGGGCGACAAGAGCAAAACTCCGTCTCCAAAAGAAAATAAAAGGAGGAGGACAGTGGAACAACAGTATCCAAAGGCAGTGAGATGTTGAATAGATGAAGTTGTAGACATGCCTGGTGTATTTGCGACATGGAGATCAATGATGTCTTTGACAAGAAAATTTTACTGGAGTGATGGTGATGCAAGTTGGTCTGTAGAGGATTAATAGGCGCATAGAAGTAAGGAAGGAGAGGTAATTATAGAAGTGGAAAAGAGTAAGGTACAGGTATGGCAGTTGAAGAAAATCCATGGATTTCCAGAGTGATGATACATTTTTCTTTCTCTATATTCATCACATTTCTCAAGTAAATCTTTTTTGAGCTGTCCTATTAAATCTGTGCATTATGACAGCTTGGAAATTCTAATCATAATTTGGGATAATACCATGAGAAATGCTCCCCTCCCAAATAATTGAGTAGGTAATGGTCTGACATTTTGATGGAGGGATATTTGTAACAGTATAAATTTTTTTTATAGAAAGAAGGAAGCAAGTAAGAATATAACGTGTGATTTAAATCAGATATGGGGCAGGCATGGGAACTTCTGATCTCATTTCCACTGATAAAAGTTATTAAGCCAAGCTATCTTCTCCTATGAGCACCCAGAACTCTAATTCTCTTATAATTTGAATCTACCCAGTGCTCAAATTAAGCACTTAATTATGTATGGTCTTGGAGAAATACAAATACGACTAAAATATGGAGGCTGCTTCTAAAGAAAAGAAGCTTTCAATACAGTGGCTGGAATATTTGAACTTCCCTGACTGCCTGCTGCCTTGTTGGCTTCATGCCAGACTGAAGCCCACCCTTGCTGAGCTCTGTCCCATATCCTCTTCACCCAACTCAGTTACCATCCTTCACTTCGCCCAAAAGCTACTCTTACTCACAACTCTATTTGAACTGGATTCTTTACCAAAAGATATAAAACCAGTCTGCCTGTTTTCAGCAGATTTTATTAAAATGTCTGAACACATTTTACTAAAGTTGAAGCAATAGACTACCCCTCCTGCCCCCATTTAAGCTTTCCAAGTACTCTCTGTTCCCCTTCAGTTGTGCTATGATTTGAAAAACCATCTAATTTGTATTGCTGGAGTCACATACGTGTATGATGAGCCATTGATGGCCTTGAGATGAGAACTTTTTATTAAAACACTTCAGTTACTATACTTCTGTGAGCAACACAGGAAGAGAAAAAAAAAACTTATCTTTTCAACTCCCATGGCAACTGACTCATCATTTCCTCTCCAAAGAGGTTAACCTCATCTCATTTCACTGTTCTCCATGTCACTATAGACTCTGCCATCTTTGAAGCGGCAGAAAAACAAAGGGTGGATAACTTTCTCTTCCTTTGTTTTAGAAGTGCTGCTTCCAGGAGTAATCTGATTGTCACTCGGTCACTTGGGCCATGGTTCTTTTTTCCCAAGACCAGTCTCAGCACATTTTCCCCATCAAAACTGTAGATACCTAATTTTTATATTTGCTAATGTTTTTGAGGGGGGGAGCAAAATTATATTGTATATCATGTAGCAAAAGCATCCTTTATATCCATATTGATCCTGTCAACTCCTCCCCTAAAATATCTCCCTGCAGTAGCTTTCATGCTTTCAGCCCTCTCTTTCACTTGGCCTCATTCTTCTCCACCTCTCTAGTAGGCAGGCTCTATCTGTTTTCTCTCCCACCCCTCTGAAAACCCCAGTCAGAGCATGCAATCTACACACAAGGCAAAGACTGGTTAAACAGCCAGCAAAAGAAAAACTGTTTGTTAGACAAACCAGGTCACCTGGTGTCCTTCAAGCCTTCCCGCGAGTAGCTTCCTTTCAAACCTCCACATAGGTTATCAAGAGCAGTGTCAAGTTCTAGGGATGGGCTCTTTAAAGGGATACAATTACCAGTTAATTTGAAGCATCTAGGAAAGGAGGTGAGTGAATAGTAATTGATAGAGGTATGAAACTACGTAGCAATATGTGGATATGATCCTTATATCATACCTATCTGAAAGTAAAAGAATTTTGCTTTTCTCATATTTATCTGTTAGAAAAGATAAGGTTTGGAAAGCCTTTTGGAAATCAACTTGCTTTGGACATCACTGAAAAGCATGCAGATTAAAAACAACAAACACTAGGCTAGCAAAGTAAATGACCAATTACCTAAAAGCATTTGAAGATGTTATTAAACTTTGGAACATCTCTTGAATTTCTGAATTGATAATATAGTCAGAATTAATGTGCAGATTTGGAGATGTTCAAGTAGTTAAAAATGGTCCTGGACTAACCTCAATCTTGTTTTGCAACATCTGTTTTTTTAAATTAAAAAAAAAACAGAAAATGTAACATTGAAACACTGTCTCTTCACTCATACATAAGACCCCCCCACACACACACCGCTCCCTCAGAAATGAAATGAGCTTTGGGATACTGTCTCTGTATCACATCATAAGACATAGAAATATCAAGTTACTCTAATTTGCAGTTTGGGGTTTAAAAAAAATCTCAGGAAGTGAAGATCAAAAATCAATATCAAATGACTCAGAGAGGTATTCTGCTGCTATCAGGTCACCCAAAGAGGAAGCACTTCATATTTGGTCAATATGGTAGCAGCATATCACTCTGAATTGTATAGGAAATAGACCACAGAACTTTCATTATAAAGATCTTGCTAAATCAATGACTAACATTTGCAGTTAAAACAAATCCAGACTATTCTCTCTTATTTGTATTTTCTCATAAAAGTATGTATGAAGACAATCACAGCAAATGTCAAAATATCACCATTTTTTAAGATTCAGCAGAACTGACTCATAGTGTTCAAAGTTCAGGGATATAGTGAGTTGTTGAGAAAAACCGAAAAACTTAAGAGTCAAAGTCTTGAAACAACACACTTAGAGCCTATTCTAATGGGTAATGCAAACTTTATATCATGCCAATTGTTTGAAGTGGCAGCTTTTATTCTGTTATTAAGTGCATAAATATTTAGAATTGCATGTCTTCTTAGTTAATTGACATTTTATTATTTTGTGAAGTGACAGTTTTTATTCTAAATAATTTTGTTTTTTGTGAAATTTACTTTGATATTAATATAGCCATTCAAACTTCCTTTCAACTCATGTTTCTATGTCATCACTTTTCCATCCTTTTACTTTTAACCATCGCTTTTCATCCTTTTATTTTTGCTCTGTCTTGTAAAGTTCTATAGGTTTTGACAAACATGTCATGTCATGTATCCATCATAATAGTATCACACAGAACAGTTTCACTGCCCTAAAAATTCCCTGCGTTTCACCTCTTCATCCCTGTCTCCTGCCCTGAACCACTTATATTAAAAGTGAGTTTCCTTGTATCAATAATAAATAAATAAAAAGTGAATCTAAAAGAATCGATTTCTCATGGACAGCACATAGTTTGATCTTCCTTTTTAAACCTAATCCTGCAATTGCTGGCTTCAATTGGTGTATTTACACCGTTTACATTTAATGTGACTACTGAGATGGTTGGGTTTAAGTCTACCACCTTGTTTTCTATTTGGGCAATCTGTCCTTAGTTTATTTTTTTCTGCCTTATCATAAATTAATTATTTACATGATTTTATTTTTTCTTCTTTGGTGGCTTATTGGACATAGCTTTGTTTAATGGCTGTTTTAGTATTTATAGTATACCTCTTTATCTTACCATAGTATAGCTTCAAATATGTGTAGTATAAGAATCTTATAACAATATATTCCCATTTCTCCCCTCCTAGCCTTATGCTATTGTGGGCTATAAATCTGTTTATACATATTAGCTCCACAATGTGTTGTTTCTATTTTTTTCTTTTAAACAGTTAATTATATTTTTTAAATATTTAAATCATAAGGAAAAAAGTCAGCCCATGTAGTTACTGGTCGTATTGCTTTTCATTTATTTTTATAACCCCTATCTCCATCTGTTATCATTCTCCTTCTGCCTAAAGGACTCTTTAAAACATTTTTTTTCCTTATCGCACATTTCTGATGTTTATGGATCCTTTCAGATTTTGTATGTCTGAAACAGTATTTATTTTACCTTTATTTTTATTCTTGCAGTAACTTTTTATTAATGACTTTATTTTTAGAGCAGTTTTAGATTTATAGAAAAAATAAGCAAATAGTACAGAAAGCTCTCATATATCCCCACATATACAGTTTCTCTATTATTAACATCTTACTTTAGGATAGTACATTTCTTAAAATGAGCAAACCAATGTTGATACACTATTATTAATTAAAATTCATAGTTTATTTAGATTGCTTTAGTTTTTACTTAATGTTCTTCTTCTGTTTCCGGATCTCATCCTTGATACTACATAACTTGTGGTTCTCAGGTTTCCACAAGTTCCTCTAAGCTCCGGTAGTTTCTCAGACTTTTGTTGTTTCTGATGACCTTGACAGTTATGAGGAGTATTGGTCAGCTATGATGTAGGATGCTCCTCTATTGGAAACTGCCTGATATTTTTCTCATGCATAGTATAGAGGTATGGGTTTGGGGGAGAAAAATTACAGAAGTAAAGTGCCCTTTTCATTGTACATACTATCAACAAGATTGATCACTGATGATGTTGACCTTGATCTCCTGGCTGAAGTAGTTTTTGTCAGGTTTGTCCACTATGAGGTTACCCTTTTTCCCCCTTTCCCATGTGCTCTTTGGCAAGAAGTCGCAATGCACAGAACATCCTAAGGAGTGTAGAGTTACGTTTCCTTCCCTGTAGAGTGGAATATCTACATAACTTACTTGAAATTCTTTTGTATGAGAAACTTGTGTCCTCTCTCATTAATTAATTTATGAAATCGTTTATGTGTATCATTATGGTCTCATGAATATCTATTTTATATTTTAGATTATAATCCAATACTACTTTATTTTTTGCTCAAATTGTTCCAGCTTTGGCTACTAAGAGTTCTTTCAGTTGACTCTTGCATTCTTTTAACATACATCAATGTGTTTGTCATTTTTTTAAAAAAAAAAATTTGAGCACTTCTTTGTTTTTGACACTACAAGTTGCTAGGCTGCTCAGGTTCATATTGCATATTTTCTTCCCCAGTCCTAGAAATGGCCATTTCTTTTCTAGACTCAATCCCCTGACCTCCTAAATGATGTTTTTAATTTGCATACATGAAGGTTTGTTCTTTATGTTGTAAAGCTCTACAGGTTTTGACAAACACATCAGGTCATGTATTCACCATTATAGTATTATACAGAACAGTTTCACTGCCCCAAAAATCCACTGTGTTTCACCTATTCATTCCTGTCTCTTCCCCTAAACCTCTGGCAACCAGTGAGTTTTTACGTTTGTATAGTTTTTTCCTTTTCCAGAATGTCACATAATTGAAATTACACAGTATATAGCCATTTCAGACTGATTTCTTTCACTTAGCAATATTATTTAAGCTTTCTCGGCATTGTTTTAGAGCTTGATATCTCATTTCCGAATTATAATGATGAATAATATTCCCTTGTATGCATATACCAGAGTTTATCTGCTCATCTATAGAAGAACATCTTGGTTGCTTCCAGTTTTTGGCAATTATTAGTAAAGTGGCTATGAAGATTCATGTGCGTGTTTTTGTGTAGACAGCTTTTAAATTCAATTGGCTAAATACCTAGCAGTGCAATTGCGGGATCATATGTTAAGACAAAACTATTTTTGGAGGCCGGACGCGGTGGCTCACGCCTGTAATCCCAGCACTTTGGGAGGCTGAGGCGGGTGGATCACGAGGTCAGGAGATCGAGACCATCCTGGCTAACACAGTGAAACCCCGTCTCTACTAAAAATACAAAAAATTAGCCGGGCGAGGTGGCGGGTGCCTGTAGTCCCAACTACTCAGGAGGCTGAGGCAGAAGAATGGCGTGAACCCCGGGGGGCGGAGCCTGCAGTGAGCCGAGATCGCGCCACTGCACTCCAGCCTGGGCGACAGCAAGACTTAGTCTCAAAAAAAAAAAAAAAGACAAAACTATTTTTAGTTTTGTAAGAAACTGTCAAACTGCCTTCCAAAGTAGCTTTACCATTTTGCATTCCACTAGCAATGAATGAGAGTTCATATTGTTCCACATCCTCACCAGCATTTGGTATTGTCAGTTTTTTTATTTTAGCTATTCTAATGGGTGTGTAGTGGTATCTAATGGCTGTTTTAATTGCAATCTTTTAATGACAAATGATTTGAACATCTTTTCATATGATTATTTGCCATAAGGCACCAAAGATGTGTGTATTTTCTTTCATGAGATATATGTTCTTATATTTTGCCCATTTAAACTTTTGTTCTATTTTGTTTTCTTATTGTTTAATTTTTAAGAGTTATTTATATATTTTAGATACAAGTTATTTATAAGACATATGTTTTACAACTAGTCTATGGCTTGTCTTTTCATTCAATTAACAGTGTCTTTTCCAACAAACATACGAAAAAAAGCTCATTATCACTGGTCATTAAAGAAATGCAAATCAAAACCATGATGAGATGCCATCTCACACTAGTTAGAATGGCAATCATTAAAAAGTCAGGAAACAGATGCTGGAGAGGATGTGGAGAAATAGGAACACTTTTACTGTTGGTGGGAGTATAAATTAGTTCAACCATTGTGGAAGACAGTATGGTGATTCCTCAAGGATCTAGAACCAGAAATAACATTTGACCCAGCCATCCCATTACTGGATATATACCCAAAGGATTATCAATCATTCTACTATAAAGACACATGCACACATATGTTTATTGCAGCTCTTTTTACAATAATAAACACTCGGAACCAACCCAAATGCCCATCAATGATAGACTGGATAAAGAAAATGTGGCACATATACACCATGGAATACTATGCAGCCATAAAAAGAATGAGTTCGTGTCCTTTGCAGGGACATGAATGAAGCTGGAAACCATCATTCTCAGCAAACTAACACAGGAACAGAAAACCAAGCACCACATGTTCTCACTCATAAGTGGGAGTTGAACAATGAGAACACATGGACACAGGGAGGGGAACATCACACACTGGGGCCTGTGGGGCTTGGGGGGCAAGGGGAGGGATAACATTAGGAGAAATACCTAATACATGTGGGGCTTAAACCTAGATGATGGGTTGATGGATGCAGCAAACCACCATGGCACATGTATACCTATGTAACGAACCTGCACATTCTGCACATGTACCCCGGAACTTAAAGTATAATAAAAAATAAATAAATAAAGTGTCTTTTACAGAACAGAAATTTTAGTTTTAATAAGTCCAACTAATCGATGGTTTTTTTCATAGTCTGTGCTTTTGGTGTATGTAAAAATTTATTGACAAACCCAAAATCACCCAGAATTTCCCCTACATTATCTTCTAGAAGTTTAATGGTTTTAATTTTACATGTATGCCTATGATCCATTTGAGTTTGTTTTTGTTTGTTTGCACTTGGACATCTAATTGTTTCAATACCACTTGTTGAAAAGATTATTCTTTCTCTATTAAATTACCTTTGCTCCTATGTCAAGGATCAGTTGGTTATATTTGTATGAATCTGTTTCTGGGCTCTCTATTCTGTTCTATTTATCTATCTGTCTATTCTTTTGCCAGTACCCAATACCATACTCTCTTGGTCACTGTAGCTTTACAGTGAGTCTTGAAGTGAGGTAATGTCAGTCCTCCACCTTGCTTCTTCTTCAATGTTGTGTTGGCTATTCTGGGTCTTTGCCTTTCCATATAAACTTTAGAATTAGTGTGTCAATAACTAAAAACAGCTTGCTGAGATTTTATTGTGATTGCATTGAGTCTGTAGAGCAAATGGGGAAAAACTGATATCTTGACAACATCGAGTCTTCCAATCCATGAACATGGACTATCTCTCCATTTATTTAGATATTCTTTGTTGTTTTCTATTATTTTTTAGTTGTAGGCATATAGATCCTGTACATATTTTGCTAGATTTATACATATTTCATTTTATGCTCATGTAAATGTTATTGTGTTTTTAATTTCAAATTCCAATTGTTCATTGCTGGTATAAAGAAAAGCAATTACATTTGTATATTAACCTCGATTCCAGCCACATTGTTATAATCACTTTTTAGTTCTGGAAGGACTAGAATGACTTGTTGATGATGACTCTTTGGGATTTTTTATATAGATGATCATGTTATCTGAGAACAAGTACAGTTCCTGTACTATCTGTGAAGTGGTATAGTGTTATGTAAAACTGGGATTAGATTAGTTGTAAATTTATATTATAATTTTAAGGAAACCATTAAAACAATAAAAAAGAAGTATAATTGATAAGCTGAGAGATAAAAATTGAATAATATAAAATTCTAATCAAAACCACAAAAGATAAAAGGAGATTTAGAAAAATAAGTGCAATGAGTAGAAAAGAGTTAAAAATATGGTAGATATTAACCCAACATATCGATAATCACCTTCAATGTGAATGGTCTAAGTACAGCAATTAAAAACCAGAGAGTTTAGGAGTGGATAAAAAAAAAACACAACTATATTTCCCACAAGAAACTTGCTTTAAATATAAAAACCCAGATAGACTAAAAGTAAAGTTATGAAGAGAGATATATTGTAATAACACTAAGCAAAATTAAGTAGGAATTGCTATATTAATTTAAAAGAAAGGAGACTTCAGAACAATTAAGATTATTAATGACAAACGGGGCATTATCTAATGATAAAGAGGTCAATTCTCCAAGAAAATACACCTTGGTAATTGTCTCCAGGAAGTAAGCTGGGGCAACTGTAGAGCTGACTTTCTTTCTCATCTCTCAAAGATCACTGTCTTTTGTTGTCTGATGTCCAATGTCTAGAAAACCATTGTTTTATATATTTTATCTGGTCTCTTAATTATTTCATGCAGGAGGATAAATCCAATCAGTGTTACTCTATCTTGGTTGGAAGCAAGAATCTCATAAGTATTCAGCAAACCAAGCAAACTTTTAATAAGAATCTGCATTTCCACATGGTGGGTATGTTAGCCCTATGGACATAGCCTCATTGCTGGACTTTCCTAGATATGAAATGAAGCAATGATATGGGGAATGCCTTGACAAAGGCATTCTTTCTGTGAGTTTACAGATAGTAGGGCTGCCAGAATCATTATTTGCAAGGAAGGCAAATCCATATACTGAATTTTTTTCATTCCAATAGAAATAAATCTCTGCCTCTCCATGATGGAAGAGGTCTAATCAATGTGCCACCAAGTGATTTGCCAGTTTCTCCAGGTAGTGATGCCATATCAGGGCTGTGTTGGTCTCTGCTGTTGATAGATTAGGCAGTCATTAGTAATGTTAGACAGGTCAGCCTTAGTAAGAAGTCTATACCGTTAAGCCCATACATAGCCTCTATCCATATCACCATGACCGCTTATTTCATAGGCCCATTAAACAGCAACTGAAATGGCCAAGGAATGAGGCTGACTGACATACATGGAGTGTGCCATTTTTCTTCACTTGATTGTTAAGACCTCCTTTGAAGTGAATGTCCTTTGATAACCATTTACATGGCATACAAATACCTTCACCATCTGTGCCCATTCACTATCTTTAGTCTAACCACATATCTTCCCTAGACTTCTTTGTCACCAGTTTCTCAACCTTGTTCCTTCTAAGTCACTGACCTTTATCCAAGCAGTTAGCCATTGCCTGTGAATACATTAGTTTTTTGTTTCTGGCCATCTCTTACTACTGGAAAAGTGGATAATTAAATTTACTGCTTAAAGTTCTGCCCACTGGGAGGATTTTCCTTTATTATAATCCTGTAGGGTTACCTCTGAGTGTGACTGTAGTATTATAGCTGTCCACACTTGCATAGGGCCAACATAATGTGCAGACCCATCCATAAGTCAGATTTTTTTTTTCTTCTTCAGATAGTTGGTGGTTTGGAACATCCCAGGAGGCCAAAGTCATAACTTGAGGGAGAGATGATGCAACCCTAACCCAGGTTAAAAGGTTCTGAGTCACCTGCTCAGTTTACTTATTGGCTCTGCCCAAGCCTGGTCTTTTATATTTTATTTCCACTTGATTATATATTGCTTCTTGCCCAGTCAACCTTATAGCTAGGTGTGTCAGAAACACCCAGTTCATAATGGAAAGCTCAGAACACATAGTTACCTGACGTCCCATGGTAGAGATTCTATCTCTCTTCTAAGCTTAGTATAAAGACAGAAGCTGTTTCTCAAAATGGAAATAGTTATCTGAAAAAAAAAAAAGTGCTCCAAAATCCTACAGGTATTCTCTGTGACTTTCCCATTAATGCCTGCCAGAAGATCCACACAGTATCTCTATTTGTCACATACACTTCAAGTATCATTGGATCTGGTGAATCATAAGGTTTTTTATGTGACTCTATATGGATCAAAGAAGCACACTCAAATCCGGCATATAATGCCTCCAAAATACAAAAAGGCCCATCGAGTATTGTACCTTTTTTTCCACTCTATAGTTCTCACATGTCTTCCTAAGTGATTGCTGTCTGTTGTGCATCATATTCAATTAACATAGTGTCATCAAAATAGTGAACCAATGTGATGGTTTCTGAAATGCAAAAATGATCAAGATCTCTCCAGACTGTAGTATTGCAGAGAGCAGGAAAACTGACATAGCCCTAAAGCAAGGCTTTGAATGTGAACAATACCACACCAGGTAAAAGCAAACTGCTTTGGATGATCCTTGAAAATTGATATGGAGGAAAATATATTTTCCATGTTAAGGCTGGAAAACAAGTACTAGAGACACCATTCACTTTATGCAGTAAAAATAGTATATTTGGGATAGCACCTGTGTATTCCCTGGGGTTCTCCAGAGAAACAGAACCAATAGGATTGATTATGGAAATTGGCTCATGAGATTTAATTATGGGTCCCAAAAAGTCCCATAATATGCCATACGCAAGCTGAAGAACCAGGAAAGCCAGTGATGCAATTCAATATAAATCTGAAAGGCCTGAGGACAAGTGTAACATGGTATAACTCCCAGTTCCAGGCTGAAGGCATAAGAACCAGAAGGAAGGAGGGTGCCACTTGTGTAAGTCCTTGACTCTGAAGGCCCAAGGACCAGCCCAAGGGCAGGAGACAGATGTCCCAGCTCAAGGAGAGAAAGAATTCACCCTTCTTCTGCCTTTTTGTTCTATTTGGCCCTGAACAGATTGGATGAAGTTCACTAACACTGGTGTCGACTATCTTCTTTACTCATTTTATTGATTCAAATGCTAATTTCTGGAAACACCCTCACAGACACACTTAGAAACAATGTTTCACCAGCTGCCTTGACAACTTTTAACTCGGAGTAGTTGACATATAAAATTAATCATCTTAAACTGCAATTGGAGTCACTCCCTGATTAAGTTTGCGATAGTCCACAGTCATTCTCTGAGATCCTTTGACTTCCGTGCAGGCCAAACAGATGAGTCAAATGGGGTTGTGATAGACTACTGTCCTTACTTCTTTCAAGTCTTTAATGGTGGCATTAATTTCAACTATTTGGGAGGTGGGGTACAGTATTGCTTTTGGTTCACAATCTTGGTAGGAAGTGGAAGAAAGTTCCAAGGTCTGAGATCCAATATGGGAATTCTGCCAGTAACAAAGTATGTCTATTCCAATCTACATTCAAAAACTGGGCAAATAAATACAATGTAAGTCTTTGAGCCAACTTGAGCTAAGACTCCGTCTATTACCTGCAATCATAATCTCTCTGTTTGACAGACAGGCCACAGTGGCATTTTAGGTCCCCAGAAAGTAGACAATTCAGAGTGAGTATCCAAGTAATCTTCTCAAAGATCTGGGTATTTCTTTTTCTCCGGTACAAAATCACCATAGGTCCTCTAAGAAAAGCTTGGAGAAAGATTTACATTTATGTACTTTCAATTCTCAATGAGGCAACAAGACTCAGACCCCTTTTTAATCAAAAAGGATTTGGGGTTTATGAATTGACTTAGATCTGAAAACTGAGTGGAGGCTATGATTCTCCACTGTGGTAACTCAAGTCAGGTTTTTGACAAACATAGCTACAGACTTTTTAATATTATATAGATCAACCAATACTCTAGTAAATTGCCCATCTGTTTTGTTCTTAGGGGCACTGTGATCAATTAGCTACCACCAAGGATCCTGCAGAATAACACATTCTGATTACCAGGACTTTTTGCTGTCCTTTGTGGTAGATGCACCCCCCGCCCCCCACCAACCCTTGTGTTTGGCTGTTAAGTGCTGCTGCGGGCCTCTGCTACGCTGGGTGTCATTGTCCTCACTGAAATCAGGAAACTCCTATTTCAAATCAAAACCCCCAATGACAATACTCTGCCTACAAAGGGGGAACAACCCTAGAATTTTCAAGGATGCTGGTACTCTTCTCTCTAGTTTATTTCTCAGTGCCTCAATAAAGGGAGCATCTTCTGGGTAGAGCTGCCAGATTTAGCCAAAAACAAACAAACAAAAACAAAATATTTCCAGTTAAATTTGAACATTGGATAAGTACCAAAATTCAGTATAAGTATGTCCCTGCTCTAGCCCTGAGTTTTCCCCAGACCAGAGTTAGTTCATAGCTGTCAGGCAGAGTACAGAGAGCAGGGCAAGGAAGCAAGGACCAGGCCTGGCAAGCCTGAAGGTGAGCATCACTGGGTGACCCACATGCTACTGGCCACTGCAAGAAAATTACAAGGAACCAGGAAGAGAAGCATCCTTACTATGGTGACCTTCCAGCACTCTCTACTGGCAAGCGAAAATCTACTAGCTTACAGGAGCCAGCTCCAGTATCTCCAACAGGGCAATAAAGTGTAGAGTGAGAGCTACAAAGCAGCTGGTTTTAATTAACTGGCACAAGCACAAATGATAAAATTCTGTGCTACTAGCACATGAATACACAAGTCAATGGTATGGACCAAAATTTCGAAATAGACTCAAAGGTATGTTGGCATTTGGCATACAATGAATTAGGCATATCAAATAAATGGAGGAATAGTGATTATTCCAAAATTGGAGCCATCAAAAAATGAAACAAACTAGGCCCTTACTTTATTTATTTTACTAAAATTGTAGGTAGATAAAAATAAATAAATGTTTAAAAAATTAAACTGAAGATGGCCAAATAGGAACAGCTCTGGTCTATAGTTCCCAGTGAGATTGACACAGAAGATGGGTGATTTCTGCATTTCCAACTGAGGTACCTGGTTCATCTCATTGGGACTGGTTGTACAGTGGGTGAAGCCCATGGTGGGCGAGTGGAAGCAGGGCGGGGCATCACCTTACCCGGGAAGCACAGGGGGTTGGGGGATTTCCCTTTCCTAGCCAAGGGAAGCCATGAGTGACTGTACCTGGAGGAACAGTACACTCCTGCCCAAATATTGCACTTTTCCCATGGTCTTCGCAATTGGCAGACCAGGATATCCCCTTCTGTGCCTGTCTTGGCAGGTCCCATACCCATGGAGCCTTGCTCACTGATAGCACAGCAGTCTGAAATCGACCTGGGACGTGGGAGCTTGGGAGGGATGTCCGCCATTGCTGAGGCTTCAGTAGGCAGTTCTATCCTCACAATGTAAACAAAGCTGCAGGGAAGCTTGAACTGGGCAGAGCCCACTGTAGCTTAACAAGGCCTACTGCCTCTCTAGATTCCACCTCTGGGGGCAGGGCATATATGAACAAAAGGCAGCAGACAACTTCTCCAGACTTAAACGTCCCTGCCCGACAGCTCTCAAGAGAGCAGTAGTTCTCCCAGCACAGCGTATGAGCTCTGATAATGGTCAGACTGCCTCCTCAAGTGGGTCCCTGACCCCCGTGTAGCCTGACTGGGAGACACCTCCCAGTAGGGGCCGACAGACACCTCATACAGTCAGGCACCCTTCTGGAATGAAGCCTCCAGAGAAAGGATCAGGCAGAAATGTTTGCTGTTCTGCAGCCTCTGCTGGTGAAACCCAGGCAAACAGGGTCTGGAGTGGACCTCCAGCAAACTGCAACAGACCTGCAGCTGAGGGGCCTGTCTGTTAGAAGGAAAACTAACAAACAGAAAGGAATAGCATCAACATCAACAAAAAGGACATCCACACCAAAACCTCATATGTAGGTCACCAACATCAAAGACCAAAGGTAGATAAAACCACAAAATGAGGAGAAACCAGAGCAGAAAGTCTAGAAATTCTAAAAACCAGAACGCCTCTTCTCCTCCAAAGGAACACAACTCCTCACCAGCAAGGGAACAAAACTGGACAGAGAATGAGTTTGACGAGTTGACAGAAGTAGGCTTCAGAAGGTTGGTAATAATAAACTTCTCTGAGCTAAAGGAGCATTGTTCTAAACCATCTCAAGGAAGCTAAAAATCTTGAAAAAAGGTTAGACGAATGGCTAACTAGAATAGCCAGTGTAGAGAAGAGCTTAAATGACCTGATGGAGCTGAAAACCACAGTACGAGAACTTCATAAAGCATACACAAGCTTCAATAGCCTATTCAATCAAGTGGAAGAAAGGATATCAGTGATTGAATATCAAGTTAATGAAATGAAGCAAGAAGACAAGATTAGAGATAAAAGAGTGAAAAGAAATGAACAAAGCCTCCAAGAAATACGGGACTATGTGAAAAGACCAAATTTACATTTGATTAGTGTACCTGAAAGTCACGGGGGGAATGGAACCAAGTTAGAAAACACTCTTCAGGATATTATCCAGGAAAACTTCCCCAATCTAGCAAGGCAGGCCAACATTCAAATTCAGGAAATACAGAGAACACCACAAAGATACTCCTCGAGGAAAGCAACCCCAAGACACATAATTGTCAGATTCACCTAGGTTGAAATGAAGAAAAAAATGTTAAGGGCAGCCAGAGAGAAAGGTGGTGTTACCCACAAAGGGAAGCCCATCAGACTAACAGCAGATCTCTCTGCAGAAACCCTACAAGCCAGAAGAGAGTGGGGGCCAATATTCAACATTCTTAAAGAAAAGAATTTTCAACGCAGAATTTCATATCCAGCCAAACTAAGCTTCATAAGTGAAGGAAAAACAAAATCCTTCGCAGACAAGCAAATGCTGAGAGATTTTTGTCACCCCCAGGCCTGCCTTACAAGAGCTCCTGAAGGAAGCATGAAACATGGAAAGGAACAACTGGTACCAGCCACTGCAAAAACATGCCAAATTGTAAAGACCATCGACACTATGAAGAAACTGTATCAATTAATGGGTGAAATAACCAGCTAGCATCACAATGAAAGGATCAAATTCACACATAACAATATTAACCTTAAATGTAAATGGGCTAAATGCTCCAATTAAGAGACAAAGACTGGCAAATTGGATAAAGAGTCAAGACCCATCTGTGTTCTGTATTCAGGAGACCTATCTCGCATGCAAAGACACACACAGGCTCAAAATAAAGGGATGGAGAAAGATCTACCAAGAAAATAGAAAGCAAGAAAAAGCAGGGGTTGCAATTCTGTTCTCTAATAAAACAGACTTTAACCCAACAAAGATCAAAAGGACAAAGAAGTCCATTACATAATGGTAAAGGGATCAATTCAACAAGAAGAGCAAACTATCCTAAATATATATGCACCCAATAGAGGAGCACCGCGATTCATAAAGCAAGTTCTTAAAGACCTACAAAGAAACTTAGACTCCCACACAATAATAATGGGAGACTTTAACACCCCACTGTCAATATTAGACAGAACAATGAGACAGAAAATTAACAGGGATATCCACGACTTGAACTCAGCTCTGAGCCAAGCAGACCTAATAGACATCTACAGAACTCTCCACCCCAAATCAACAGAATATACTTTCTTCTCAGCACCACATCGCACTTATTCTAAAATTGACCACATAATTGGAAGTAAAACACTCCTCAGTAAATCTAAAAGAACAGAAATCACAACAAACTCCATCTCAGACTACAGTGCAATCAAATTAGAACTCAGGATTAAGAATCTCACTCAAAACCACACAGCTACATGGAAACTGAACAACCTGCTCCTGAACGACTACTGGGTAAATAATGAAATGAAGGCAGAAATAAAGATGTTCTTTGAAGCCAATGAGAACAAAGATACAACGTACCAGAATCTCTGGGAAACATTGAAAGCAGTGTGTAGAGGGAAATTTATAGCACTATATGCCCACAGGAGAAAGCAGGAGAGATCTAAAATTGATACCCTAACATCACAATTAAAAGAACTAAAGAAGCAAGAGCAAACAAATTCAAAAGCTAGCAGAAGACAAGAAATAGCTAAGATCAGAGAAGAACTGAAGGAGATAGAGACACAAAAAGCCCTTCAAAAAATCAGTGAATACAGGAGCTGGTTTTTGAAAAGATCAACAAAATAGACTGCTAGCAAGACTAACAAGAAAAGAGAGAAGAATCAAATAGACTCATTAAAAAATGATAAAGTGGGTATCACCACCAATCCCACAGAAATACACACTATGATCAGAGAATACTATAAACACCTCTATGCAAATAAACTAGAAAATCTAAAAGAAATTGATAAATTCCTGGACACATACACCCTCCCAAGACTAAACGAGGAAGAAGTTGAACCTCTGAATAGACCAATAACAAGTTCTGAAATTGAGGCAATAATTAACAGCCTACTAACAAAAAAAAGTCCAGGACCAGACCGATTCACAGCTGAATTCTACCAGAGGTACAAAGAGGAGCTGGTATCATTCCTTCTGAAACTATTCTGATCAATAGAAATAGAGGGAATCCTCACTAACTCATTTTATGAGGCCAGCATCATCCTAATACCAAAGCTTGGCAGAGACACAACAAAAAAAAGAGAATTTTAGGCCAATATCCCTGATGAACATCTATGGGAAAATCCTCAATAAAATACTGGCAAACCGAATCCAGCAGCACATCAAAAAGCTTATCCACCATAATCAAGTGGGCTTCATCCCTGGGATGCAAGGCTGGTTCAACATATGCAAATCAATAGACATAATCCATCACATAAACAGAACCAATGACAAAAACCACATGATTATCTCAATAGATGCAGAAAAGGCCTTTGACAAAATTCAACAGCCTTTCATGCTAAAAACTCTCATAAACTAGTTATTGATGGAACATATCTCAACATAATAAGAGCTATTTATGACAAACCCACAACCAGTATCATACTGAATGTGTAAACCTGGGAGCATTCCCTTTGAAAACCAGCACAAGGATGCCCTCTCTCACCACTCCTATTCAACATAGTATTGGAAGTTCTGGCCAGGGCAATCAGGCAAGAGAAGGCAATAAAGGTATTCAAAGAAGTAGAGAGGAAGTCAAATTGTCTCTGTTTGCAGATGACATGATTGTATATTTAGAAAACCCCATCGTCTCAGCCCAAAATCTCCTTAAGCTGATAAGCAACTTCAGCAAAATCTCAAGATGCAAAATCAATGTGCAAAAATCACAAGCATTCCTATACACCAATAACAGACAAACAGAGAGCCAAATCATGAGTTAACTCCCATTCTCAATTGCTACTAAGAGAATAAAATAGCTAGGAATCCAACTTACAAGGGATGTGAAGGACCTCTTCAAGGAGAACTACAAACCACTGCTCAAAGAAATAAGAGAGGACACAAACAAATGGAAAAACATTCCATGCTCATGGATAGGAAGAATCAGTATTGTAAAAATGGCCTTACTGCCCAAAGTAATCTACAGATTTAATGCTATCCCCATCAAGCTACCACTCACTTTCTTCACAGAATTGGAAAAAACTACTTTAAACTTCATATGGAAACAAGAAAGAGCCTGCATAGCCAAGACAATCCTGGGCAAGAAGAACAAAGCCAGAGGCATCATGCTACCTGACTTCAAACTTTACTACAAGACTCCAGTAACCAAAACAGCATGGTACTGGTACCAAAACAGATATATAGACCAATGGAACAGAACAGAGGCCTCAGAAATAACACCACACATCTGTCACCATCTGATCTTTGACAAACTTGACACACACAAGCATTGGGGAAAAGATTCCCTATTTAATAAATGGTGTTGGGAAAACTGGCTAACCATATGCAGAAAACTGAAACTGGACCCCTTCCTTACACCTGACACAAAAATCAACTCAAGATGGATCAAAGACTTAACTGTAAGACGTAGGACCATAAAAATCCTAGAAGAAAACCTGGGCAATAACATTCAGGACATAGGCATGGGCAAAGACTTCATGTCTAAAACACCAAAAGCAATGACAACAAAAGCCAAAATTGACAAATTGGATCTAAGTCAACTAAAGAGCTTCTGCACAGCAAAAGAAACTATCATCAGAGTGAACAGGCAACCTACAGAATGGGAGAAAATTTTTCAATCTATCCTTTTGACAAAGGGCTAATATCCAGAATCCATAAAGAACTTTAAACAAATTTACAAGAAATAAAACAACCCCAACAAAAAACGGGCAAAGGATATGAACAGACACTTCTCAAAAGAAGACATTTATGCAGCCAACAGACATAAGAAACAATGCTCATCATCACTGGTCATTAGAAAAATGCAAATCAAAACCACAATGAGATACCATCTCACAGCAGTTAGAATTGGGATCATTAAAAAGTCAGGAAACAACAGATACTGGAGAGGTTGTGGAAAAATAAGAGTGCTTTTACACTGTTGGTGGAAGTGTAAATTAGTTCAACCGTTGTGGAAGACAGTGTGGCAATTCCTCAAGGATCTAGAACTAGAAATACCATTTGACCCAGCAATCCCATTACTGGGCATATACCCAAAGGCTTATAAATCATCTATGATAAAGGCAGATGCACACGTATGTTTATTGTGGCACTATTCACAATAGCAAAGACTTGTAACCAACCCAAATGTCCATCAGTGATAGACTGGATTAAGAAAATGTAGCACATATACACCATGGAGTACTATGCAGCCATAAAAATGGATGAGTTCGGAGGGTGGAGCCAAGATGGCTGAATAGGAACAGCTCCAGTCTACAGCTCCCAGCATGAGCGACACAGAAGATGGGTGATTTCTGCATTTCCAACTGAGGTACGTGTTCATCTCACTGGGGAGTGTCAGACAGTGGGTGCAGGACAGTGGGTGCAGCGCACCCAGCGTGAGCCGAAGCAGGGTGAAGCATCGCCTCACCCAGGAAGTGCAAGGGGTCAGGGAATTCCCTTTCCTAGTCAAAGAAAGAGGCGACAGACGGCACCTAGGAAATCGGGTCACTCCCACCCTAATACTGCACTTTTCCAAAGGTCTTAGCAAACGGCACACCAGGACATTATATCCCGCACCTGGCTTGAAGGGTCCTACGCCCATGGAGCCTAGCTCATTGCTAGCATAGCAGTCTGAGATCTAACTGCAAGGCGGCAGCGAGGCTGACGGAGGGGTGCCCGCCATTGCCGAGGCTTGAGTAGGTAAACAAAGCGGCCAGGAAGCTCAAACTGGGTGGAGCCCACTACAGCTCAAGGAGGCCTGCCTGCCTCTGTAGACTCCACCTCTAGGGGCAGGGCATAGCCAAACAAAAGGCAGCAGAAACCTCTGCAGACTTAAATGTCCCTGTCTGACAGCTTTGAAGAGAGTAGTGGTTCTCCCAGCACGCAGCTGGAGATCTGAGAACGGACAGACTGCCTCCTCAAGTGAGTAGCCTAACTGGGAGGCACCCCCCAGTAGGGGCAGACTGACACCTCACATGGCTGGGTACTCCTCTGAGACAAAACTTCCAGAGGAACAATCAGGCAGCAATATTTGCTGTTCACCAATATCCGCTGTTCTGCAGCCTCCGCTGCTTATACCCAGGCAAACAGGGTCTGGAGTGGACCTCCAGAAAACTCCAACAGACCTGCAGCTGAGGGTCCTGACTGTTAGAAGGAAAACTAACAAACAGAAAGGACATCCACACCAAAACCCCATCTGTACATCTGCATCATCAAAGACCAAAGGTAGATAAGACCACAAAGATGGGGAAAAAACAGAGCAGAAAAACTGGAAACTCTAAAAAGCAGAGCGCCTCTCCTCCTCCAAAGGAATGCAGATCCTCACCAGCAACAGAACAAAGCTGGACGGAGAATGACTTTGACGAGTTGAGAGAAGAAGGCTTCAGAAGATCAAACTACTCAGAGCTAAAGGAGGAAGTGCGAACCCATGGCAAAGAAGTTAAAAACCTTGAAAAAAATTAGACAAATGGCTAACTAGAATAACCAATGCAGAGAAGTCCTTAAAGGACCTGATGGAGCTGAAAACCACAGCACGAGAACTATGTGACCAATGCACAAGCCTCGGTAGCCTATTTGATCAACTGGAAGAAAGGGTATCAGTGATGGAAGACCAAATGAATGAAATGAAGTGAGAAGAGAAGTTTAGAGAAAAAAGAATAAAAAGAAATGAACAAAGCCTCCAAGAAATATGGGACTATGTGAAAAGACCAAATCTACATCTGACTGGTGTACCTGAAAGTGATGGGGAGAATGGAACCAAGTTGGAAAACACTCTGCAGGATATTATCCAGGAAAACTTCCCCAATCTAGCAAGGCAGGCCAACATTCAAATCCAGGAAATACAGAGAATGCCACAAAGATACTCCTCGAGAAGAGCAACTCCAAGACACATAATTGTCAGATTCACCAAAGTTGAAATGAAGGAAAAAATGTTAAGGGCAGCCAGAGAGAAAGGTCGGGTTACCCACAAAGGGAAGCCCATCAGAATAACAGGGGATCTCTCGGCAGAAACTCTACAAGCCAGAAGACAGTGGCAGCCAATACTCAACATTCTTAAAGAAAAGAATTTTCAACCCAGAATTTCGTATCCAGCCAAACTAAGCTTCAGAAGTGAAGGAGAAATAAAATACTTTACAGACAAGCAAATACTGAGAGATTTTGTCACCACCAGGCCTGCCTTACAAGAGCTCCTGAAGGAAGCACTAAACATGGAAAGGAACAACTGGTACCAGCCACTGCAAAAACATGCCAAATTGTAAAGACTATCGATGCTAGGAAGAAACTGCATCAACTAACGAGCAAAATAACCAGCTAACATCATAATGACAGGACCAAATTCACACATAACAATATTAACCTTAAATGTAAATGGGCTAAATGCTCCAATTAAAAGACACAGACTGGCAAATTGGATAAATAGTCAAGACCCATCAGTGTGCTGTATTCAGGAAACCCATATCATGTGCCGACACACACAGGCTCAAAATAAAGGGATGGAGAAAGATCTATCAAGCAAATGGAAAACGAAAAAAAGGCAGGGGTTGCAATCCTAGTCTCTGATAAAACAGACTTTAAACCAACAAAGATCAAAAGAGACAAGGCCATTACATAATGGTAAAGGGATCAATTCAACAAGAAGAGCTAACTGTCCTAAATATATATGCACCCAATACAGGAGCACCCAGATTCATAAACCAAGTCCTTAGAGACCTACAAAGAAACTTAGACTCCCACACAGTAATAATGGGAGACTTTAGCACACCACTGTCAACATTAGACAGATCAACGAGACAGAAAGTTAACAAGGATATCCAGAAACTGAACTCAGCTCTGCACCAAGCAGACCTAACAGAAATCTACAGAACTCTCCACCCCAAATCAACACACTATACATTCTTTTCAGCACCACACCACACCTATTCCAAAACTGACCACATAGTTGGAAGTAAAGCACTCCTCAGCAAATGTAAAAGAACAGAAATTATAACAAACTGTCTCTCAGACCACAGTGCAATCAAACTAGAACTCAGGATTCAGAAACTCACTCAAAACCGCTCAACTACATGGAAACTGAACAACCTGATCCTGAATGACTACTGGGTACATAACGAAATGAAGGCAGAAATAAAGATGTTCTTTGAAACCAACGAGAATAAAGACACAACATATCAGAATCTCTGGGACACATTCAAAGCAATGTGTAGAGGGAAATTTATAGCACTAAATGCCCACAAGAGAAAGCAGGAAAGATCTAAAATTGACACCCTAACATCACAATTAAAAGAACTAGAGAAGCAAGAGCAAACACATTCAAAAGCTAGCAGAAGGCAAGAAATAACTAAGATCAGAGCAGAACTGAAGGAAATAGAGACACAAAAAAACCCTTCAAAAAAATCAGTGAATCCAGGAGCTGGTTTTTTGAAAAGATCAACAAAATTGAGAGACCACTAGCAAGACTAATAAAGAAGAAAAGAGAGAAGAATCAAATAGACGCACTAAAAAATGATAAAGGGGATAACACCACAGATCCCACAGAAATACAAACTACCATCAGAGAATACTATAAACACCTCTACACAAATAAACTAGAAAATCTAGAAGAAATGGATAAATTCCTCGACACATACACCCTCCCAAGACTAAACCAGGAAGAAATTGAATGTCTGAATACATCAATGATTGGCTCTGAAATTGAGGCAATAATTAATAGCTTACCAACCAAAAAAGTCCAGGACCAGATGGATTCACAGCCGAATTCTACCAGAGCTATGAGGAGGAGCTAGTACCATTCCTTCTGAAACTATTCCAATCAATAGAAATAGAGGGAATCCTCCCTAACTCATTTTATGAGGCCAGCATCATCCTGATACCAAAGCCTGGCAGAGACACAACAAAAAAAGAGAATTTTAGACCAATATCCCTGATGAACATTGATGCAAAAATCCTCAATAAACTACTGGCAAACCGAATCCAGCAGCACATCAAAAAGCTTATCCACCATAATCAAGTGGGCTTCATCCCTGGGATGCAAGGCTGGTTCAACATATGCAAATCGATAAACGTAATCCAGCATATAAACAGAACCAATGACAAAAGCCACATGATTATCTCAATAGATGCAGAAAACGCCTTTGACAAAATTCAACAACCCTTCATGCTAAAATCTCTCAATAAATTAGGTATTGATGGGAAGTATCTCAAAATAATAAGAGCTGTCTATGACAAACCCACAGCCAATATCATACTGAATGGGCAAAAACTGGAAGCATTCCCTTTGAAAACTGGCTAAAGACAGGGATGTCCTCTCTCACCACTTCTATTCAACATAGTGTTGGAAGTTCTGGCCAGGGCAATCAGGCAGGAGAAGGAAATAAGGGGTATTCAGTTAGGAAAGGAGGAAGTCAAATTGTCCCTGTTTGCAGATGACATGATTGTATATCTAGAAAACCCCATCGTCTCAGCCCAAAATCTCCTTAAGCTGATAAGCAACTTCAGCAAAGTCTCAGGATACAAAATCAATGTGCAAAAATCACAAGCATTCTTATACACCAATAACAAACAGAGAGCAAAATCATGAGTGAACTCCCATTCACGATTGCTTCAAAGAGAATAAAATACCTAGGAATCCAACTTACAAGGGACGTAAAGGACCCCTTCAAGGAGAACTACAAACCACTGCTCAATGAAATAAAAGAGGATACAAGCAAATGGAAGAACATTCCATGCTCATGGGTAGGAAGAATCAGTATCGTGAGAATGGCTATAGTGCCCAAGGTAATTTATAGATTCAATGCCATCCCCATCAAGCTACCAGTGACTTTCTTCACAGAATTGGAAAAAACTACTTTAAAGTTCATATGGAACCAAAAAAGAGCCCACATTGCCAAGTCAATCCTAAGCCTAAAGAACAAAGCTGGAGGCGTCACACTACCTGCCTTCAAACTATACTTACAAGGCTACAGTAACCAAAACAGCATGGTACTGGTACCAAAACAGAGATATAGACCAATGGAACAGAATAGAGCCCTCAGAAATAATGCCACATATCTACAACTATCTGATCTTTGACAAACCTGACAAAAACAAGAAATAGGGAAAGGATTCCCTATTTAATAAATGGTGCTGGGAAAACTGGCTAGCCATATGTAGAAAGCTGAAACTGGATCCCTTCCTTACACCTTATACAAAAATTAATTCAAGATGGATTAAAGACTTAAATGTTAGACCTAAAACCATAAAAATGCTAGAAGAAAACCTAGGCAATACCGTTCAGGACATAGGCATGGACAAGGACTTCATGTCTAAAACACCAAAAGCAATGGCAACAAAAGCCAAAATTGACAAATGGGATCTAATTAAACTAAAGAGCTTCTGCACAGCAAAAGAAACTACCATCAGAGTGAACAGGCAACCTACAAAATGGGAGAAAATTTTTGCAATCTACTCATCTGACAAAGGGCTAATATCCAGAATCTACAATGAACTCAAACAAATTTACAAGAAAAAACAACCCCATCAAAAAGTGGGCAAAGGATGTGAACAGACACTTCTCAAAAGAAGACATTTATGCAGCCAAAAGACACATGAAAAATTGCTCATCATTACTGGCAATCAGAGAAATGCAAATCAAAACCACAATGAGATACCATCTCACACCAGTTAGAATGGCGATCATTAAAAAGTCAGGAAACAACAGGTGCTGGAGAGGATGTGGAGAAATAGGAACACTTTTACACTGTTGGTGGGACTGTAAACTAGTTCAACCATTGTGGAAGTCAGTGTGGCGATTCCTCAGGGATCTGGAACTAGAAATACCATTTGACCCAGCCATCCCATTACTGGGTATATACCCAAAGGATTATAAAACATGCTGCTATAAAGACACATGGACACATATGTTTATTGTGGCACTATTCACTACAGCAAAGACTTGGAACCTACCCAAATGTCCAACAATGATAGACTGGATTAAGAAAATGTGGCACATATACACCATGGAATACTATGCAGCCATAAAAAAGGATGAGTTCATGTCCTTTGTAGGGACATGGATGAAGCTGGAAAGCATCATTCTGAGCAAACTATCGCAAGGACAAAACACCAAACACCACATGTTCTCACTCACAGATGGGAGTTGAACAATGAGAACACATGGACACAGGAAGGGGAACATCACACACCAGGGCCTGTTGTGGGGTGGGGGGAGGGGAGACGGATAGCATTAGGAGATATACCTAATAATGTTAAATGATGAGTTAATGGATGCAGCACACCAACATGGCACATGTATACATATGTAACAAACCTGCACTTTGTGTACACGTACCCTAAAACTTAAAGTATAATAAAAAAAAGAAAAAAAGGAAAATAAAAAAATTAAAAAGAATGAGTTCATGTCCTTTGCAGGGACATGGATGAAGCTGGAAACCTTCATTCGCAGCAAACTATCACAAGATCAGAAAACCAAACACTCATGCTCTCACTCATAATGAGAGTTGAACAATGAGAACACATGGACAAAGGAAGGGGAACATCACACACCGGGGCCTGTTGGGGGTGGGGAGGTAGGGGAGGGATAACATTAGGAGGAATACCTAATGTAGATGATGGGTTGATGGGTGCAGCAAACCACCATGGCATGTGTATACATATGTAACAAAACTGCATGTTCTGCACATGTAACCCAGAACTTAAAGTACAATAAAAAAATTAAAGTATAAAAACATGAGAAGGATATATATGTCCATATATATGTATATATGTGTATTATATATATGTTTTTTTTTGTTTTTTTTTTTTTTGAGACGGAGTCTCGCTCTGTCGCCCAGGCTGGAGTGCAGTGGCGCGATCTCGGCTCACTGCAAGCTCCGCCTCCCAGGTTCACGCCATTCTCCTGCCTCAGCCTCCCGAGTAGCTGGGACTACAGACGCCCGCTACCACGCCCGGCTAATTTTTTGTATTTTTAGTAGAGACGGGGTTTCACCGTGTTAGCCAGGATGGTCTCGATCTCCTGACCTCGTGATCCGCCCGCCTCGGCCTCCCAAAGTGCTGGGATTACAGGCGTGAGCCACCGCGCCCGGCCATATATGTTTTTACATATGTATGTAAAATATCAAGAGTAAACAAGTCCTTTTAAATATAATGGAAAATTTAGAAGGCGTTAATAAAACTTTTCATGCACACACACACACACACACAAATCCATAGGGTAAAATATTATAAAAACTCAAGAGAAATGACAACTGAGAAAAATATTTGCAACTTATATCACAGACAAATCAGTAAGAAATTAACAAACTAATAAATTATCAAAATCACATGAATAATATTTCATAGAACAATACAAATGCCTCTTTAATGTATGAAAAAAATGCTAAATTTCCCTCATAAGGGAAATGCTAATTACAACCACAATGAAATACACATCTTTGCCTCTCAAACTGAGTACTAAGCAAAAAACTTGATAATACATTGTGATAGTAAGGGTGTGGGGAAACAAGAGCTGTCATACATACTGGGCGGGAGTACAAAATGATACAATCTTAATCATAAGCAATTATTCTGCAAAATTATCAAAATTACATGTACACACACTATTTTACTCAGCACTTGCACATCTATGAATTTTACTATACATGTACTTGCATAGGTGTGAAATGACATATGGGCAAGGATACTCATTGCACTATTGTTTGTGATAGCAAAACATTGAAACTGCTTCCAATCTCCAGGAAGATGGGGCTGGTTAAATGCTTATGATATTTTCATTCAATGGTATACTATGTGGCTCATAAAAGAAACAAAATGAGGCAGCTCACTTGGAATGTGGAAGGATGTCTGACAGGATTCATGATATACTACCCCAAAATATTTTAAGCTGAAGGAATTTGAGAAAACAGCAGAAGCAGGAAGTTTTCTCTGAACTTTTCCTGCCCTTCTCTCCTGAAGGAGGTCATAAAACTTAGGAAGGAGTTTTCTGTCCTCCCTCTAAAGCAGGTTATAAGACCCTCAAATGAGAGGTGCCCTCCCTATACCTGGAGGAAAGAAACATCCTTGACTCTGAAGACACAGATATGGCAAAAAGAATCTGAACAAACAGGCCTGCTAAGTTTACCCCAGTTTATTGCCATTAGATCATACTCTTTTTGCCCCATTATAGTTCTTCATAACTATTCACTCTTCAACAAAACTCCCATAAAAAATAGTTAGGTTTAACTATTTCTTTGGGTCACCATTTCCTTGTGAAGGCTCCAATGTCACATGAAGCTTATATTAAATACATGTGTATTATTTTCTCTTGCTAATCTGTCTTTTGTCATATGGTTCTCGGCCATGGACCCAGGATGAGTAGGAGGAAAAATATTTTTCTTCCCCTACATATGTACAAAATCATTGTAAGTGAAAAAATGAAGTGCATAAAGTTTGCGTAGTATTCCACTATTTCCATAAGTGCTTATATATATCTATATAAGATATACGCTTCAGATTCCCTGAAAAGAGAAACAAGAAATTGGCAATGGTAGTTTTCTCCAAGGAGGTGAACTGTTGACTGGGGCATGGAAGTGGGAGTGAAACATACTTGTCACTGTGTCTATCTTCAGATACTTTTTGAATTTTATACCATATTACATGTATTACTTATAAAAAAAAAGCATTCTTTATTTTTAAAAATCTAAGATTACGGTATACGGTATATGGTATACGGTTCACTGCCGCACTTACTGAATTCCATTGCTAATTGGATTTTAAGGAGCACAGTTTTGCAAACAGCCTCCTCCAACGAAGCCCAGTCTGGCAGAGGACATTGGTGAGGTCTTCTGAGCCTAAACAGCCCTCAGCATCTGATCTGATCTGCAGATACAAAGACGCAAGTGTTTCCTTGCCTTTTGCTTACCATTTTAGCAAGACTCAGGCTGTCAGCAGGCTATGAAACGTATTCATCTTAGAAGGTGCTGCTTTAATTTATGAGCTATGCACTGACACAGGCTCTGTAGGAAAGGACATTCCCAGGCCATTATAAATATCATTTTGGCTGCATGATGAGGTCCTGTTTCAGGAAGTATTTCATAAAGAACCCTGACCGCTGCATAATGGCTTTTGCCTCTACTTCTGAACAATGGTTGATATGCAGGAAAAAGATCCACTTTTATTAACCCACAGTCACCAATTACCTTCATTTTATAGGAAATAGGTACAGTGAGGAATCCTTTTATGCCCGACCAACTGTAAGGATCACAGAGAACTTATGTTCAGTACCTTTTTGTTCGTTTGCTTTGGAATTACAACAGATGAATCTCTCAATATATCGATTCCAGAAAAAAGGTTAATTGACAACAAGATCTTCAAGCTGACTTTTTCACTTGGGCTGGCTCTGATTCCAAGAAAGTTTTCTGAAGTGTATTTTGTTTTCCAGATATTTTTCCTTTTCAAAACAGAATCCCATTCTACTTGCCGGAAAATGTGTTGTATTAAAGAGGATTAATACACATTCAAAGTGCAATCAGACTTTTATCCAGATAATACCTTGCTGTAACGGAAGTCCTTTATGTTAGCCACAGCTCTGAATTGCTGAGACATTCTATTGGATAACACATCTGTGAAGGCTCCAACTTAAATGTCACCTATTTAGCGGGGTTCAGTGGCTCATGCCTGTAATCCCAGCACTTTGGGAGGCCGAGGTAGGCAGATCACTTGAGCTCAGATGTTCCAGACCAGCCTGGGCAACGTGGTGAAACCCCATCACTACAAAAAATTAGCCAGGCATGATGGCATGTGCCTGTAGTCTCAACTACTCAGGAGCCTGAGGTGGGAGGATCACTTGAGCCTGAGGTTGAGGCTGCAGTGAGCTGTGATTGTGCCACTGCACTCTAGCCTGGATGACTGAGTGAGACCCTGTCTCAAAAAAAAGTCACCTATTCTGCGAAGTATCTATGAGCTCACCCAGGCAGAGTGGAGTCAGTAAAAAGTGAATTAAGCTATGCCCTTAGTTTACTTTTTTAATTAAAATTCTAGGTAGATCAAAATAAATAAATATTTTAAAAATTAAAGTATAAAAACACATGGGAAAGGTGTGTGTGTGTGTGTGTGTGTGTGTGTAAAGTATCAGAGTGGACAAGTCTTTTTAAGTGTAATGGAAAATTTAGAAGCAATTAATAAAAATTTTCCCACACTAAAAAAAATAGCCTCTCCTTAACTCTGAACTTTCAAAACATGCCCATACCTCAATTAAAATATATATCATATAGAGAGGATTTTAAATGATATGATAAATATGAAGAAATAAATATTTGAGGTGATAAATATGCTACTTAGCCTGATTTGATCATTCTACAAGGTATACATGTCTCGAAACATCACATTGTACCCACATATATATATATACAACTAATATTTTCCAATAAAAAGATAAAACAAGTAGTACATCACATGGCATTATAAGCATTTATTCATACACCCTTTTTCCCTCCTTATTGGACACATCCCCAAATCATACTGTGAATGACTAGGGTACAAATTAGCAACTACACATGCTATTTAACATGATCCTTGGACCACTATAATTATTCTGCAATTAAATGAATGAGTGAATAAATGAAGTGGTACTGGGTCCACTCAGTGTAAGCATTTAAATCAGTGGTCCCCTGGGTGAGCTGGGAAGGGGACACTGAAAATAGACAATCTAATTTTTCCTAAGGCAGCCCGCCAGGCTAGAGAACGTATAGGAGAAGACCGTGAGGGGAACAGCCATCTCCCCATGAGATGTACCGGGCAGAAGGGAATACCTGCTCTCCTACAGGGTAATTGGTGCTCAAATCAACCTAGAAATCCTATATTCTCTCTTCCTTTTAGTAGAAAGCCTCTCTGCCTGGCTAGAATTTCAACAGGCATATTTCCAACTGGCTTTATTATCGTGACCCAGATATAAATATCATGGCAGGAGCCCATGAGGTGGGAGCACAATTTATCCTAACTGAAAATAGAGGCGGAGAATCATCAGCCCTAGTATCCCTGATACTAGAGTGAGGTTTCCATAGCAACCAGCTGAGTCACTAATGAAAAAGAACAGTTGCACTATGACTAGGCTGACATTCTGTGACATTCTCTTATTTTACTGTAGCTCTAATGATGTCTTCAGTGGGAATGACAGAGAGAAAAGGTTCTGACCTCTCAATTAAACCTGTAGCTGACTTGACACGCTCTGCCTTTAGCCTAATGAACGTGAATTTCTGTGTGCAAATTCTGCCTTGGAGAAAAGCAACTTTGGAATTTGTCTGAATCATATATTAGACTTGTTGATTCCATTGTTCCTTTAATGTAGTCCCTTCTTTTCCAAATTAAGATGGAAACAGATGGGTCCCAAAAGCAAAACAGGAAGGGAAGACATTAGTGAAAAGACGTGACAAGGTGATGCTAATCTATCACTGATGACGCAAAATTGAAGAAAACAACCAGAAGTGGTTCTCTCCCTTCTTCAAACAGGAGGAACCACAGGTTATAAAGCAAGAAAGCTAGGAATCTGCAAAGATGGAGGGGACCTGCTGAAGACAAGGTCTGAGAGGTCCATGACCCACTGTATTCACTTACTAGTCACCATATTCAGAGCACTGAGCTAGGCACTACAGGGTGTTGCAAAGCAGAATACCTCAAGTCATTTAAAGTCTAAAACTAAAGGAGGGGTGAGATAGATTCGCAATTTTAAAATGCACACAAACTACACATGACCCCTTCTGCTGACAAGAAACATATACAGAAACCAGCACATTGATGATACAAGTTTTAAAAATTCAAATTAATAAAATAAAAAACTGCCACAACTTTGAGCATAGAAATGGAGTTTTAAAATAATCAAGATGGTCATTGAGTTTGTAAAACACTGAGAGTGCTTTACTTATGTTTTAGTTTCGTTTTGCTTTGTTTTGTTTCAAATGTACTTGTTTGCAAACACGTACCAACTTGTTTTAAGCCCAGCATTGGGTTCCTTTCATCTGCACAAGAAGGGCCACGAGGGCTGGTGTCAGCATTTGCTGCAAATTATATGGGAGTTTCTGCATTTGAGTGTAGGCATCTGCATCTCCTTATCAGCAGAAAAGAAGAGAGCTCATTCATTATTAAAACAGCCTTCTAGCTACTCTCTTTCCTCAGCACAACACTGCCAGACAAATTTTCTTAGTCTAAGTAAGACTTGAATCACGTTTTTCCTCTCCTCAAGATCTTAATTTACTGCTTTCTGCATGGCACTCTCCTAGTTAAGAAGAGATGATGGTTCCACATTACAAATCAAACCACACCCAACTCTGCTGCTTGATTTATAACGCGCCCAACAGCTTCGCCTCAGCATATCTATCCATGCATATTTCCTATGCCTCCCCAGTGGTAGTCCTTCCTTCCTGCCAGACCGTCTCTTTCCTGACCACAAAAAGGCATTATTACTAATTCTCAGCTCCATTGCATTCCACCAGCAGGAATTGCCTTCTCACTACCTAATCAGTCCTAATTCATCCTTGGAGAAAGTGCAAATGCCACTTCCTCCATAAAGGTGTTCTCTGAGGGGCTGCTGCTTGTGTAAACAGGGACTTCCATTCTGTTTGTACTTAACCATTTTCCTAACCTACTCTTATTTTTTCTGTTGACTAAATTGTTGACCCCTTGAGATCAGGCTTCCCGTTCTTTTCTTCTTTTCATGTATAGATGCCCATAGTACATTTACAGCCAGTCACGTATTAATTCAGTAAGTATCTATGGAACATTCGGCCAGGAGAGATATAAAGACCCATAAGGAGGCTTCACCTGGACATTTAGAGCTTGTAGTTGGGAATGTAGACAGGGGATGACAGGGACAAGGTAGTTCAGAACCAGACAATGTTCACATTTTAAAGCCCCCTCATGATTTTGGCCTTTTAATCTGCTTTGTCAGAGCTTCAGAGTTCCATGGAGGAGGAGAGGGTGGCAGGGGAGGCAGGATGCCTTCTTTGTCCTGATCAGAGCTGCTTCATTTTTATCTGCTTCAGGGGTTTAGATTTCTTAGACTTTGGATTAAAACTTCATCTAAAAGGGTACTTTTTGACTGAACAAAGGCTGAAAACCTCTTTTCTGGGTAGTGAAGATCCTTTCGCATTTTTAGGTGTGTTAAGAGCAAGCGTGTATCTGATGCTGGGTTGAGACTTAATCCATACCAGAAAGTTGGTGGATTGCTTAAACCCCCTTGACTCTCAAACTGTCATACATTGTTGACAGATGTTCTTTCATCTATTTGTTTGCTATTAAGAGTCAGAAGGCCGGACACGGTGGCTCACGCCTGTAATCTCAGCACTTTGGGAGGCCGAAGCAGGCAGATCACTTGAGGTCAGGAGTTAGAGACCAGCCTGGCCAACATGCTAGAACCTTATCTCTATTAAAAATACAAAAATTAGCTGGGCATAGCAGGGGGTGCCTGTAATCCCAGCTACTTGGGAGGCTAAGGCAGGAGAATCACTTGAACCTGGGAGGCAGAGTTTGCAGTGAGCCAAGATTGCACCACTGCACTCCAGCCTGGGCGACAGAGCGAGACTCCATCTCAAAAAAAAAAAAAAAAAAAAAAAAGAAGATAAGGGCAGTTGGTTTATATCTTTAATACTGAGGGAGTTTAAGAATATTCTGGCATTATATTTTGCCTCTGATTACTAAGAAATAAAGGTGCTCCTTCTTTGTGTGCATATTTTTTTGTTTTCATGGGAATATTTACTTTTTTTCCTTGTTGGACAGGGGAGTTATTTAAAGGAATGGTCAAAGAAAACTAAAAGGACCAGCTCTCCACCAATAGCTATAATAACTAAATCTATGCCTATGCAGAATCTTGTGAGAGAAAACCAAGCAGAAGGGACAATGAAAGTTGTATGGAAAGACAATAGCATGGATGAGAAGTCAGCAGTGAAGCAGCTTTTGCTGTTGTGTCAGAGCAGAAAATAGAAGAGTGGGCTGGCACAAGGCAGCAGCTACGCTCTGCTCAGACCAACTCTTCTCTGGACATTGCCACTCCAGGAACACAAACCCATGGTGGCCACCTCCTCAGCTGTTGCTGTGACACATTTTAGGATCATGAGTGGAAGGAACTCCCTGAGCATTTCTAGGTACCAAACCAATACAAACAAACTTCATTTTATGGAATTCCTCCCTGCTGAAGTAGACATTCAAAAAACATTCGTAATGTCCCAGCTCTTGGAAGAAACAGATGCAATGAGAGACCTCCCACTCATGGGTCTGCTTCTGCCACAAAGGTATAATGTGTGTGACAATCAAAAAGTATCATGTCAGAGTGGGAAGCATTCATGATGAAAAGTCAAACTGACCTAGGTTCAAATTCTGGCTCAGCTACTTGAAGATAGATGAATAATAAACAGGAATAATTTATATATATTTTTAAAACGAAAGTCTACTGGGAAACCCACTGAATGCTATATTTCTAAGACCCAGATGCCAATCCTATGCCGCTGTTCTTATAAGCCACTTCTCTTTGCACCTGTTGCTGTTTGCTTCCCTCATCCCAAACATACCAGACTGTGCAGGCTCCCCTCCTCTGAGTCCCCATTACACCCTGTCAATTTCCACATCCATCTGCGATTTCCTGGTTTGTGATTCTCAGTTTCTTTTGTCTTACTGCTAACCTAGAAATACTAGAGTTTAGGAAAGTCTCACTTGAAGGGACTAAAAGTCTCAACACAGCACTAAACAAGTCATCCATAGCGACAACACGATCACTGATCCAGTACAATATCTTATGGTGCCTAGAAAAGCACTCACAGCTATTACTTTCTCCTCAGCATTGTTTTACTGTTTATTGCCTGCCTTCCCTCTTATATGTGCACAAAGCACATTTCTCCTGTGAGTCAGTAAACTATACATCTGATTCGGCAGGGGTTTAACATTGTGCTTCACCTGTTTCATTCCCACAGAGAAGGTGGCACCTGGAGCTCAATCACATTTCCCAGTCTAAGACCTTCTCAATCTAATTCCATCTGACTGACATCATAGTGACAGGCTGTATCCTCAGAGAGAACAACAAAGAAAATCGTACCCTGATCTAAAATCCGTTGCTCACTTGTGAATGTTTCACAGCACCGTGGTTGAGAACCACAAGTTTATGAACTTGTCTGTCTGCCTAACATGACAATAAGATCCTTAATATCCTTAGGAAGAGGACTTGTCTTTTTCACCACTGTGTGTATGCCATGATGCTGGGCAGAGTAGGCACTCAAAAAGATTTATAAAATGAGTTTCAAGAGCAATAAAAATAATAGCATTTAGGTATTCACAGCTTCCCCCAACCATGTCAGCTGGTGAAGAAGGAAATACTCTTTGGTAATCATGGAGCCATGGCCTGGATTACTGTTGTAGATATCAAGGTAATGGAAAGAGTGGCTGAAATGAAAGGATTAGGGAAAAGCTAAATTAGTGTACATTAGAATAGCCTAGAACTCAAAGAAGGGCAATTAATAATAAAGGTGAAATTAAGGAGAGAGAGGGAGTGAGGGAGAAAAGCCAAGAAAAATAGAGATGAAGAAGGGATGGATGAGAAAAGAGACATTTGAGCGGATTCCTTTCTGTAATGAATACAATGAAAATAGAATGAAGGTAAAGAGGATGCTTAAAACATGTAGAGTGTGCCCTATAGCGAGTTTCTCCCTTGTAGCATTTTTCCAAGCAACTTCGGTAAAGATTTAAATTAGTTTTTACTACTTTAGGAAAAATATTAAACTGGTATCTCTTTTGAATGAATGCAATGCTGAAACATCATAAGGTAACCCAAGTTTGAGTCACCTTCAACTCAAACCCAAGTTTGTTTGAGTTATAGATGGAACTGGAATAATTTCCTGGGTAAGTGGAGGGTGAATGCTGTCACAGACCAAGCAATCCAATGTGAATTCCTCTGACTTTTTATTGGCCGTGTCTGGTGCTCTCTCATAAGTTTGAACACTGTTATGAATTTGGGGCAATTCTGCATGATGATATTACACAAGGTGGAAACAAGTATATATTCAGAGGAGCAGGATGTAGCCAGCAGAGCTTCATTCTGGTGACTGTTGGAGTTTTCTTGACCTCTGACATTGAATGTCAAGCATTGAGGAGTGGTCCAAGAATCCAGACCTGTCATCTGCAATGAGTCTGAGCTCAAAGCCATCTCTAATGTATTCAAATCTGGACCTTATTCCAGCTCCAAACCCTGCAGGGCTCTTCACTTCCGTAGAGATAGGCAGCGCAGGGAGGGCTAGAGGGTCTCATAAACCAATAGCCTAGTCACTGGTGCTTTTAAAAAACACCACAGAGGCTTAGTCTGATTGCTCATTAATACCTCTCCACTTTGACCAGTAGAAACTGCTCCACCCTTCCTCACACAAGCATTCTCTGGGCATCCTTTGTTAAAAATTTTATTTAGTATAACAATACTATTAATTTTCAAAATATTTCATAGTTATTGATGGGGCTTGTGGCAGAATTGAGTTATAAAGAAACACATGTGTTCTGATCTAGGTCCATTCCTCTAAAGATGATCATAGTTACACAGTTAACTGAACCGACCATTGAATGGAGCTAGCATGCTTGATAGGTTTTCTGTTATCAACAATCATTCCAGGAAGCAAAGGGGAAAAGAATCACAAATTTCCAGTAGATTGCTCTCTCACATCTGTCAGGTCTCCATTCATTTGTGATCTCTCTAGAGGGGGTTTTTGACCAAAAATAGCATCTTGTGCCACCTTCTATATCCCTACCCTGTTTTACTTTCCTTTGTAGCTCTTATCACTCTGTCATTATAACGCATGCTTATCCACTTACTTATTGCCTGCCTCCCCAAATGGAATGTGAGTTACATTAGGGTTGGGACTTTACTGATGCACCCTAAAACAGTTTCTAACATATACAAAGTGCTCAATGTGTATCATTAAATATATTGATGTTGAGTGAATAAATAAATTGTCCAATGAAATTAATAGAATGAATGAATGGACACATATAATATGCCAGCAATGGTGGATAAATGGTTTACAAATAATAAACATTTAAATCAAGTTCAACCCTGTCAGGGAAGTGTTGCTTTCATCTGATTGACAGATGTAGAAAATGAGACTCAGAGAGGTAAAATAATTTGCCCAAAATATATGCACACAATAGGTTGCAGAACTAGGATTTGAACGTGGCTCTTTCCGATGACACAATTTGTGCTATTTTTTTTTTTTTGAGATGGAGTCTCACTGTGTCTCCCAGGCTGGAGTGCAGTGGCACGATCTCGGCTGACTGCAACCTCTGCCTCCTGGGTTCGAGCAATTCTCCTACTTCAGCCTCCCGAGTAGCTGGGATTACAGGCACACACCACCACACCCAGCTAATTTTTGTATTTTTGGTAGAGACGGGGTTTCGCCATGTTGGCCAGGCTGGTCTCGAACTCCTGACCTCAGGTGATCTGCCCACCTCGGCCTCCCAAAGTGCTGAGATTACAGGTGTGAGCCACTGCACCCTGTCCCAACTTGTGCTATTTTTATAACACTTCACTTTGTGCAAAAGCTATAGGTCAGGCTAGTTTAATATCCTTCAAAACTATAATGCTAAAGAGAGTACTTAAAGGAAATGATTTAATGACGCTTTAGTGTTGGACTTGGTATCTCCTGGCCTTTTCTTCCATCTCCTACCTCCTCCCAATTACATCTGACTTGGGCATCAAAACAAGACTCGCCTGGGTCCCTGGGCTGAAAAATAAAGCTTGCTTGTGCTGGTCTCTACACCTTGGGCAGGCTTTCTCTTTCCTCAGGCATGTGAGGAAAGCAGAACAGCCACAAGTCTATCAGAGCTGAGGGAGCTAGCTGTGTGTTTGTCTACCAAGTGTTGGCAGTCCTGGGAAGTATGGATGCACAGCATCATGCACAACCTGGTGGGACTCAGTAAGACAAAAGGAAGGAAGGTTAAGTGAGTAACAAGTGTGTTCACAACAAGATAGAAGTAAACCAGGCAGGGAGTCCAGTGTTGACAGGAAGAAGTTACTCGATGACTAATTGGAGAGAAGGACAAAGCTATGATACTGAAGGACAAGAAGGAGCAATGCATGATGTAAGTAACTGTGTGGTTGCTGAGTCTACCCCATAAGGTAGTTGTTTACCTTTTATGGTTTATGTTCTTGGATTGTGCACTGGGTTTGATGACTCAACTGGGTAAGGGCCAGATGGTTTTCTAATGTATCTTTTGTCTCCAGAAGGACAGAAATTTGAGCTTTAAGGCATCTTGAGTTACCTTGAAATGTAATTTTTTCTTGTTTTTTTTGTTTTATTTTTTATGCTTTGTTATTGAGGCATAATTTACATTAAACGACATGCACAAGCCAGACATGGTGGCTCACACCTGTAATCCCAACACTTTGGGAGGCTGAGGCAGGAGGATTGCTTGAGTTCAGGAGTTCGAGACCAGCCTGAACAACATAGTAAGACCTCGTCTCTACAAAATAAATAAAAAAATAAATGATTAGCTAGTGTGATCGTGCATGCCTGTAGTCCCAGACACTTAGGAGGCTAAAGTAGAAGAATGGCTTGAGCCCAAGGAGATCAAGGCTGCAGTGAGCTATGATCATGCCATTGCACTCTAGCCTGGGTGGCAGAGCAACACCCTGTCTCAAAAAAAAAATGACATGCACAGATCATAAATGCACAGTTTGGTGAATGCTGACATAGGCATATCCATATAACTCACACTGCAAACAAGATAGAGAATATTTACATAAATTTAAACAGTTCCCTTGTGCCCCTTCTCAGACAATCCAACTTTCTCAAACAACCACTCTTCTGATTTCCTCATGAGGGATGATTTTTGCCTGTTTTAGAACATCATATAAATGGAATCATATAGTATATTCTTTGTTTCTGGCCTGTTTTGATTATTATAATGTTTTTGAGATCTTCTATGATTTGTCTTCAGTATTTGATTCATTTTTATTGCTACGTAGTATTCCATTGGAAATACACCAAATTTGTTATCCAAACATCACACATTTGCCCACTTTCTTTTTTTTTTTTTTTTTTTTTTTTTTTTTTTTTTTTTTTTTTGAGACGGAGTCTCGCTCTGTCGCCCAGGCCGGACTGCGGACTGCAGTGGCGCAATCTCGGCTCACTGCAAGCTCCGCTTCCCGGGTTCACGCCATTCTCCTGCCTCAGCCTCCCCAGTAGCTGGGACTACAGGCGCCCGCCACCGCGCCCGGCTAATTTTTTGTATTTTTAGTAGAGACGGGGTTTCACCTTGTTAGCCAGGATGGTCTCGATCTCCTGACCTCATGATCCACCCGCCTCGGCCTCCCAAAGTGCTGGGATTACAGGCGTGAGCCACCGCGCCCGGCCTCATTTGCCCACTTTCTAATTGGATTGATTCATTTTGTTCTGTTGGGTTTTGATAGCTTTTTTGTGTATCTTAGGTACTAGTCATTTATTGAACATACGGTCTGCTAATCTTTTCTCCATTGTGTAGCTTGTCTTTCATCTTTTTTCAACATGGGCTTTCACATAGCAATCGTTTTTATTTTGATGAAGTTCAATGCATCAATTTTTCCTTTTATGGATTGTATTTCATGCATGGAGTCTAAGAACTCTTTGCCTAGCCCTAATTCTCAAATTTTCCTTGTGTTTTCCTAAAAGTTTTGTAATTTTACATTTTACATTTATGTTTACAATCCATTTTTGGTTAATTTTTCTTTGAGGCATGAAGTTTTCTTGCCTATGTTCATCTTTTTGGATATGGATGTCCAATTGCTCCAGGATTTGTCAAAAAGACTGCTATCCTCCCACCATTAAATTGTTTTTGTACCTGTGCACCATACGAAACAGCACATTCCTATGGGTTTATTTCTGGGTTCTCTATTATGCTTCATTGTTACATGTGTCTATCTCTCTGCCCATGCCATTCCAAATAAACCATAGAATTGGTTTGTATATTTAATTAATTAATTAATTAATAGTGAAAGAAATTGCATTAAACCTATAGATCAATTTGGAAAGAATTGAAATCTTTGTTGGGTCTTCTAATCTAGCTATGTGATATGTCTCTCCATTTATTTAGTTTTTAAAAGATTTAATCTGCATTTTATAATTTTCAAGATATAGATCCTATAAAATATTTTGTCAAATGTATATTTAAATATTTTAATTTTTGGAGGAATTGCAATGGTATTGTATTTTTTCATTTCAGTTTCACATGTTATTGTTAGTATATAAAAATGAGATTTATTTGTGTGTGTTGATCTTGTATGGAGTCATTGCTGAATTCACATTAATTCTAGAAGTACTTTTTGGTACATTTCTTGAAATTTCTACATAAACAACCATATCCTCTGCAAACAGAAATAATTTTATTCTTTTTCAATCTTTAGAATTTTATTTCTTTTTCTCAACTTATTGCAATGACTAGGACCTCTAGTACTATGTTGAGTAAGAATGGACAGAATGAACATCCTTGCCTTGTTACCGATCTTGGGGGAAAAGCGTTTAGTCCTTTTCTATTAAGTATGATGTCAGCTGTAAGATTTTTGTAGATGCTATCTATCAAAATGTGGTAATTCTCCTCTATACTAACTGGAAATTTTTATTATGAATGAGCATTGGATTTTTTCAAATGCTTTTACAATTTTTGTTTTTTGTTTTTTTTTTTTAAGACGGAGTCTCACTCTGTCACCCAGGCTGGAGTGCAGTGGCACAATCACTGCTCACTTTAGCCTCACTCTTCTGGGCTCAAGCAATCCTCCTACCTCAGACCCTTGAGTACTTGGGGCTACAGGCACGTGCCTCGATGCCCAGCTAATTTTTTAATCATTTGTAGCAATGGGGTCACACTATGTTGCCCAGGTTGATCTTGCACTCCTGGGCTCAAGGGATCTTCCCACCTCGGCCTCCCAAATTGCTAGGGATACTGCACCAGGCTTTCAAATACATTTTCTGCTTCAATTGATATGACCATATAATTTTTCTTGAATGTTATCAACCTTGTTGATATGGTTGATTATACTGATTGATTTGGGAATGAGGAACCAGCCTTGCATACCCAGAATAAGTCCCACATGGTCATGGTGCACAATTCTTTTAAATCATTTTTAGATTTGATTTGCTGGTGTTTTGTTGAGGAAATTTTTGTCTAATTTCATAACAGATATTGTTCTGTTGTTTTCTTTTTTTACTATCTTTGTCTGATTTTGGTATCGGGGCAACACTGGCCAGATAAAATGAGTTGAAAAGTGTTCCTTCTTCTATTTTCTGGAGGATGTGGTTATAAAATTGGAGTTAATTTTTCCTTAAGTATTTGGTAGCATTCTCCAGTTAAATCATCTAGATCTAAAGTTTTGTTTTGTTTTGTTTTGGTGACAGAGTCTCACTCTGTCACCCAGGCTGGAGTGCAGTGGCACAATCTTGGCTCACTGCAATCTCCTCCTTGGGGGTTCAAGTGATTCTCGTGCCTCAGCCTCCGGAGTAACTGGGGTCACAAGCACACATCACCATGCCCGGCTAATTTTTATACTTTTAGTAGAGATGGGGTTTAGCCATGTTGACCAGGCTGGTCTTGAACTTCTGGCCTCAAGTGATCCACTGGCCTCTACCTCCCAAAGTGCTGGGATTACAGGTGTGAGCCACCGCACCTGACATATATCTAAAGATTTTTTTTCATATTTTTTATTATGAATTCATTTTTTTTAAATGTTGTAGGGCTATTTGTATTACCTATTTTATCTGGATTGAATTTTGGTTGTTTGTGGTATTTCTTTTTTGTTTTCGTTTTTGTTTTTTCTAATTATACAGCTTGTAAGTGGCCCTAACTGACCTCTTTCCAGTTTTATTTTTTAAGTTCCAAGGTACAAGTACAGGATGTGTAGGTTTGTTACATAGGTAAATGTGTGCCATGGTGGTTTGCTGCACCTAACAACCCATCGCCTAGGTATTAAGCCCATCATGCATTAGCTCTTTTCCCTAATGCTCTTCCCATCCTTCGCCCTCCCACAACAGGCCCCAGTGTGTGTCGTTCCCCTTCCTATGTCCATGTGTTCTCATTGCTTAGCTCCCACTTACAAGTGAGAACATGTGGGTTTGGTTTTCTGTTTCTGCCTTAGTTTGCTGAGGATAATGGCTTCCAGCTTCATCCATGTCCCAGTTTGTGGTTTTTCAGGAAATTGATTGATTTATATTCTAAGTTGTTAAATATATGATCATAAAGTTGGTCACAGAATTCCATTATTATCTTGTAGGATTTGTAATGATCTAACTTTACTTTCTGCCTTTTCATTTTTGTTAGTCTTGGTGGAGGTTTATCAATTTTATTAATTTTTTTAAGAATTAGTTATTTTCATTGATTTTCTTTGTCATTTTGCTGCTTTAAATTTTATTTAATTCCACTCTGATCTTTATTATTTTCTTCTTTCTGCTTGTCTGGGGCTTATTTTTCTCTTACTTTTCTAGTTTCTTGAGGTAGGAACTTAAATTATTGATTTGAGACTTTTCCTTGTTTTTAATGTAAGCATTTAGTGCCATAAATTTCCCTCTCAGCACTACTTCAGATAGATCCCACATAATCTCATATGTTGTATTTTCATTTTCATTCAGTTCTGTATATTTTTAATTTCCTTTGAGACTCCCTGTTTGACGTATGAAATATTTAGAAGCATGTTATTTAGTTTCCTTATTTTTAGAAATTTTCCTGTCTTCTGTTATTGGTTTCTAGTTTGATTCTATTATCAACATACTCTGTATGATTTTAATTCTTTCAAATTTGTTGGTGTCTGTTTTATGGTCCAGCATACAGTTTGTCTTAGTATATGTTCTGTGTTCTCTTGAAAAGGGTACATAGTTTACTGTTTTGGGATGGAATCTTCGTTCTATTATGTTGATGCAAAAGTAATTGCAGTTTTTGCCATATATATATTTTTTGACATTAATATATATGTCATTAGATCCTGTTTGTGTATTGTGTTGTTCAGATCTTCTATATCCTTGCTGATTTTCTTTCTAGTCTTTCTGTCAGTTGCTGAGAGAAGGGTATGGAAGTCTTCAACTATAGTTGTGAGTGTGTCTATTTCTCCTTTCAGTTCTATTGGTTCTTGCCATGTGTATTTTGAAGTACTGTTGCTTGGTATGTAAACATATGACTTTCTAGTGAACTAATTCTTTTATCATTATGTAATGTCTCTCTTTGTTGTTAGCAATTTTCTTGGCTCTGGTGTCTAATTTATCAGATATAAATATAGCCAATTCTGCCTTCTTTGTTAATGTTTGCATGATAATCTTTTTCCATTTTTTTTTTATTTTCAACATACCTATGTCACTAAATTTGATGTGAGTTTCTTATGGACCGCATATAGTTGAGCATATGCTCAACTGTATGCGGTCCATAAGAAAATAGGTAATACAATCTCACCTTTTGATTGGTATATTTAGACAATGTACATTTAGGGCACTTAGGGCTTCCATTTTACTATTTGTTTTCTGTTCATTTCTCCTTGTTTCATTTCCTCTGTTTATCTTTTATTATCTTCCTATGGGTTACTTCAGAAAAAAAAATTAAAATTTAGTCTTGACATATTTATTTCTTTACTGAGATTTTCTACTTTTTCATTTGTTTGAAGTGAATCTGCAATTTATTGTTGAAACATTTTCATGACAGTTGCTTTAAAATACATGTCAAATAATTCCAACACCTGACTCATCTCAGTGTTAGCATTAGTTGATTGTCTTTTCCTGTTGAAGTTGGGGATGTTTTAGTTCTTGGTGTAGCCAGTGTTTTTAAATTGTATGTTGGACATTTTGTCTGTTTTTTTAGGAGATGCTAGGTCTTATTTAAAGCTCTTTTAGCAGGCAGTTACCCTATTTAGGTTTAGCACACAGGTCCTGGCTTACTTTTGCAGGCTATGATTCCAATAGCAGTTTAATTTTCAGAGCTTTGGCCTGTTATTTGGTTTGCTTGGCTTACCTGTTGCTACTGGAGCGTCCACTGGTTCCTGCCAGTATTGCTTGAAGAAAGTGGAAGGGGTTTCCCTAGACTAGGCTGCTTCTGTCTCTCCATGGAGGAAGAACTCAGGTCTCAGGGACAAAGAGGCTTTCTGGGGGAAACCATTTGTGTGGCTGGGTCCTTTCTGCTGGTTCTGCCTGCCTGTTCCCATGTGTCCCAGTGGGGAAGGAGTCCTAGGCACGTGGAAGTGGAGGTGGGGAGCTTCCTAGGCCAGGTACCTACTGTGGCATAATCCTCTTACAAATATGCCCCAGTGCTGCCCTGGTGTCCCTGGGCAGGGTCCTGAGCTCAAAGAGGCTTCCAGAGGCCTGGCCAATTGTTATGGCTGCATCCCTCTTGCCAGTTTCTCCCTCTAGCTTAGGTATATTTCGGCACAGGAGAATAGTCACCACCTGGCAGAAAAGGGGAGTGCTTCCCAGACACTTATTGTTAGCAGGGGTTCTAGCTCTATTCCTCTTGCCCTTCGTGTCACCTGGTTTCAGAGGGATATTTTCAGAGAGACTCTCTTTTGATGTGGGAGAGAAATGAGCCAACTTGGGCTATCTTCTATTGTAGGTTGGGGGTCAGGAAATGCCAAGTCTAGGTTGCCTTCTTGTGGCAGCTAGGGCCCATAAGATGCCATTCCGCTGTGCTATTCCTCCTGACTAGTGTCCCACACCAGTTTTCCTTGTTCTTATCACCTTTCAGAGTTCTCTTTCAGCCATCTCTTGAGTAATTTCAAGGGTTTACAGTTCATTGTAGTTCATGGGGCAGAACAGGAAGAAACAAATTTACAACATCTTGTCCAGAACAGAGGTTCAGTATACTTTTGAAAAACAAATTGTCTTTGGCTCTCAGATGCCTTCTACTGCATTTAGAAACTTGGAAATATTATGGGCCTAGTCATCATTGCAGTAATGATTTTCAGGCACCGCTGCCGTGGGGCAATAACACAGTCCTAAGTTGATGTCTGGATCTATCCTGCAAGCAGCTGGTGAGAACAAGGGGTCAAGAGGTGATTATTTTGTAAACAGGATCAAAGTCACTGTAGTACTTCCACATACATAGATATTTTCATGTAAGTGTTGTACATGATATCTTCTTCCTTCTCTTTTCCCATAAGGCTAGTCTTAAAATTAATCTTAACTGGATTTAATATGTCCATAAGACAAAGGAAAGTGAGTATAATGGGACTAATCTGGTGCCCTACCACACGTCTTTATTAAAAATTTTATATTAATTTCCCCAGAAACTGGGTAATAAGAGCTTCTACACTAAAATGTAGAAAAAGTATCGTAAATCAGAATTATGAATTGAAATAAATGTGATGAAATTTAATGACGATAATGACAAAATATTGCATTTAGGGACAAAATGTTCATGATTAACTAAAGAAACAGTTTACCAATAGTTTATTTGAAAACCAAATAGAGAACTTCGTTACTATGATCTACAAAACTTTAGTAATCTTAACGTAAATACTGAAGTCAGCAGCAGGAGTTATGGGCCCTTCATGCTCTACTACAGTGTTTCTCAAGTTTTAATGTGCATGCAGATTAGCTGGGTATCTTGTAAAACTTAAGATTCTGATTTAGCATATCTGGAGTAGGGCTTGGGATTCTGCAGTCTAATAAGCTTCGGGCGATGTTGGTTATGTTGGTCAATGGATTACATTTGGAGTAGCAAGGCCCTGCCTTATACGGATCACTTCTAGGGTGAGATATTTATTTATGAGAAAGCATCACATCTTAAGAGAATCACTGAAAAATGAATTTGTTCAGAAAAGGCAAGGCAAGGTAGTAAGAAGCTAGAAATTGCTATGGTATGAATGTTTCTGTCTCCTCAAAAATCGTGTTGAAATCCTAGACCCTAAGGTGATGATATTGGGAGAGTTATGAAGATGGAGCCCTCAGGAACAGGATGACTGCTTCTATTGAAGAGGTCCAACGAAGCTCAATTGTCCCTTGCTCCATGTGAGGACACAATGAGAAGGCACCATCTATGAGAAAGCAGGCCCTCACCAACCACTGAATCTGCTGGTGCCTTGGTCTTGGATTTCCCAGCCTCTAGTACTGTGAGAAATAAGTTCATGTTGTTTATAAGCTACCCAGTTTATAACATTTTTTACAGCAGCCTGAAAGGCTAAAACAGAAACTAAGTTTTAACAGTAACAGTAGAAAGGTCAACCTTTAATTAGCTAAGAATTCTTTCAAATTTATAATATAAACCATCCAAAGAAAAAGAGGCCAACAAGTTAACCAAAAAGAGAAAAAAAATCACAGAAGACCAAACACAGATAACAAACAAACATATGAAGAGATGTTTGACCTCAGTAGTGATCATGGCACACAAATTAAAATAACAATGGGATATTTTTTTCAGCCAGTACATAGGCAAAAGTTTGATAAAATCCAGTGGGAAAATAGTCACCATCATAAATTGTTGGGATATGAATTGCCACAACCTTTTTGAAAAGTCATATAGCATTATCTATTTAAAAAAATCTTAAGTGCACACATATACTTTGGTTTGTCAATTCTACTTACAGGAGTCTTCTTTAATGAAATAAACTGAGAATTACATATATACATACAAATATGTTTACTGCAAAGCCTTAAAAACAACCTGAATAGCCAGGCACAGTGGCTCACGCCTGTAATCCCAGCACTTTGGGAGGCCGAGACGGGCGGATCACAAGGTCAGGAGATCGAGACCATCCTGGCTAACATGGTGAAACCCCCGTCTCCACTAAAAATACAAAAAATTAGCTGGACGTGGTGGCGGGTGCCTGTAGTCCCAGCTACTCAGGAGGCTGAGGCAGGAGAATGGTGTGAACCCAGGAGGCGGAGCTTGCAGTGAGCCGAGACTGCGCCACTCCACTCCAGCCTGGGCGACAGAGCGAAACTCTGTCTCAAAAAATAAATAAATAAATAAATAAATAAACAATCTGAATACCCATCAACTAATAATTGACTAAACTGTAGCACATGCAATAAAAGAGAACTTTCTAATAAATTCCTGCCTCCCAAGGGTGGGATGAGGAATTAGTAAACTCTTTGCAATAGAATGTTCAATCCGAGGTCATAAGAAATACTGTTTGGGAAATTCTTGCACAGGACATCTTGCAAGACACCAGCCTGCATTATTTCTAAGTTTCCTTCTGACTCTAAAACATATGTCTACAAATTAGGCAGAGTGACCTTCTTATGGTAAAGGAAAAGAAAGAGAGGCAAATTTTTCACTTTATTTATATCTGCTCTCCTCATTTTAGAATTGAGGTTTTGGGAGTAGGTTTAAGGGGTAGAATATTTTCATTAGTATGTATAGAGGCCACAGACTGAAGCTATTTCATTTAGATACATAATAAATTTGGAAAAATGGTTATTGGTTTCTTTATCTCTAATTGTTCAAACAAGATCCGTATTTCAGAAAATGCCTCCTTCATATTCACAGTCACTCGTTGAAAGTGACTAATTTATGACTGGGCAGGGACACAGCGTCAAACACTCTGAGCATATGGATAAGTGACTCGCTGTGTGTCTAAGATCGATGGAGCCTGACGCCTGCTCCCTTGCCAGGAGCGTGGGCCAGCATAAATGTACTCAGGAAGGGGAGAATGGCATCTCATTATGTACTGGGACGGAGTGAGCAGTGCGCGGCTGGAAGCCTGCATTTCCCTCCATTAGCGGTTTGCAAACTGTAACCCTCCCTCAGAGTTGTTTCTGGGGCTCAGCAAGCATTTATTACAAGTGTTTAAAATATGTTTAAATAATTATTTTTAAAAAACTAATTAAAAACCAGAAAACACATTCAATGGAATATATGCCAAGTTTTAACACACTAGAAACCATTAAATATTAATATATATTCTTATTGATAGGCTCTTTAGAAAAGAATGTGAATGTCAATGCATAAGTTTGTATAGAAAATACTGTTTTACCTATTTTGTGATTCATGATTTCATGATTTGTGATTTCTTTTGGAAAAAGCAAATTATGCTAGAATTTTTATAGACCCTTCCCAAAATCACAAGTTAGGGAAAGACAGAAAAGTAAGGGTGAAAGGAACAGAGCCTGAGAAATCGCTGTTAGAATGATTAGTGCATATATTGCCCAAACCTTTAATGGTTTTTATGGCTGTCCTTCAGAACGCCCCACCTTAAAAAAGTCTTTATTAAACTTAGAGCATTTAAGTGTATTTTATTCTTTTCAGAATTGGATAATTTTCTTCTCTTATTCTTTTTTTTTTTTTACTGTATTTTTTTGGCTGGGAGGAGGTTGATGCCAGGAGTTGTATTTGAATTGAATCTTTGGTAATAAGGTTTAATATGATTACTTGCTTGACAATTTCTGTTCAAAGGAGGGGGCTCTTCTCAAAACACTCAGTTCTTTCTCTATTATAAACATATTTTGAGACATTAAATGAACTGGGAAAGTTTCCAGGACAAGGTCTGGAGTTTAAGCACATATGTTCAAATTCTAGATCCACTATCTTTAAAGTAAAGCTTAACATGGGCACAATTTCGAAGTTCTGGCTCAGTTTCCCTTTTTGTAAGATGAAGATAATAATAATATTGACACTATCAGGCTCTGGTAAGGACCAATGGACTCAATATATGTAAAATGTTTAACATGGTGTCTAGCACATGATAAGCATTCCACAAATGTTAGTACCATTATTATTTTCGTACAACTTTTTGCCCACATTTACTATGAGAACTGTTAAGTAACAAACAGAAAAATAGAGGGGGAGACTAAAAGAAAAAGGAGATACCGTGTGCATCTATTTATGTCATATACTCGTCAAAAAGACATTTGTATTGTTACTTGATTTTTCAGTAAATCCTGTGAGCTGTCCACTAGTGAGAACCAAGGTATTGAGAAGTTAAGACACCAAACAGCAAGTGGTAGTGGTAGAGGGGGTAGACAGAAACAAGGGCTTTTGACTCCAAGTCCAGTACCCTTTCTTCCATGGTGTTCCTTCTCTCATAGACGCCAAGATTTATTAATGTTAACCATGGGTTGCCAAATTTTTATTCTCTTCATTATTTTTGATAGGTATGGAATTCCGATGATCCCTAGGTCAGTAGTCGCCAACCTTTTTGGGACCAGGGACCAGTTTTGTGGAAGACAATTTTTCCACAGACAAGGGGTGGGAGGAGATGGTTTCAAGATGAAACTGTTCCACCTTGGATGATCAGGCATTTGTTAAGTTCTCATAATGAGTCCACAACCTAGATCCTTGGCATGCACTGTTCCCAATAGGGCTGGTGCTCCTATGAGAACCTAACGCCGATGATGATCTGACAGGGGACAGAGCTCAGGCAGTAATGCTGCCTCACCACTCACCTCCTGCTGCATGGCCCAGGTCCTAACAGGCCAGGGATCAGTATCGGTCCATGGCCAGGGGAGTGGGGACCCCTGACCTAGATGGTAACCGCCCATTCATTCACTCCTCTGATATTTGTTTTGTGTAAATATATATGACATTGGGCAGCACCTAAACTAGGTGGAGCAAAGTAGGAAAGAATTTAGCAAAGATATTGTATCAGGAAAATAAAACAAAATCACTCCAGTTATTTTAACAGACAAAACGTCATATAGGAAGTTGGTGTTAGAGGTCTGAAAAGGCAAGTAGGAACATGGACATAATATGGAGAAAGTGAGTGCAGCCTTCACCTCTAGGGATGGGAGAAACACAGGGAAGAAGCTGGGGTCATTAGAATCCAGAAGTTTAGAGGAGGAGTCTTTTCAAGTTAAACTCAAACTTCCCAGGAGAAGGCAGCTGATTAGTTGGCACTGGTGTTTCTGTGGGTGTATGAGGAGGAGGCTTCTGCAAGGGAGAAAAACAACTGGAAACTGGAACAACGCAGGCTGCCAGGGCGAAAATGCACTGCTGGGTGATGCTGCAGGAACAGGAAACAAACAGGAAGGACTCGGTCACTTCCCTTTTCTCGAGTTTCCCGTCTCCCTCTAGCACCCTTTGGCAGAGTCTAGCATGGCACCATCAGGCCAAGCTGAAACGTGGTTTGCAGAGAGCCAGCCCCAGCATCACAGGTGAGTTTGGAACTGAGACAATAGATTAACAACTGGCAGATATATGCACATACTGTTATGGCTAATTGATATTAATATGTAAGTTGTGCTACAGAGGAAGAAACTATTTTTTTTACTGGGAAACTCCTAGACTCCATTATATCTAATCGGACTTTACGTCCTGATTTACTGTTTATCTTATATATTATCTCAGCTTCTTCAGCCCTTCTCCATTCCCACTCACAACGCTCCAGACTAAACCCGTATCATGTCTTAGTTGGCTTATTCCAGTTGATTTCCCCACCTCCAAGTTTACTACCTCCAGCCCATCCTACCTGCCAACAGAACAATTCCTATTACTCCACTCTTAAGGCCTTTAATTAATCTTTAACCTACAGAATAATATCTAAACTTATTCATAGAATACAGGCTGCCTCTCCTTCCAACCTGCCCACCTCCTACCTCAGATCTCATCTATACTAAAACTGCTCAAAACCTTTGCTTTAATATTATACCATAGCAAAGTTGAGGGGTAGGCTGGGGAGCTAAGGAAAAGCAATATGTGTTTAGAATGAAAGAATTACCACAATCAAACACATCTATGATTAACTGCACCCAGCATTCTCTTGCTGGCAAAAGCATTAGGGGCTAACAGAAAGAAGGACATTGAGAGAGTTGCCCAGTCACCCAACAACTCATAAAAATCTGCCAAGGACCAGAAACCATATAAAAACAAACACACATATTTTAAAACTTTTGGATGTTTAATATTTCAAAAATATAAATAATAGCCAAGCAATGGTTTTTGAAAAGATATAGAGACGTGCAGGACAAATTTTCTCGTCTTTGGTGTCCAAGGATTGTATTATTAACAACTTTCTTAGACACGAGTTGGTGAAACAGCTGGCGTTTCTATTAACAAAACAGTTTTAAAACGATTGTAATATCTTTCCAATAATGAAATGTCTTTTCAAGAGTAAAAACTAACAGCTAAGATATACTGAAAAATTTTATGTGTCAGGCTCTATTCTAGGCACTTACATATATTGTCTCATTTATTTTTCACCAGCTCATTTATTTTTCACCAGCTCCCTATAAAGTAGATACTTTTATTATCCCATTTTATAGATAAGGAAGCTGAGGCTCTATGAAGTTAATTATCTTGCCCACTACTAGGTGGTGGTAGCACTAGCTCTTTGAGGGTCAATAAGGTGAAAAGTTAGTAACTACTTGTGAATGGCTCCTTTTTTTTCCCCTGTGGCTAGAAATATGTTTTTGTATTTGGTTTAAATCTTCGTTTTGTTTAAATGGGGTTTTAAAGGTCCAGGGAAATAATTTTTTCAATGGGCTGTATCATATCATAATTTAACACTGGCAGGTGGCTTTTTAATTTAGTGGTTGATAGATACTATAATATAAATGAGCTCAATTGTGCCTTGAATTAAACAAGAATAGTTATAGCCACAAGACAGAAGAGAAGCCACATTTCCTATCCTGGGAGTTCAATGTAGGTTAGAATCCAGGGGCTTAGCTGAATCAGAGACAGATCTTGCTGAAGCAACAGTATGATGAGAAAGTTAGCTCATCAGAATAAGTTGGAAATCTAGTAACCATTTGGCAGAAGATTGCAATTCATAAAAGCAAGTATTTCCAAAGGCAGCCACATCGGTGATAGATTTGACCCTTACAACCAACACCAAAGTAAAGAACTGCTGGTACAAAGTAAAAGTTCCAGTATAAATTACATACCTACCATGAGTTAACCACAGATTAATTCACAAAGAGTTGAGAAGACAATTAATAATCTTACTGTTTATCAGACATCTACTAGGTGTTAGCCAGGCACTCTGTTAAGCCCTCTATGTATGTGATCCCATTTTAACCTCAGATAAACCCCATGGAGCATTTTTATCTCCGTATTACAGATGAGGAAATAGAAGTAAATTAGAATAAGTAACATACTCAAGATCATCAAGGTAGGAAAACCACCTTCAAACCGAGATTTATTCAAGTTTAAAGCCTCTGCTCTTTCTACTACCTCACACTGCCTCAGCTATTATTGAACAGAGTGTTATTTCTTTCTATAATAGCTCTGATTATTTAAGCAATAGAATTTTGTGTTCAGAAAACAGAACCCCTCATTTTCAATTCACCACATCAGCTAGAAAGGTTTGTACAGCACATTTTTTGCCATGAAAAGCAAAATTGACTTTAAGAGCAACCCATTACAGCCGCTCAGACCTTTGTCCCTCTAGCTCAGAAGGTCTATAGCATGTGCCTAGAGTTTGCAAATCCTACACACCAATAGAATAATGCACTCCAACATTCAAGAGTAACATGCTAGGATTGAAGGTGGTTAGGTGGGGAGAATATCCATTCTCCTGATTTCCTGACTAATGCAGGATAGTCATGCTGGTAAATATACAGAGAGGACTGGTATGGTGTTTTGAATAGTTGCTACTTACGTTAAGTAGGCAAATATTTTGAATATCATCTTTGTGATGAGAGGGTTGTTGGGACACAGAAGGTAAGTGATTGTTTCTTTAATTTGTAAAAGCTATCTTTTTGTAAGCAGAAAGACCAGTAGGAAATGGGTAACCAATAAGAATACTGAACATACTTAATCATGAAAAATGGTGAAGCTATTGCCAATTTCAGCTCTGTGGACACATTCTAGGAGGTTTTAACTGCAAGAAATGCTCAGTTATATTCAAATCAGGAGGAAATGCTGATTGAGAAACATTGAAGATCAACAAATTCCCCTTACTATTTAGGTAATAGTATTCTTTATTTTTGTTCCAATTATGCATGATATTTAAATAAGGAATATTCTGGAAGCTCTGCTTAACTGTTTCAGAGAGCTTCTATTTTTATTAACTGTGGTCTTTCTTAAAAATAATTATCTCTATGAGATCATATGTGCAAAGTGCCTATACTAGTGCCAGCTCGCTGAGGCAGCTCATGTAGCTCAGGTTTCTTTTCCTTACTGGCACTCTAGCTGTATAGAGTTTTGTTCCATGATCCAGTCATCACCTGGATGTAATTACCTCAACTGTAGTCACTTCAAAAGGAATAATAGTTTCTAGGGTGTTATTATTTTTTTCATAAACAAAACTGATGCAATTAATATGGATGTTATAAGCCATGTTAAATTCATATATTATTTTCTTTCTTTCTTTCTTTCTTTTTTTTTTTTTTTTTTTTTTTTGAGATGGAGTCTCACTCTGTTGCCAGGCTGGAGTGCAGTGGTGCAATCTCGGCTCACTGCAACCTCTGCCTCCCAGGTTCAAGCAATTCTCCTGCCTCAGCCTCCCGAGTAGCTGGGACTACAGGCACACGCCACCATGCCCAGCTAATTTTTGTATTTTTAGTAGAGATGGGGCTTCACCATGTTGGCCAGGATGGCCTTGATCTCTTGACCTCATGATCTGCCTGCCTCGGCCTCCCAAAGTGCTGGGATTACAGGCATGAGCTACGGTACCCGGCTTAAATTCATATTTTCTTCATGCAAACATAAGTTTACTGGGCTTTTTTATCTGATAACTATAGTGGTCTAATTCTTCAAATACACTTTTTTTAAAGCTGCTTTTTACCAATTGGATGAAATTACAATAAGATGGCCAGAAAAACGATTTATGATCAGAGCCCAAGAGAGTAATCAATTTACACTTTGAAGCATGAAGTCTGACTGCCCTTTTCTCTAATGTAACACACCATGTACTACAATTTATTGGCCATAAAACTACTCATCCATAGTCATTCACTTTGTCCCATGATTTCTCTATGCAATCTTCAAAGAAAGGATTCATGTGAAATTGGTTAACTATTTACTTCATATAGAAAAAGCTCCACCTACATTTTTTAGTTCTGCTTAGGAAGAAGACTGCCATATATTGGTACTGGAATTCTGCAGTTAACATTCATAATATATTTTATTCAATTGACTATTAATGTTTAGGCCTCAAGAATTATTAATTTGTCTTCCCACATACTTTCTTTCTTCCCCAGGTTATAAAGTTAGACAACGATTTTCTTTTTCAGCTTTTCAAATTTACTACCACAACTACCCTTCCTTCCCAAAACAGTTTCATTCAGAAAATGATTTAATTTACATTACTCTAAAGATAACAGATATCTAAGTAATGTCAAACTCATTCCCCACTCTTCAATTTATGTTCAAAGGTCCAACTGATGCTCATATTACAAAGATTGATAGAGTAAATTGTCAAATGTTCAGTAAACTTTTCAAGGACATTCAAGAAAGATGCTTGGATCTTTTGTAAACATGTATTCTGGCAAAAATTTCCAAAATTTCTATAATTTGAATATGAATAGACGTATATTTCATTTTCAATATCATAGTATGTCAATCCTTTTTCTTCTTTAAAAACTGGTGTGTATTAAAAATGGAAAGTTTACATTTTTATTTTCAAAATGTTTTGAATCTTGGGAACTCTTTCCCTCTTTTAAAGACATTATAATAACACTTTTCACTTATCTTAAAGTCATTTTTGCACTTGCTTTTAAATTTATTTCCATTTGGAGATGGAACATATCACCTATCGTCTCTGAATCTGCATTCATTGACAGAGAAACAGTAATTTCTAGAGCAAAAAGTTTTAGTTACAATTTGAGGAGAAAGGATATTTTGTTAAAGTTGAGTGATTCCTTTAATAGCATAACTTCTCTATAGCAAGGACTAGGAGAATATAATAATTTTTAACATAATTATGCTTTTCTTTGAGTATGTTCAATCTAGCACAAAAGCCTTGCTAAATAATCAGCTATCACGTCTCATTCATAAGGGTCTTTCTTCGATTATAAGAAAAACAAATTTAGTAGTAATTCTCTGCACTCCAGGCAACTGTTCCTTATACAAGGAACTGCCCATTAAAATCACTTTAAAATAGGCTTTAGAGGGTTATCAAGAAGAACACTTTTGAAGTTTCTCAGATATTTCATATGTGAAACTGAACCAAGGCAGATTTAGTCAAATGAGAGTATTAGAGCACTTACAATTTGAAACAGGCTGTTTTATACTGTTTCTGATGCTCTGCTAACTAATTTTAAAAGTGAAGAAATTTCCTGTGACTTGAATTCTTCTATAATTTTTCAGAGCAAGTTGTATTAATAAATCATCCAGTTCCTTATTACAAAAAATGCAGTCCATGAACCACACTGGCATCATCTGGGAACTTGTTAGAAATGCAGCATCTCAGACCTACTGAATCAGAATATGCATTTTTAGTGAGATACCCAGATGATACACAAGCATATAAAAATTTAAGAAGCATTGATATAGTTAACATTGATACTTGGAAGGGCTAAATATTCTTTATTACAGAGTTTTCCAATGTATGTGCTAGGAAAGGCTGTTGTGCTGCAAATGGTTTGCAGGTAAGGACTCACCTAAGGACTCTCTCAACCCTTGGAGCAGATGGGTGGAATTGACTTGGCCAGAACCCCCCAGAGCATCTCCTGCCACCTGCAAGTGGCCTTGTCCCTTAACCCCAGTGTGCCATACAGACACCATGTCCTAAATGTGCCACTACATGGAAAAGATAGCAAAGCGCTGCTGTGATAAATTATGTTTAATCAAGGAATAATTTGATGGGACGAACCAGAGGGGAAAAGTAAATAGAAGTAGGAAGTCAAAGTTCTTGGGCACAGACAAATCAACAGTGAGGAAGTCAGGGTGAGACTGGAAACTGGTTCCTATTCTCCAACTCCTTGCAAAGTTAAATAAGTAAGATCTGCACAACAACTAAACAATGTTGGAAAAATAGTTCTTGGCTGGCAGAGTTAAGCTCCTGCTTTAAAAATGATTCGTCAATTAAAAATAATATTAATAAATATTAACTAGTTAATTAATTAAAAAGATAAACCAGCATAGCCAGCAACATGCATAGAATTGTTCCACAGTTAAACCTTTAGCAATGGCAACAGAAGGATTGCTTGACGGTGTTTCATGAATATTGCACAATCCCTGTTCTCCATAGTGAGAAAACTTCCAGTTTTCCCTCAGTATGGGCAGGTCCCTTTCACAGAAAAACAGAAGCATAAAGTGCTCCTCTCTTCCCTTACTAAAAGTACTGATGGATACATTGACACCAATCCCATAGTTCTCAGAGAACAGCAAAAGAAGAGAAGAGAAGCAGAGCAAATAGCACTTATGAAACAGATGTCAGCCTAAATAACCGAAAGAGTCAGAATCTAGTTTAAAGAGAGTTTATTCAAGCACAAAGTTTGAGGATGGCTGCCTGCAAAACACAGATTCTGATGAATGGAAGTCAGTGCTCTGAAGTGTAGAAGTTTGGGGTTATTTTAGATAAAGCTTGGGGATGGTGAACAGAATTTCAACATCTTTCTGTATAAGGCTTGATGTATAGTTACAATGATCTGATTAGTCGAGGTGGTCTTTTTCTTTCGAGAAGGCATATTTAAAATTCAACATTACAGATGTAACAGTCATGGGGTCTTTTTTGTCATCTGGTCTGAGTTAGGTACAGGACAATAAAGGAGGCAATTAATCTATAAAAAAGATCAGTGACTGGAAGGCGAATAGGTCTGGCCTCTGGTTGTTTACAGAACAAGAACAATGAGGAAGAGAGCTAATTTATAATCTAAGAAGCAGAAGTTGCAAATATGCTCTGTGACTCAGTCTCCAGGGCTTAAATTCTTCCTTGGCATAATAAATTTAGAGGGTCCTGCAATTTTATTTTCTTTTACACAGAAAAGCCTCGAAGTAATAAATAAGTCATTGGTGGAGGACATTTAGCAAAGCACATTGGAGAAAAGCAGTACTGTTTATAAGGATTCTGTGCTTACCAAAGACTGAACTTTGGAAAAACTTATCTAACAAGACTGGGTGGTCACTTTAGTTTGTATTGTAGCTCATAATAAAGAAGTCAATAGTTCAGTACAGGTGGGTGTATGAGAAAAACAGTAGAAAATTCAGAAGAGGATCAGCAAGCCCAAATATCAAGAGAATAATAGAATATAGACCAAATTAGAGTAGACATTTCTCTTAGCCATGTTTGTCAAAGTGTTTGACCAGTGCTTTGAAGGAATGGCTTAGAAGTTGATATAAGAACCCAGCTATGGCCGGGTGCGGTGGCTCATGCCTGTGGTCCTGGCAATTTGGGAGGCTGAGGCGGGCGGATCATTTGGAATCAGGGGTTCGAGACCAGCCTGGCCTCTAGCAGAGACCACCCTGTCTCTGCTAGAAATACAGGGGGATTGGCCAGGTGTGGTGATGTGCGCCTTTGGTCCTAGCTGCTTGGGAGGCTGAGGCAGGAGAATAGTTTGAGCCCGGGAGGTGGAGGTTGCAGTAAGCCGAGATCACACCACTGCACTCCAACCTAGGTGACAGAGCTAGACTTTGTCTCAAAAAAAGGGGGGGAAAACCCAGCTATAGCAATTGTCATTGCTGTATGTGGCATTATGCTTTAATTTTTCAGCTAATATTTTATTTCATTCATTAATATGGTTCTTTCTCACTTTTTTATTTTAAAGAGAAAAAAACTAAAGAATCCCAGTTTTAGCTTCTCTCTTATAGCATAGCAATGACTTTAAGTTGGTTTCTCTCTATAGTTTTTTTTCCAAACCTATTTTCCACATAATTATTAAAGAAACTCTTTGAGAACAAATTATTTTGTGTCACCTTCCTGCTTCTATTGTTCCAATGACACTCGTAGCTTCCTGGATTGTTTAAATTCCTTCATTTGGCACTTACATTTCTGTTTTATTTTCTTTTTTTTTTTCTTTTTTGAGACAGAGTCTTGCTCTGTCGCCCAGGCTGGAGTGCAGTGCCGTGATCTCTGCTCACTGCAAGCTCCGCCTCCTGGGTTCATGCCATTCTCCTGCCTCAGCCTCCCAAGTAGCTGGGACTACAGGCGCCTGCCACCACGCCTGGCTAATATTTTTGTATTTTTAGTAGAGACAGGGTTTCACCATGTTAGCCAGGATGGTCTCGATCTCCTGACCTCGTGATCCGCCCGCCTCGGCCTCCCAAAGTCCTGGGATTACAGGCGTGAGCCACTGTGCCCAGCCTGGCACTTACATTTCTTTAGGATTTCTTAAATCTCAGCTTCCTTTGTGGCCCCATACCCATCTGCATCCAATTCCATCAAACTGCTGTCGTCCCCCAAACACACAATGCTTTAGTGTGCCTTGTGCCGTTGCACCTGCTGTCACCCTACGAACATGCTCTTCTCCTTTGTTCACTTGCAAAATCTTTCTTATCCTTGAAGCTTCAGCTCCAGCGTCACCTCCTGTAGAAAGTCCTTCTCTCTTCTCTCCATCTTGTGACGTGTTCTCTAACCCTGAGCATGTCTTGATCATGGAATTTTTTAGAGGGTATTGCCATCAGGACCCGTTTCATGGGTGTGTGACCTATGCAGTATCATTGAGCCTTGTACTCTGAAGGGCCCCACACTTTATTTAATGCTCTGTTGCCATCAGCTTGAAATTCTCAATAATTTTAGCTTTGATTTGTGTTTTGTAGCTGAAGTCCAATGGAACAATGAGGTATGCACATGAACAGAAGAGATACATGCAATATGTGTGCAATGGACTGAATGAGCAGAAGAGATACATGTAATGTGCATGTAAAATGTATATATGAAATCCTAGCCCTCAGTGTGATGATATTAGGAGATGTGAGGAAATTAGTCATGAGAGTGAATGCTTCATGAATAGGATTAGTGCCTTATTAAAGGGATCCCAGAGAGAGCTCTCTTGCCCTCTTTCCACCATGTGGGAATCCAGGAAGATAGCCATTTGCCACCCAGGAGCAGGCCCGCATCAGAGCCTGACCACACTGGCACGCTGATCTTGGACTTACAGCCTCCAGAAGTGTGAGAAATAGATTTCTGTTGTTTTTAAGCCACACTGTCTATGGCATTTTATTATAGCAGCTGAACTAAGCCAATGCATGTCAGCCATTCCTTACTGCCCCATTCGCATAAATAATTTGCAATGCCAAAGATCACAGAATTCCAGTGCACCCACAATGCAGGAGAGTTCAGCAAGACTCAAAATTATAGTACAAGGTAAGCATGTTACATGTACTACTGAGGAAGCAGTGGCACTTGCAATTCCAAGAGGCCATGCCTCACCTTCCAAATAGAACTTTCTCTGAATGCATAAAGAAAGCAATGATGTTGTAAGAAACATGAATGAGCAAGAAACTCTCGTTTTTTCCACCTCTTATTACTTCCCTATATTAGCCAACCGTTCCTGCAGAAAATCATATAGAAGAAAGGGAAAGATAGGGCAACCCATAGCTCCTTTGCTTGCAGTTCATTACTCATTAGCAAACTAAAAGTAGAGTGTTGGTAGAATGCATGAATGTCAAGATGTAAACAGAAAAACAGTCGAGTTAGCCTTGTGGAGCATTTCTACTGTTCTGCCAAAAACAAAATACTAAGATTATGTAATTTCGATGATTCTGCGTGAGTTTAATGTTGTCATATTTGAATTTAAAACCAGCGTTGTAGAATATAAAGATGGATGACAAAATTCATTCTAGTAATTTAAATTTTAATTTTTTATTTACTTAGAATATTAAACACCACATTAAAAAATACCATGCCAAGTCAAGATAACCTACAGAAAACAAAGAATTTTCAAATTTTAGTACTGCTTATGTCACCTTTTATCTGCTTTTTCAACAAGAGGTTTCAAATTTTTATTTTGCAGTAAATCCTACAAATGATATCACCGGCTATGATATTATAGTAAACTCTGTTTTTGTTTTCTATGCACCACATTAACTTAGGAGTTGCTTAAAGGTGAGGATTGTGGCAAGATTTTTTTTTCTCTTATTATTCCTGGTGTTTACATATAGCAAGCTCTCAAAAAATGGATTTCAAATGGCAATTGCAGTTAAGTTTAATGTTTCGAGAAAGGCAAGACCAAGGAAGCAGCTCTTTTTCCAGATGCATCTCAAGTATATTTTGTCCTGAGTGTGTCAAATATGGAATCTACAGAGTAAAACCAATTCCCCGGTCAATTGGCCCTGGATTTGAACACTGGCTAGGTCTATGTTAGGCACTGTGGGAGATTCACATTATATCTTGGAATCATTCATGAAGCCCATCTGCTTACTCACAGAAACGTGGGATAGCAAGTGCAGAGGATCAGAGCTGGCAATGGACATGCACATGCAGGCATAAAATGGGCTGGGAGATTTGCCTCAGATACTAAACCGGATGTTTATCTAGGTAGATAAAAACATGATTCCCCCATTGGCAACTCCAGTGGCTCAAGGTGAGGAAAAAGAGTTCCAACATATGGACTAGGACCAGCCACAAGTGTAGTCAGTGGCCTGGGTCCCCAGATTATTATCAAACAGGAATTACGTGGAGAGTTTATGTGAAACAACCTGGGAATTCGTCACTAGGGAAGCTGTGAATCAGCAGCAGAACTCCAGGCCTCAGGGAAGGGCCACCGAAGGGGAAGACAGGACCCCAGTCATGGAGGGAAGTGGGGTCAGGGAATCTTCCCAGAACAAGACCTCGAAAGGACCAGAGCAGAAGCCTGACTCATAACCAATGCCAAGGGTGGGATGGGGAGCAAAGAAGCAGAGACAGTGATGGGCTCAGGCAAGGCACTCAGTTGGATGACACAGAACCTGAAATGGATAGGGAGAATAAAGGAGAAGGCCACCTAGAGGCCAAAGAAAGTATTTCAGGGGAACGAGGAAGAAGAACATAGAGAAAATATGCAGAACTTAGATAAAAAACATATAGCTTGGTTAGAGAAAAAAGACAAATATATATGAAACAAAATAGAGTTAAAATTCAACATAACATATTAGACCCAAATAATGGAGTTCTTATTTAAGTACTATGAGAAGTCAAAGTGAGTTGGAGAAGGGAGAGAAGGCTTCCTGGAGGAGGTGGCGTGGCATAAGACCTGGATGTTCAAGGAAAAAATATTCAATCCACTCAGGAGGGATATACTGAGCCTGCAGAGAGCTGCAAATGGGGTGGTCTCTATAAGGGGTTTGTGCTTAGGAGTGTGAGGTGTAGGAATAGTATGGTAGGCTGAATCATGCCTCTTCCAAAGATGTCCATGTCCTAATCTCATCCCCCAGAACCTGTGAATATTGCCTAATATGGCAAAAGGAACTTTGCAGATGAGATCAAGGGATTGAGATGGGTAGATTGTCCTGGATTAGCCAGGTAGGCCCAATACAGTCACAGTTGTCCTTACAAGAGGGACACAAGAGGAGTCAGAGCCAGAGGAGAAGACTGACTCCTGAAGATGAAACCAGAGGCTGGAGCAATGTGTTTTGGAGAAGGAGGAAGTAACTACAAGCCAAGGAATACAGTCAGCCACTAAAAGCTGAAAAAAGCAAGGAGACAGATTCTCCCCTCAGAACCTCCAGAAGGAACGACCCCACCAACCTCTTGATATTTGCTCAATCAAACTGATTTTTTGCTTTTGCCTCCAAAATGGTAAGAGAATAAATTTGTGTTGTTTGAGCCACTAAGTGTGTTGTAAATTGTTTCAGCAAAAATAGGAAACTAAAACCAGCAATAGGAAACATGGACTAAGCTATAGAGCTCTTTGTGGTCACTACAGCCATGCTCATGAAAAACAAATGTAGCCAAGCATATGAGGGAACTTGCTGTGAGATGCTTTCTTCTGTGTTCATGATGGAACACAGCAGCCCACCTCGAGATAAGCCCTGGAGAGTGGAGGCTCCACTGAATTCAACCTACAGCACCATGTTGAGAATCCTCAGCTGCCAACAGGTTTTTTCTCACAGTCTGGAGGCTGGAAGTCTGAGACGAAGGTGCCAGCAGGGTTAGTTTCTAATGAGGGCTCTCTGACTTGTGTTTGGTGATTTTCTCACTGTGTGCTCACATGGCCTTTTCTCTGAGCATGTGAGGAGAGAGAGATCTCTGTTGTCTCTTCCTCTTTTTATATGGACACCGGTTCTATCAGATTAGGGTCCAACCTCTATGACCTCATTTAACCTTATTACCTCGTTAAAGGCTCTATCTCCTAATACAGTCATATTGGGCATTAGGGCTTTAACATGTGAATTTTGTGGGGGACACAGTTTAGTCCATAACAGGTGACAGTGATCAAGATGGCATCATCCTGTACTTTTAGGATCCACGACCTCATATATTTCATTGTTATGAAGAGCATATCAGAAAGCAAAATGAAAAATACTTGCAAAACATCTTTTAATTTTCATGCATTCTCAAGACTTTCCTAATGTCAGAATATGTCAAGGAATTTATCCATCTGCCCTAAAAAAGAAAAGGATACCAGGTGGGATACTGTGGCCTTTTCCCCCACTCACCTACGTGAAATACTAATTATAGAAAGTACAATGGAGAAAATATTTTGTGTAAAACCTTGCAGCTGGGACCCTGCTGTCTGGACGTAATTATACAAACTGGAATTGATTTCAGGCAGGACAAGAAGGCTACCATCCCAGCTACATGAAGTGCCTAGGGAGCTCCTCTAATTACCACTAACTAGAGATTTAGTCTTATATCTCTTTCAAATAACGTCAGCAGCAGCAGAGGCAACCTGCACCTTCCAACATCACACTCCTCCGTTAGTTTGCTCTGACTCACCCTCCTCTCATCCTACCCGTGATGAACTTTCCATTGAGTGATTTATTTTTCCATATACTGAGTAGCACTTAAGCAACTGCCTTCTTTTCACCTTCTTTCTTTCCTACCAAATAATTATCGTGTCTCCTCTATGCAAGGACATTCATATATGCTATTTATTCAGGCCTCATTATAACCCTGCTAAGTAAATATCATCCCTCTAGATGTGTAAAGTGGGGGTCAGGGTGGTTTTGTGGCTTGACAACAGCATTGAGTCACCCCAGTGAGGATCTGGAGGGGTGGAAGAAGAAAAGAAAGGGGGAGAGAAAAATGGAAAAAGAAGGGGGGAGGGGGAGAGGCCAGCAGTACTAGGGGGCTGGCAGTAGTGAAGTCTGCAAGGCTCTATCTCTACCTCCCCACAGGGTCAAGATGACTCTACACACTCCCGAAGGTCCTGTGCTCAGAGACTAATTCCATGAAAATTCATTGTAATCAGAGCTTGTACAACCTGCTTGATGAGAATTCGCTGGACTTGCTGCCCATACATAACAAAATGGTAGTGCTTCTCTATAAATAAGCTCTGGCTCCTCTGCCTAATGAGGGCTTACACTCAGCCTACAGGAAAACATGTTCTGTCTTTGCCATCAATTTCCTTTGGTGCCCAGTGCATGAAAATAACTTTTTTTTGCCTTTCATGGACTTCTCTCCAGCCAAATTAGAACAGGACCCCCAAGTCTGCCCAAAGGCCAGCTAGTTCCCTGGGTCAGCCTCAGATATGACCAGAGCCAAGAAGTCCTGTCATATCCCACCCATCCAAGCACTGGGGAAAACTGGCTCCCCTCTCAGCTGCCCTGTCTCTAGGGCTGCAGCTTTTATGTCTTTGGGAAGATTTGCAATGGCCTGGCTCTACTTCTCTTATTTCTCTCTGTGGCCTCTGAGTTGGGTGACATGGGCTGGATCCCACAGGACAAATCAATAAACATTGTCCTACCTCCGTTTTTCTATGAGAAAAATGGAAAATAATCACTGAGATAGTTAATTTTATATGTCAACTTGACTGGGCCATGGGGTGCCCAGGTATTTGGTCACACATTATTCTGGGTGTGTTTGTGAGGGTGTTTCTGGGTGAGATTAACATTTGAATCAGTAGACGGAGTAAAGCACATTCCCTCCCCAGTGTGGATGGCCCAATCACATGAAGGCCTGAATAGAACAAAAACACTGACCCTCCCTCTAGTACGAGAGGACTCCTCCTGTCTGACTGCTTTGGGCTGGGACATTGTTTGTTGTTGTTTTGCCTGCCTTTGGACTCAAACTGAAACACTGGCTCTTCTTGGATCTTGACCCTGCCAGCTTTCAGCCTGGCACTATACCACAGGCTTCTCTGGTTCCTACATCTTCGGACCCAGACTGGAGGTCTCCAGCTTCTGACCGTGGATCTCTCAGACTCCATAATCACATGAACCAATTCCGTAGCATGGATACATACTCATTCTGTTTCTCTGAAGAACCCTGACTAATACAATCACTGATATACAGCTTTTGTGAGACTTTTAGAGTATGGCTATGTTTACAAAATATTTTCAAGTTGTCAGACAAATGCACAGTGTAAAAAACACAATTTGACTAAGGCCTATCTTAACTTAGGGGGTGAAAGAGAAGGAGGGACTGGTGGTTAGTGCCCCAATCTGTCCTCAGACTGATCTTATTCACTGTTGGTCCCCAGTGCTGAAATCAATGCAGGTGGTATGATTTCTAGTCTCTAAATTCAGGAATTAGAAAATATCTGTTTCTTTATTTTCTCAAATCAAGTGGAATATAAATGTATCTATCTAAGCAAGCTGTAATGTTAAAAATTCATCTACTGTAATATCGGGCTGACTTCCTATTCAAATCTAATAAGAACCTGGAAGTCTTAATTGTGCTTAGAAAATACCTCTATCCTTCAGTTGCTTTGGGGGTCTTCATTCTTCAGGCCATCATGAATGCCACTACATCTACATTGCCTAAGTGCCAGGTCCCTCACACTCTGGTAACTTTAAGTCAGGTCATCTTATGGCAGATACAAAAATGTTTGCAGAGACTGGAAATCCACCCCCCTCCATAGGCGCCCCACTACCAACTCTGATTAATTCTGTGCCACACACTTGGGGCACAGAATTAAGCTACAGCAAATTTGAAATAAGCTATTTTCTTTCTATTAGTAATTGGGTCCAGGTACACCCACAACCCATACACTTTTCTCCTCACAAGAGGGAAGTCTTTTTCCTTTTTCTGCTCTTTCTCTCCTTTTCCTCAAAGAGCTTATTTAATTCCCACATTTCCCCTTCTCATTTATCCAAAATATCCTGTATTATTGCTTCATTAGGCAAAAAAAAAAAAAAAAACCCTCAAGCTCTGTTGATTTCAGACTGCAAGTTTGAAGTGTTTTGTATCATTTCTTCCAAAGGTAGTGGCTAGACAACTTTCAGGAGGGAAGTGTACTGGTAGTGGTTTGATTAGGTTGTATGGGCATTATTAAACCCTTGTGTCTAAGAAAAAAAGGTATGGTTTGCCTTATGGGCATGGGGTAGAGTATATCGTTCTTGCCAATCAAGACCAACCAAGATGCCTTTTAGTTTTATTCTCTCCCTTTCTAGATACCTGGCAAACACACAGTCTAATATAGAAAGGTTTTATATATGCATTGCACCACATGGTCCTCCTTGTTTAATCAGATTTCTTTGAACTATGGTGGGCACCTAACCCAAGAGTAGCCAGTCTCTGACACAGCCTCAAGCAAGAGCCCTACCCAGTAAGGGCACATTATATGGATGACGATGGACCAAGTATGGACCCTTCATATTAGGAAGTTTGAATTCATAGACAAAAAATCATTGATAACAGGAGAAGTCACAGAAACGGAGAAAGAGAAGTGATGGGAATGAAGAACCAAAGAGAGAAAAACAGTTCCCTGGTGCTAACCTAGTGAAAAGACACCTAGTTATTAGAACTATGTTCTCACCTAAGAGGTCCTCCAACTCCTCTTTTTCGGAAAAACCCAGCTCTATGTGTCCCTGTTTTCCTTCCTTACCTGCATATTCTTTCTGCATATCCTAATCCTCTGCGCAAAACTGAGCCTCTCTGTATTTCTTGCAACCTGAAGGAAGCTCACTCACATTTATTTCAAGAAAAGCTTATAAGGCTTAAGCTTTATAAGCTTAAGAGTAAAGAGCAATAAATAATTTACTGATTATTTAACATTCAAATTACAGATTATTTTATTCTAAAGTTTGAAGATTAAGAAATCCTAGAGAAATAGCCACCAATGAAAACATCTCAAAACATACTAACCTCTGCCCCTGCTCCTCCTTCTCTGGATTTTGGTCTCCCTCTGTTTTCCTTCTGCTTTTCTTCTGGTTTACGAACCTACCTCCCATCTCCCCCTCCGCTATCTATCTTTCTCTGATGTGACTCCTTTTGTTTCCCTTTGGTCTCCTTGTTGTGTGAATGTCTCTCTCCCTCTCTCCTTCAACATCTCCTTCCCTTACTCCTCCTTTCACACTCTCTTCCTTTGCTAGGTGCCTCTATGACCATTTACCTATTACTTTCCTTATTACCACCCTTTAAAGACCACAAAATGGAAAGGAAATCTGTTTATTAGAATTTATTGTGTCTATCACATTTTGTGTCCTACTTTCTTTATTGAATGGCAGGTGACTTGAGCATTTCGTTTTTCGCCTAACAGAAGGAAATACCTAAACAATCTGCTTTTGCATGTGCTGCCTGATTGACTAATTTCCGCAGGATCTGTGACCTTGGCAGAAAATAAAGTCTCACCCAGGACTCTGCATAGAAGGTTACTACGGAAACAATGGATTCTTTGATCCATTTATATTTGAAAGGATTTTTTTAAATCCCTCTGGAGATTCAAGTTGAAAAGAGAAAAATGCAATAAATTATTTACTAAATTAGATTATTAATCCAAAAGGTACAAAGCTGTTATTGCAGTGAAAGTACCGATTTCAGTTTTATTATATAAAGATATCTCTCCTGGTGATACCCTGGAGCTGACATTAATCTTTCTACTCGATTGGTTTTTTAATGTTCCCACTTTGTACATTTCCTTTGTGCATCTGAAAATAAAGTTTCAGGATACATCTTACCCTCTATAGACCAAAACTAAAGCTAACACCCTTATCATAATTCTTTTCATCCTGTCAAATAATTAAAATTTTTGTACATTTTATGTCAGCAGGGAAAGTTATCCGGCATTTGATAAGCACCGTAATGCTAATTGCTCCTGGTGTATCCAAAAGTATAGTCACCTGCCACCTAGTGTCTTAACTAAAAACTGCAGCAAAGGATCCACTCAACTAAGGTCTTCCGGCTCCCTCTGGCCCTCCTCATTGGACTCTTGGGGTTTAGCTTCAAACTCTCTTGAGTGGCAGGCAGCTCTCTCTGTGAGAGGTGACTAGACCTGACTTACCCACTCTGAACAGCAGAATCCTGCCTGTCACAATAGAGTAGGGTCCCTCTGGTCTATATATGAGAATACTCAAAGGAGTGCTCTGACTCAAGACACCATGGAAGAGCAAAGGATGGTTGAGGACGGCTGAAACAGTAATATGACATGACAAGTGTACATAGCTAATGTTATACTGCTATCTCAACAATAATTCCATGCAGTGATTGCAATGACATTTCAATTTAACATTTCACAAACCTTTACATTTCTACTATGTGCTGGTCACTGTGCCAGGCCCTGGAATGAAGCAGCGTCAGATAAGAGTCCTGCCCTCATAAAGCTTACATTCTGTGGAGGAACACAGCAAATAAACATGATGAATCTGTATTAGGATAAATATTATAAAGGAACTAAACAGGGTCATGAGGCCAGGCACAATGGCTCACGCCTGTAATCCCAGCACTTTGGGAGGCTGAGGCAGGCAGATCACCTGAGGTCAGAAGTCCGAGACCAGCCTGGTCACATGGTGAAACCCCATCTCTCCTAAAAACACAAAATTATCTAGGCGTGGTGGTGCATGCCTGTAATCCCAGCTACTCAGGAGGCTGAGGCAGGAGAATCGCTTGAACCTGGGAGGCGGAGGTTGTAGTGAGCCAAATCACGCCATTACACTCTAGCCTGGGCAACAAGAGTGAAACACTGTCTCAAAAATAAATAGATAAATAACAGGGTCATGATAAACTTATGGGAGAAGACCATTTTGTTTAAGGTGGTGAAGGAAAGCCTTTCTGAGAAAGAGGCATTTGGGTGAGACTCAAATACGGAGAATATTCCAAATATAAAAATAGCTAGAATAAGTCATTCCAGGAGGAGGGATCAGCAAATGCAAAGGCCTGGAAGAAGAAAGGGGCCTCTGTGTTCAAGGACCAGGATGAAGGAAAATACAGCTGAAGCGTGATAAGTGGCAGATAGGATGGTGTTTGTTTTCTAAGCATTGCTGATTCAGGATGTGAAAAAAAGAATTGCCTTCCAAGGTTTAAATTTTGAAATCAATGCGTAATGGATCATATATTTATTGAAATGCCTTTTGGTTTGTCAACCTAAATGAAGAACGGAGGATCTCTAAAAGAAAATGATATTTATTTAAGAATAGGGCGTTGTAATGGGAATATGGGAATACCCATGCTATAGTAAACTACATGTGTATTCAGGGAGGTAAGAGAGGACAAATGTTTTAAAGATTCTTTTGTAATAACATTTAGCTTAAAAAGCAAATGCATCGTTCAGCTGTACAAAAATGTTTTCTTTCTTTATAATCATATCTTATAAGCTTTTTTCTATTTTTAAATTTTTAATTTTTTTAACCTTTTAAAAGCTTTTTTGTTAAAAACTAAGACACCAACACACACATTAGCCTAGGCCTACACAGGGCCAGGATCATCAGTGTCACTGTCTTCTACCTCCACATCTTGTCCTACTGAGCTCTTCAGGGGCAATAACACCCACGGAGTCATCATCTCCTATAATAGCAATGCCTTCTTCAGGAATATCTCTTGAAGGACCTGACTGGGGCTGTTTTACAGTTAACTTTTTTTAATAACTAGAAAGAGTACACTGTAAAATAACAATTAAAAGTATAATATAGCAAATACATAAACGTGTTACACAGTCATTATCAAGTATTATGTACTGTACATCATTGTATGTGCTGTACTCTTTTTTTTTTTTTTTTTTTTTTTTGAGATGGGGATTGCTCTGTCGCCCAGACTGGAGTGCAGTGGCATGATCATGGCTCACTGCAGCTCAACCTCCAGGGCTCAAACAATCCTTCCGTCTCAGCCTCCAGAGTAGCTGGGACTACAGGTGCATGCCACCATGCCAGGCTAATTTTATTTAGTTTTTGTAGAAACGTGCCCTCCCTACATTAACCAGGCTAGACTTGTATTCCTGTGCTCAAGCAATCTTCCCCCCTCAGCTTCCCAAAGTGCTGAGATTACAGGCGTAAGCCACCCCACCTGGCCCCTTGTGCTATACATTTATATGACTGGTAAGGCAGCATTTACACTAGCATCACCGCATGAGTAATGCATTGTGCTACAATATCATGGCTACGATATGGCTAAGCATTAGGAATTTTTCAGCTCCATATTAATCTTATGAGCCCACCTTCCTATATGCAGTCCTTGGTTGACCAAAACATTGTTATGTAACACATGAACATACTCAGGATGGTCACTATCTACTATAATCACTTGATTCTCAATAAAGCTGAGTTCCATCATGTCTGGAATAAGGTGATGAATAAATTGGTTCCTATATTCAAGACCTTAGAAATTGAGACTAGAGTAGATAATAAACATGTGAACACATACTCATGTCCAGCACCATATGGCAATTTTTAAACAATATGGCAGAGGTATTTCAGGAGAAAGTAATTCATTCTTACCAGAAATATGTAGAAAGAGGTCAGTGAGACCAGCATAATGGAACTGGCTTTTGCAGGACTTGAGTAAGTAAAAGAGGAAAAGTAATTCCAGGTACGGGGATAGGGCACATGAAAGGAGTGAACAAATGCTAAAGGACTCATTAAAGGAATATGGAATGATTGTGTAAGACTAAATTCTAGAATCCACTGGGATGGTGGCACAACAGAAATTTGGGGCTGATGCAAAAATTAGGCCAAAAGTCACAGAAGCCAGAATGTAGACTGCCTAACGTCCAGGCATGGGATTTAGGTTCTGCTTTGTAGCAATGGCAATCCATCAAAGGATGTGTGATATGTAAAATTCCTTTATCAGCAGCTCAGAAGAGTGGGCTCAGTAGGCAAAAGGCAGAGAAGACTAGAGGAAGGAGTATCCTTTCAGTGCTGCCTTGCCACTTGTCCAGGCAAACGAAGATGGAAACTTGATTTATGTTGGTGTCTGTAGAGGCGGAGGAGAAGAGGTGGTTTTAAGAGACCCGGGACATAGAGAACCAACAACACCCTGTGATAAGGAGAGGGAAGGAGATGGGACATTGAGGTTGACTCCAAGGTCTCTCACTACCTAGGGGGTCAAATGTTGATGATGCCACACACTGAAATACAAAACTGAGGAGAAGGATACATTTAGGTTTCCAACACATTGTGTATGAAACTCTAGGGGAACATTCAGGTAGAGCTGTCCTACCTTTAATTAAAAGCCTAAGCCCCTTCCCCCTCCCCATCACTTTATTTCATACACTTATAGCTGCTTTTCACAGACTGCATACTGTATACTGCCTGCTAAGCTTCATGACAACTGATCTAGGCAGATGTCAACAGCCACACATTGCAGAGAAGAAAAATGAGCACTCAGAGATGTTAAACTTGCACAAGATCACACAGCTGATAATGTGCAAAGCCAGATTTGAATCCAGTTTTGCCTAATTCTAAAGGCTTTGTCTTCCAACATATTTTGCCTTCTCCTGATCTTGTAGCATTTTTCCCTTTTACCCTAAGAGACAATTCAGCCTACCTGTTTTAATTAGATGTATAAAACGTTGCTAGCCTGAAAAAAAATAGATTACTCACTTCATTCTTAGCCAGGGTAGAAGAAGAAATAATAAAAATACTTGCTCTGAGGCATATAGCTGAATTCCTCTGGAGTGTGGTAAGTCCAAACAAACAGATGAGAGTTTTGTGAGTTGAGCCCTAGAAACATAACTATCTTATTTCATAAGGTAAAGTGGGTATTTTGTTAATAAGAAATCATTATTTATAAAACATTAATAAATTACCATCACCAATTCTTTGTTAAACAGTGGACTATAGAGAGAGAGTTTGGGCTCTACTTTCCTAAAGTAAATCTAGTTACTGTGTTGTGAAAATTCAGTATTTCAAGATTTCCCCACCTGTTAACATAGCTGTGATAACTGTATTTGAAAGAAGCTTTTAGAAGTCTCAGACAAAGCTGCTACTGGCGGTAAGATTTAAAATTTTCCCTCAAATATCAAATATGGAGTTCACTCTGCCACTCCTTTGGGTCAATCTGAGAGAGTTGTGGGGTAATAGAATTTTCTTAAATCTGTGATGGAGTCACACAGGTACCCACAAAGTGGTGGCTCTCAACCCTGAAGCACATTTAAATCACCTGAACAACAACAACAACAAAAAAAAAACACTGCCCAGGGCAGAGTGGGGCCCAGGCATCAGCCAATGTGGACAACCACTGCCCCAAGGTGGGCAGAACAGAGAAATGGGAAAGAGGTTTGGAAGCAGTTAACCAGTATTTAAACCGTACCTTACCACCTACTAACTTTGTCATATTTGGTAAGTTATTTAATTTCTCTGAGTGTCAGATTTTTATCTGTATAAGAATACTACATACTTGATGGAGTGATCCTGAGGATCAGGAATAAAATGCATAGTGTACTCAGCCCAGGGCTGGATGCAGAAAGAGCCAGCATGAGACACTGGGACTGGAGGACAGGCCTAGAGGAGGAACAGAAGCCTGAGCAGAGAGGCAGAAAAACAGGCCCACAAGGCAAACTTAGGCCTGCTTCAGCCTTATAAATATCTGTTTCCTGGTTCTCGTATTCTTCTTGAAAGCCAGCAAGAGGTTGGCTCGGAAAGAAGGAGAAATTTTACCATGAGAAAGGCCTGCAATGTGGAAAAGCTGGATGCTCCCAATCACCTTTTTGTTTGTTTGTTTTTGTTTTTGACCATGGGAAGGTTTGTGCCACCTGTGCCCAACTTGAAACCTATCTCTAGGGATTTGGTGCTTACTCTAGAACATTATACTATCCTAGTGGTTCTTAGGGTGTAGTCCCCAGACCAGCAGCTTAGCATCTTATAAATGTATTAGAAGTGTGTTAGAAATGCAAAAGCCTTGGGGCCCTCCCCAGGCCAACTGAATCAGAAACTCTGGGAATAAGGCCCGCAATCTGTGTTTTTAAAAGCCCCCAGATGAATCTGATGTGTGCTAAAGTTTAAGAACCACTATATTGGCGGGCGCGGTAGCTCACGCCTGTAATCCCAGCACTTTGGGAGGCCGAGGCGGGCGGATCACGAGGTCAGGAGATCAAGACCATCCTGGCTATCACAGGGAAAACCCATCTCTACTAAAAATGCAAAAAATTAGCCGGGCGTGGTGGTGGGCGCCTGTAGTCCCAGCTACTCGAGAGGCTGAGGCAGGAGAATGGAGGGAACCCTGAAGGCGGAGCTTGCAGTGAGCCGAGATCGCACCACTGCACTCCAGCCTGGGCGACAGAGCGGGACTCCGTCTCAAAAAACAAAAAAACAGAACCACTGTATTAAGGTATTATAGTAAGTTCTCTCAGCAATAAAAATGGTTAGCAATAAGTAAAAGCCACAGCACTTTTCACTTCATTCACTGCTGTGTCATGTTAAATTCCTAATTCTTGTATTCTTGCCCAATATATTTAATAAAGGAGGGAATATCAAAATAATTGAATTATTCTTCAGAAGGAAATCGAATATCATCCCTTAGACTTCACTTGATAAAGCTCCAAGACATTTAAAATTACCTTTTTACATATTAATATGATATAACTACCTCTGCATGAATGTATGTTCTTTCATATGTTTAAACACGTATTTGTGCTTTTCGAGGGTGTCCTTTCATCATCACTTTTCCAGATATCTCAGTTTACTCAGCTGCTCTTTACAATTAAGTTTGTTCTTTAAGTCAGTTGGTCTGGCCACGATGCTCTTCACAGCACAAGGAGAGACTGCCGGTGCAGAAGGTAAGGGTCTGGTACCAGCCCAGAATAGGTGGGCCTTTTTTTCTTTTTTAATAGGTTTTATTTGTTTGTAATTGACAAATAATGATTGAACATATGGGGTACATTGTGATGGCTCAGTATACATTTTGTAATGATCAAACCAGAGTAATTATCATATTCATCACCTCAAACATTTATCATTTCTTTGTGGTGAGAGCATACAAAATCCTCTCTTCCAGCTATTTTGAAATATATAGTATATTACTATTAACTGTAGTCCCTGTACTGTGTAATAGACACCAGAACTTATTGCTCCTGTCTATCTGAAATTGTGTACCCTTCGACCAACATCTCCCCTTTCCCTGTCCACACCCTTCCCCCAGTCTAGTCTAGTCTCTACATCTACAAGTTCAATTTTTTAGATTCCACATATGAGTGAGATCAAACAATATTTGTCTCTCTGTGCCTGGTTTATTTTACTTAACATAAAGTCCTCCAGGTTCATCAATGTTGTACCAAATGACAGAATGTCCTAGGTTTAATCCCACCCCTGCTACTAACTAGCTGTGTTCTTAGGCAAATGGCAAATGGCAAATGGCTTAATCTCTGAGAGCTTGTTTCCTTATCTATGGAAATGAGGTTAACAGTAATACCACCCCATGCCTCATAAGGTTTTTGTGGACTAGGTTTAATACTCAATAAATACTACCTGTTTGTATTATGACTTTGTGAAAGTTGTCAAAATTAAAATTGAATTGCTTACATTAAAAAAAAGAACTTGACAAATCGAGCCAGGGAAGGCTATGAAGAGAAAGTTCTCATGCATAAATATATGACAACAAAAACTATCACAAAAGATTGCAAAAACTGCAATCTCACATAAAGGCCATTACAGGATATTAGTCCATTCTTGCATGGTTATAAAGAACTATCTGAGACTGGGTAATTAATAAAGAAAAGAGGTTTAATTGGCTCATGGTTCTGCAGGCTGTACAGGAAGCATGACTGGGAAGACCTCAGAAAACTTACAATCATAGTGGAATGTGAAGAGGAAGGAGGCACATCTTCCAAGGCCAGAGCAGGCAGAAGAAAGAGCAGGAGGAGGTGCTACACACTTTTAAACAAGCAGATCTCGTGAGAATTTACTATCACAAGAACAGCAAAGGGAAAATCCACCCCCATGATCTAATAATCACCTCCCACCAAGCCTCTCCTCCAACACCGGGGATTACAATTCAACGTGAGATTTGAGCAGGGACACAAATCCAAACCATATTACACACCTTACACAAAAATACTTCTGCAAGGACATCTACCCAGAAACAGCCTGTCCAGCCTCAGACAGACATCACCCTTCTTATTGATCCTTGTAACCAAAAGTAATTATCTCACAACAATTATGTAATCCTCATCATTTTTCCTTTAAAAACCTTTACCTCCTTGAGTATTCACATAGTTTACTATAGTACATGTATTCCCATTGCAATATCCTATTCTGAATAAATATCATTTTCTTTTAGAGAGCCTCTCTCTGTTACATAGGTTGACAACTTCCAGAAGCATCTTTGCTTTTAATGAAGATATAAAATACGTGCAAATTTTTGAAGAAGACATGAAGTAGAAATATAGGATTTTTATGGACTTTGAGATAAACCATTTAAAGCGGTGCTTTCCAAACCTTAACATGTACACAAATCACTAATAATCTTGTTAAAATCCAAATATTGATCCAGTATGTCTGAGGTGGGGTCTGATATTCTGCAGTTCCAACAGGCTCCAACAATGCCAATGCTCTTGTCCTGGGCTGAAATCACTGAGCTCATGTCCTGGAATATGTGAATCACCCAGTAAACATCAGCTGTTGGTACTGTGACTTCCAGAAACCTCTTTGATTTTAATTAAAATTGTAAGTATTTGTATGTCTTTGAAGTAGGTGACATTAAGTGGATCTTTCAAAACCAGAGGATGATTATAAGATGTAACTATTCTTAATTACTTTGTTTTGGTACAAAAAGGGGGAAGGAATGTCTTTTCTTTCTATCCTTTTAATTTAAAGGGAAAATGCTTTTCCCTTTCTTACTCAGGGGGGCATTTTTTAAATGCCTTAATTCAAAAGTCTAAGTCAATGCTGGAATGAGCTAAGACTTTGGGGGACTGTGGGCATGGCATGATTGGTTTTGAAATGTGAGGAGATGAGATTTGGGAGGGGCCAGAGGTGAAATGATATGGTTTGGCTGTGTCCCCACTCAAATCTCATCTTGAATTATAGCTCCCATAATCCCCACATGTCCTGGGAGGGACACAGTGGGAGGTAATTGAATTATTGGGGGCAGGTTTTTCCCATGTTGTTATCATGATAGTGAATAAGTCTCACAAGATCTGATTGTTTCAAAAAGGGCCATTCCCGTGCACATGCTCTTGCCTGCCACCATGTAAGATGTGCCTTTGCTCTTTATTTATCTTCCACCATGATTGTGAGGCCTCCACAGACTGCTGAACTGTGAGCCATCAAGCTTCCTGTACAGCCAGTGGAACCATAAGCCAATTAAACCTCTTTTCTTTGTAAAGTACCCCGTCTCAGGTATGTCTTCATAGCAGTGCAAGAACAGACTAATACAATATGTAAATCAATAAATGTGGTTCACCACACAAACAGAATTAAAAACAATAACCATATGATTATCTCAATAGATACGAAAAGGCATTCGATAAAATCCAACATCTTTTCATGACAAAAATCCTCAAGAAAGTAGGCATCAAAGGAACATACCTCAAAATAACAACAGCCATCTTCAGCAGACCCACAATGAACATCATACTGAATGGACCAAAGTTGAAAACATTTCCCTCAAGAGCTGGAACAAGATAAGGATATCCACTCTTACCACTCCTATTCAACACAGTACTAAAAGTCCTAGCCAGAGCAATCAGGCAAAAGAAAGAAAGAAAAGGCACCCAAATAGTAAAAGAGGAAGTCAAATTATTCCTGTTAATTGACAATATGATTCTACACCTAGAAAACCCTCAGGATTCCTACAAAAGAATCCCAGACCTGATAGAAAACTTCAGTAAAGTTTCAGGGAACAAAATCAATGTACAAAAATCTGTAGCTTTTATGCACTCCAGGACATTCAAGCTGAGAACCAAATTAAGAACATAATCCCATTTACAATAGCCACACACATACACACACACACGCACAGTTAGGAATGCGTCTAACCGTGGAGGGGAAAGATGTCTGCAAAGAGCATTACAAAACAGTGACGGAAGAAATCATAAATGACACAAACATGGGAAAACATTCCATGCTCTAAATGTCCATACTGCCCAAAGCAATTAACAGATTTAACACAATTCCTATCAAATTACCAACATTATTTTTTCATGGAATTAGAAAAAACAATCTTAAAATTCATATGGAACCAACAGAGTCATAATAACCAAGGTAATCCTAAACAAAAAGAACAAAGACTACAGTAACCAAAACAGCATGGTACTGGTGCAAAAATAGACACATAGACCCATGTAACAGAATGCAGAACCCAGAAACAGAGCCACTCATCTACAAACAACTGATCTTTAACAAAAGGTGACAAAAATAAACAATGGATAAAGGACACCCTGTTCGACAAATGGTGCTGGGAAAACTGGTTAGCCATGTGCAGAAGAATAAAACTGGACCCCTACCTCTCACCATATACAAAAATTAACTCAAGATGGATTAAAGGCTTAAATGTAAGACCTCAAACTATTAAAATACTACAAGAAAGCCTACAAAAAATGTCTTCTGGATATGGGCCTAGGGAAAGAATTTATGCTTTTAAGACCTCAAAAGCAAATGTAATAAAATTAAAAATTGAAACCTAATTAAACCAAATACTTTCTGCACAGCAAAAGAAGCTATCAACAGAGTAAGGAGACAGCCTACAAAATGGGAGAAGATATTTACAAACTATACATCTGACAAAGGACTAATATTCAGAATCTATACTTAACTTAAATCAACAAGAAAAAACCCATTAAAAATTGGGCATAGGATATGAACAGACACTTCTCAAAAAAAGACATACAAGCAGCCAACAAGCATATGGAAAAATGCTCGACAACACTAATAATCAGGGAAATGCAAGTCAAAAACCGCATGAGACACCATCTCACACCAATCACATAGCTATTATTAAAACGTCAAAAAATAACAGATGTTGGTGAGGATGCAGAGAAAAGGGAACACCTATACACTGTCGATGGAAATGTAAATTTGTTCAGCCACTGTGGAGAGCAGTTTGGAGTTTCCTTGAAGAACTAAAAATAGCACTACAATTTGACCCAGGAATCCCATTACCATGTGTCTATCCGAAGGAAAAGAAATAGTTCTACTAAAGCTATTCCTGTACTTGTATGTTCATGGCAGCACTATTCACAATAGCAAAGTCATGGTGCCCACTAATGGTGGCTTAGATGAAGAATATGAGATACTTAGACACTATGGAATACCATTCAGCCTTAAAAAGGAATGAAATCATGTCCTTTGCAGCAACATGGATGCAGCAGGAGGACATTATCCTAAATGAATTAACACAGAAACAGAAAGTCAAATACCACATATTCTCATTATAAGTGAGAGCTAAACATTGCATGCATGTGGGCATAAGATGGGAACAATAACACTAAGGACTCCAAAACAGGGAGGGAGGAAAGAGAGCAAGAGTTGAAAAACTACTTACTGGGTACTATGTTCACTCTCTGGGTGTTGGGTTCAATAGAAGCCCAAACCTCAGCATTTCACAATATATCCACGTAACAAACCTGCATACATACCCGCTGAATCTAAAATTTGAAGAAAATAAAACAAAAACAGAGAAATCTGCACTTGTACCGGTTTAAAGAAATAAATACGTTTTAATCTAATCAAATATATCAAATCTTTTACTTTATAATTTTGGTTTACTGGATTTTGTTAATATGCTCTTTCTTACACTGAGATTATGCAAAAATTCTTCTGCATTTTCCTCAAACTTATTTTAGTTTTGCTTTAGATGTTTAGATCTCTTATCAACGGGGTAACAATTTATCTTTGTGTATGATATAAACAAGAAGTCTAAATAAATATACACACATATATACATACATACACACATATATACATGTGTAAATACACAGTACATGTAATTTTTCTCTGTGGGTAACCAATTAATGTTTATCAGTTAGCCCATGCATGTTCTATTGATTTGTAATGCCACTGCTTCATGTATCCAATTTCCAAATATGTATGAGTCTCTTTCTGAACTCTCTATTCTGTTCCACTGGCAAGTCATCCATCACTGTGCCAATAGCACACTGCCTGAACTACTATAGTTTTATAATAAGTCTTGATATCTGGTAGAGTGACCCTCTCCATCTTCTTCTCTTTCAGAATTTTCTATTCCTAGCTGTTTTCTTCCATTCAAATTTTGAAATAAGCTTGTCAAGTTCAGCAATAAAAATCCAGTTGAGGTTATAATTTGAATTGCATTAGAATAGATGGATTTGAAGATGAATGACAGTTTTCTTCTTATCCTTGAACATGGTTTCATCTCTCCTTTCATTTAAGTATTCTCGAAGGTCTTTCAATGAAATTTCATACTTTTTTCATATTTGCACATCCTTTGTTAGATTTAATACTAGGTACTTCAGATTTTGTAATACTACTATTTGTGCTATCTGTATTTTCTGTTTAAGTCTTCACAACCCTATGAGTTAGATATTTTCACGTTCATTTTCTAGCTAAGGAAACTAAGGTCCAGAAAGATTAAGTAACTCACCATGTTATCAGTAGTCAGTGATGGGGACGGGATGCAAAACAAGTTCTATCTGACCCCAAATTCTGTGTTCTTAACCTCCAATCCATACTCTGTCTTCTGATGATTGTCTTTAAAGCATTTTTAAATGAAACAACTTAAGGGTATTCAAAGGCACAAAACAACAACAACAATAGTAACTACCTATCTCCCTGGAGAAAACGTTAAGTACCTCAAACTTTATTCTCTATACAAATAACCTGGGACTTCTATTACAATGTACATCTTAATCCTGTAGGTCTGGGGTGGAGCCTGCAAATATTTAGGTATTCCCAAATGTCTTTCAATGAAATTTTATACTTTTTAAAATAATTGCACATCTTTTGTTAGATTTAATACTGGGTGCCTTATACTGTTTTTTAAATTGTTGTTCATTTATCTGCATTGTGAGGCTGGGTATCCTCACAGCCCTATGAGTTAGATGTTTTATGTCTATTTTGTAATGAAGGAATCTAAGGTATAAAGTAACTAACAATATATCATCAGCAGTAAGTGACCAGGTAATACAAATGCTGCCGGTCCAAGGAACCCCTTCCAGAACCACCACTAACTCTACAGCATTTTCTGGTGAGGAACCCTTTAATTAACATGATTAAAGGTGAGAACTCCACCAGATGGCAGCAGAAGCTCATCATTTTGTCTCAAATGATTCCATTTCCCTCTGGATGGAGTGTTAGCTGTTGGCAAATGCCTGACTCGTTAGGTTATTGCGGTGAAGTGAATCAGAATCAGGGCCTTTCACTCCTGATGCTGTGTGCAATCTTACCTACTACAGCGCCTCAGTGTTGACAAGGGATTTTCAGCAAAAGCATCCAGCCGGGACATGCCCACGAGCTTCTCCCAAAAACCTTATGGCAGGAGGCTTATAAATGAGAATGAAAACTGTTTTCCATGGGTTGCTTTTTCATCACAGTGAGTTCAATTTAGGTACTTAACCAAGAAAAGGAAACATGATTTGAAATGTTTGGCAGGGGATTAGAAGAGGAAATGATTCATTCACTGTGGGGAACGGGAAGCTATTCAGGCAGATAAACCTGAAACAGAGTCCAAAGATTCAGAGGAAATCCAAGAATAATGCCAGGGACCCACCTCCATCCAAAGCCTAGGCCCAGCCTCTCCCCAGGGGTGCCAGATTACCCCTCTTCCTCAGTGCTTTTTTTCTTTTTAAAAACTGAATATATATATATAGTTGAATTATGAAAAGGATCCATCATCTTGTACTGCTCCCACCCTAAGCTTGGTAAAATGAGGCACCTGTCACTAAGAAGGCTAATGAGTTCATTATATTCTCTTGCCTTTTAGTTACTTAAAAGCAATAATTTGGGCACTGGGGAGGCCCTCAGCGCTGCCTTGAGTGAGCTGTGAGTAGGCTTTAGCCTAGTATAGGCAGCCCCCAAATTTCAATAGTTCAACTTAAGATTTTTGAACTTTACGATGGTGCAGAAATCATATGCATTCAGTAGAAGCTGTACTTGGAGTACCCATACAGCAATTCAATTCTGTTTTTCAATTTCAGTACAATATTCAATACATTACATGAGATATTCAGCACTTTATTATAAAACAGGCTTTGTGTTAGATGATTTGCCCAACCACAGGCTATTGTAATTGTTGGAGCATATTTAAGGTAAGCTAGGCTAAACTATGATGTTCAGCAGCTTTGGTGTATTAAGTGCATTTTTGACTTACAATATTTTCTATTTCCAGTAAGTTTATCCCATCGTAAGCCAAAGAGCAGCTGTACAGGATGGCATTTGGCAGTCCCTAGGCAGGTCTCACTTCCTCCTCTCCCCTTACTCTGCCATAACCATCTCTCCCATTGACTCAGTCAGCACTGTCTGTGCTGCTGCACAGGGCTGTCTCCCAGAGTGTGTTCACATAGTCCAGTCTATCAGATTGCTTTGCTAATGTGCCAATGGCAACAGGGAGAATGAAACAGACAAGGATTCTGTGGGCTGTCCTTGGCTGAGACGCACATTGAGGGAGAATTCAACCTGCTCCACCACGCCAGGCCCCAGGGAAGGAGGCCAGGGAGCCTAAGAGGGGTCAGGTGGAGGTGTATGGTAGTGAGTAGGGAATCAGGAGATTATCAGCCGTCCTATTATTTAATGGTTCTTGCTTCAAGCATTTGCTGGGAAAGAGGGGTCCCGAGAACAGGTCCATGCCACTGAGACTCAGTGACTTATACTAGGGCAAGTGTAAATGTTCTGGTATTAGGGTTCTCTTGACAACCAGAACTAATAGGGTAAATATATATTAGAGTTTATTAAGGAGTATTAACTCACATGGTCACAAGGTCCTACAATCGGCCATCTGCAAGCTGAGGAGCAAGGAAGCCAGTCTGAGTCCCAAAACTGAAGAACTGGGAGTCCAATGTTCAAGGGCAGGAAGGATCCAGCACAGGAGAAAGATGTAGGCTAGGAGGCTAGGCCAGTCTAGTCTTTTCACGTTTTTCTGCCTGTTTTATATTCTGGCCATGCCGGCAGCTGATTAGATGGTGTTCGTGTTCACCCAGATTAAGGGTGGGTCTGTCTTTCCGAGCCCACTGACTCAAACGTTAATCTTCTTTGGCAACACCCTCACAGATACACCCAGGATCGATACTTTGCATCCTTCAATCCAATCAAGTTGACACTCAGTATTAACCATCACAGTTTACATCTCAGGCTCCAAGTGTTAAATCTTCATCCATAGCTCTAGAAGATGTTCATCTAAGCATGGAAGTGATGCTCTGTAGGGCAGTGTCCTAAGGGAGCCCCTCCCTTAACCCTTCTCCAGCCTGTGAGGTCCTACTGAAGAGTCAGAGACAGAAAGCAACCAAGTAGGTTCCTCCTGACAAGAAGCTTCTAGAAGTCAGGAATTCCAGCCTCATGTATGGCCACCATCCACTTTAGTGCCTGGGACATTGATGTGGCACAGACTGTATTGCTAATTAACTTGCATGTATCATCACACTCCATCCTCACCAAGATTCTCTGAGGTAGGCACTGGTACCATCTTCACTTTACAGGGAAGAGAACAGCAGCTTAGCAGGTCAGGGTACTTCTCCAAAATCATGTGGCTACAGGATGTGGAGTTGGGGTATGAACTTAAAACTGAGGTCCAGGGTCCAATGTGTGGCCTCTTAGACACCAAGCGCTCGCTCGCTCTCTCTCTCTCTCTATATATATACACACACACACACACACACACACACACACACACACACACACATATACATATACATATACACCAGAAATAAGACACCAAGCATCTTGACCACTGGCCAAGATTATCAAAAAAATTTTTGGTAGTGGGTTTTGGACCCCAGGACTCTTTTCTCTGAGTCCGAAGCCTCTGGTTCTCTCATGGCAGGGCAGGGCATGGTGCCCTGGAGCTTTCAGCCGCACTTCCCTGTTGCTGCCTTGACCACACCTTTCTTATGGCTCTGTCTTAATCCGTTGACACATCAAGGCCATTGCTTGAATCATAGGCTAACACACTGGGACAGGTTGCTACTGTGAATCACTTTATAAAATAAAGACACCTTTTATTTAAAAATTCCCAAGTTGATTTTTTGTTAATTCTCCACCAGTGATTTTCAACTATCTCTAAATCACTGACTGCTCTGAGAATGTAGTAAAAGCTACAGACTCTTGCCCTATAAAAGAGCACACACACACACAACAGGGCACACAACTTTAGGTAGGGTTCATTTATCCCCCCAAGTCCTATCTAGAAACCTCAGGCTAGGAACCCCCAACAAAAATGGCGATTATTTGGGTATATTCAAATTGGAAAACACCTACAAAATGCCATTGTCATCATTTACTAAAGGACAAGCTAAAAAAAGAAAGGGACAGAGCTTGGACATTATTCACCTGAAGTTTGTATATTTTAATCTTTATGCAGGCATCAATAATATTGCTTTTAAAACTCTTAGGAGGCCGGGCACGGTGGCTCATGCCTGTAATCCCGGCACTTTGGGAGGCCAAGGCGGGCGAATCACAAGGTCAGGAGATCGAGACCATCCTGGCTAACACAGTGAAACCCCGTCTCTACTAAAAATACAAAAAAAAATTAGCCAGGCATGGTGGTGGGTGCCAGTAGTCCCAGCTACTCGAGAGGCTGAGGCAGGATAATGGCGTGAACCCGGGAGGCGGAGCTTGCATTGAGCCAAGATCACACCACTGCACTCCAGCCTGGGCAACAGAGCAAAATTCCATCTAAAAAAAAAAAAAAAAAAAAAAAAAAAAAAAAAAAAAAACACTCTTAGGAGAAAGGATTTTACTAGGAAGATGTAGAGGTTATTCTAATTTTTTAAGCAGTTCTATCTGGTGTCTTAAGGAGGGAGGAGGATTTGGAGATTACTTCAGCTGGAAGGAATAGCATTTGCCTAGCTGGACAGGAACCAGGGGTCTGTCCCACATAGGACAAGGCTCTGCTCTCCACACAGGACAAGGATCTTCTAGGGGTGTTAACTGAGGGGGGCCAGTGGCAGGAGCTTGGCTTAGAATGGGAAAACAGATCAGAGACTTTAGCTCCATCCACGCAGTCCTACAGGGCTAACTCCAGGGCCCACTTGCAGAGAGGAGAACAGATTTTCAGGCAGAAGGTAAATGTTGAGCATCTTAGGATATTCTTGAGAGTCCTTTGCCCTCCTGGGAGATCTATCTGAGCTCTGTGCTTCTTGGCTTAAAGATAATGTAACAGAGCTTTGCAGTCAGGCTAGGGTGAAAAGCCATCCTGGTTTGCCTGGTATTCTCCTGGTCTTAGTGAGATGTGACAACGTGCTAGCAGCCCTTGCTTGCTCTCAGCACCTCCTCGGCCTCGGTGTCCACTCTGGCCATGCTTGAGGAGCCCTTCAGCCTGCCACTGCACTGTGGGAGCCCCTCTCTGGGCTGGCTGAGGCTGGAGCCAGCACCCTCAGCTTGCAGGGAGGTGTGGAGGGAGACGCACGGGTGGGAACCGGGGCTGCGCATGGCGCTCGCGAGCTAGCGCAAGTTCCAGGTGGTTGCGGGCTTGGCAGGCCTCGCATTCGGGGCAGCGGGCTGGCCCCAGGCAGTGAGGGGCTTAGCACCTGGGCCAGCAGCTGTGGAGGGTGCGCTGGGTCCCCCAGCAGTGCCGGCTCACTGACGCCACCCTCAAATAGCTCGCATTCTTGCCGGGCCTCAGCTGCCTCCCTGCAGGGCAGGGCTCGGGACCTGCAGTCCACCATGCCCGAGCCTCCCCCACCCCGTGGGCTCCCGGGGGACCTGAGCCTCCCCGACAGGCGCTGCCCCCTGCTCTGAGCGCAGGACTGGCAGGCAGCTCTGCCCGCAGCCCCGGCACAGGATCCACTAGGTGAAGCCAGCTGGGCTCCTGAGTCGAGTGGGGACTTGGAGAACTTTTATGTCTAGCTGGAGGATTGTAAATGCACCAATCAGCACTCTGTATCTAGCTTGGGGTTCATGGATGCATCAGTCAGCACTCTGTGTCTAGCTAAAGGTTTGTAAACGCATCAATCAGTGCTCTGTGTCTAGCTAATCTAGTGTGGACTTGGAGAACTTTTATGTCTAGCTAGAGGATTGTAAATGCACCAATCAGCACTCTGTGTCTAGCTCAGGGATTGTAAATGCACCAATCAGCACTCTGTATCTACCTAAGGGTTTGTAAACGCACCAATCAGTGCTCTGCCTAGCTAATCTAGTGGGGATTTGGAGAACTTTTATGTCTAGCTAGAGGATTGTAAATGCATCGCATCAATCAGCACTCTGTGTCTAGCTCAGGGATTGTAAACACACCAATCAGCACCCTGTCAAAATGGACCAATCAGCTCTCTGTAAAATGGACCAATCAGCTCTCTGTAAAATGAACCAATCAGCTGTCTGTAAAATGGACCAATCAGCAGGATGTGGGTGGGGCCAGATAAGGGAATAAAAGCAGGCTGCCCGAACTAGCAGCAGCAACCTGCTGGGTCCTCTTCCACAGTGTGGTAGCTTTGTTCTTTTGCTTTTTGCAATAAATCTTGCTGTTCCTCACTGTTTGGGTCTGCGCTTCCTTTATGAGCTGTAACGCTCACTGCGAAGGTCTACAGCTTCACTCCTGAAGCCAGCGAGACCACTAACCCACCAGAAGGAAGCAACTCCGAACGCATCCAAACATCAGAATAACAAACTCCAGGCACACCATCTTTAAGAAGGGTAACACTCACCGCGAGGGTCCGTGGCTTCATTCCTGAAGTCAGCCATACCAAGAAACCACCAATTTCCGACACATTAGCATTACAAGTCCTGCATCTGAAGAAACTCCTCAGTCTTAGGCAAGCCAGTATGGTGGGTTACCTGACTTGAATTGGGTTCTGTACCTCACTAACCATGTGACGTTGGGCAAGAGGTTAAATCTCTCCAAGCTCAAGTTTCCACTTCTGTAAAATAAAGACAACACCCATATGTTTCAGGGCTCTCATGAAAATTACATTAGAGACAATGCATGTTAAATGACAATGCATGTTAATTTGCAGGCAGGCAGTAAGGAGAATGGCAATCTATTACTGCTGCTGTTATGACCGGAAGGCCAGGCTCTGGCAGTTATTCAGTGCTACTGAAATTCCTGCAATTCTCTCCTCCCTTGTCCTCTAGAGCCTGTAGGGCGACAATCATATGCCCCAAATCCAAAATTAGTTATCAGGAGTAGGAGGACAGCCTCATGATAAAAAGGTGATGCAGGTGAAGCCAGTTCTTTTTCTTTTTTTTTTTTTTTGGTATTTAATGGACTTACAATTTATTGGCTTTGTGATGGTATAAAAGTGATACACATTCAGTCGACATTGTAGTTAAAATTTTGAGTTTTGATCTTTTCTGAGGCTAGCAGTATGCTTCATGATCTTTCTTGTGGTGCTGGGCAGCAGCAGTGAGTTGCAGCTCCGAATCAGCCATGATATCATGAGGGTAAATAACCAGTACTCTGCAGTGTACTCTGTACCAGATGATTTTGTCCAACTGTAGGCTAATGTAAGTTCTGAACACCTTTAAGATATGCTAGGTTAAGCTAGGATGTTCAGTAGGTTAGGTGTATTAAATACGTTTTTGACTTATGATATTTATCAAGACATAACCTCATTGTAAGTTAAGCAGCATAAAAAAAGAAAAAAATTCACCATTTTACTATCTTCGACAGTGAACAAGAGAGCTACTACTTAGGAAAAATTTTAAGCCCAAATGCTTAAATGTATTGGCATAGCTTTTGGGGGGATTACCTTGCAATTATTTTAAATGCTCTTCTTTCTTCAAAGAAAAAGCGGAAACGGTATTTATAAAGCACATTGCCATTTAGTAAAGCTCCTTCCTCAAAGAAATTAGGTGATTTCAGTCACCGTATGTGGTTTGAGTCCATCTAAGTATAAACATTTCTAGTAAATTAGTACCCTTGTTTTGTAAAAAGCACAAGGCAAAGCCGGTTCTTAACTCTCCTCTTCTGAATCTTTTTTCTTTCTCCTACCCCTCCTTCAACCTCCTCACAGATACCTCAAGTTCCCACGTCTTCTACCTCAAAATTTGCCCTGAAGAAAGGGGTTAAGTGTCGTTTGTACTTGGAGTGATTTAAAAGAGACTCCTGTAAGTGTCTGCATTTTAAATCTCTTGTCTTGTAGAAGAAAGGTTTTGTCTCTCATTAAAGGAAATTCACACACTACAGAGGTTGACTCTTTGGTGGCTATATCAGTTCAGCTAGGTTCAGCTGCCCATGTGAGCAAATATAAAATCATAGCAATTTAATCAAGATGGAGGTTTCTTTCTGTCACATATAAGGGCAGGTATATTAGTGCATTCTCATGCTACTATAAAGAAATACTCGAGACTGGGTAATTTATAAAGGAGAGAAGTTTAATTGACTCGCAGCTCTGCATGGCAGAGGAGGCCTCAGGAAACTTACAGTCATGGTGGAAGGGGAAGCAGGCATGTCTCATATCGCAGCAGGAGAGAGAGAGTGTGTGTGAAGGAGAAACTGTCAGGCACTTACAAAACCATCAGATTTTATGAGAACTCACTCAGTATCATGAGAACAGCATGAAGGAAACTGCTCCCGTGAGCCAATCACCTCCCACCTGATCCCTCCCTCCACACATGGGGATTATGAGGATTACAATTCAAGATGAGATTTGGGTGGGGACACAGAGCCAAACCATATCAGCAGGTGCGGCAGTTTCACAGCCATCACCCCTGACATGAACCATTGCATCTTCAGTCTTTCTCTCCTTCTATCTTACTGTTGACATCCTTCTGGAAGGTCACTTCCTGTTCCAAGAAGACTGCTGAAGCTGCAATCATGGTAGGTCATTTAAGACCATAAGAAAGGGAAGCTGAAAGGGGGCAGAGGAATACCTGCTGACTGAGTTAGAGTTAGCATTCTTTTTTTTTCTTTTTTTCTCTTTTTTTTTTTTTTTTTTGAGATGGAGTCTCACTCTGTTGCCCGGGCTGGAGTGCAGTGGCGCAATCTCGGCTCACTGCAACCTCTGCTTCCCTGGTTCAAGGGATTCTTCTGCCTCAGCCTCCTGAGTAGCTGGGATTACAGGCACCCACCACCACACCTGGCTAGTTTTTGTATTTTTAGTAGAGACGGGGTTTCACCATGTTGGCCAGGACGGTCTCTATCTCCTGACCTCATGATCCACCCACCTCGGCCTCCCAAAGTGCTGGTATTACAGGTGTGAGCCATTGCACCTGGCCTGAGTTAGCATTCTTTAAGCAGCCTTTCCCAAAGCCCATGAAACACTTAGGTTTGTGTCTCATTGGCCAGAGCTTAATGACGTGGTCACCACTAGCTGCCAATGATTTTGAAAAACATATTCTCCTCTGGGTGAATTTCAGCCTTACATAAAATCTGGCTCCAGACACTAAGGGAGAAAGAGAGAATGCATGTAGAAAATACAGCAAATGGTCAGCTGTCACTGGTGAAAGCTTCTGTTTCCCTGGATGTTGGTTGATAAGTGACATGAGGCCAGGATCACTATAGCTGAAGATCTTTCTGTCCCTCAATGCTGGTGAGCAGCCCCACATTGAAGCACTTCTCGGGGACTAATAAAATAATGAAGAGAGTTTTGCTAGTATTGGAGAAGTTTGGGTTCAATTATTAGCCAAAGGGTCTGATGTCCAAAGTATGTTCTGTCTCAAGATTTAAAAACTTTATGTAGTCTTTTTACATATAAGAGAGTTTAATAATTCATATATTTTCTTAAGATTCTATTTACAGTTTCTTACTTGCTATTCAACTGCATAATGAAATTAACTTCTTAAGAAGTTAAGGACTTATGGGACTCTTTTTTTTTTTTTTTTTTTTTTTTGAGACGGAGTCTCGCTCTGTCGCCCAGGCTGGAGTGCAGTGGCGGGATCTCGGCTCACTGCAAGCTCCACTTTCCAGATTCAAGCTATTCTTCTGCTTCAGCCTCCTGAGTAGCTGGGACTACAGGTGCGCACCACCACACCTGGCTAATTTTTGTATTTTTAGTAGAGACAGGGTTTCACCATATATTGGCCAGGCTGGTCTCGAACTCCTGACCTCGTGATCTGTCCTCCTTGGCCTCCCAAAGTGCTGGGATTACAGGCATGAGCCACTGCACCCAGCCTACCTCAATAATTTTAATAACCTGATACCCTTTTCTGTCCTCTGCTGTGATTGTGTCTTAGTGACAGGTCACAAACTCTAAAGCACAATAATGGCATTTTTTTTTCCATGAGTTCAAAAGCAACCTGTTAAGTGAACATTAAAGCCACCTGCCACTGCTAAATTCATAACATGAATACATGGGCATGAGCATGGAGCCCTTGAATTTATTCTTTCAAAAGCCAATAATAATAATAGCTGCCCAGCAAATTGCCCAGTTTGAGCCCGGACACTCTACAGATACCTTTACATTCATATTCTTATTTAATTTTAAGGGAGCATTTACATCATTTTTCAGAAGGGGAGAGTGAAGATTATGGTCTTACAAATATTAAGTGCCAGTGTCATTTAAATCTGGGTCTGTCTGAATTCAATCCCAGACCCTTTGTTCCTGTTTGCCTCATGAAGGTTGAAATTCCTTTCTCCTCTGACATTATTTTAGCATACCTTATTGGAAGAAAAGGGGAGACATGTTGGGGGTTTTTTATTTTAGGATTATAATAATTTTGTTAATTTCTTTTTCCAAAACAGTGCCTTGCTCTGTTTCCCAGTGGCACAATCACAAGCTCACTGCAGCTTCAACCTCCCAGGCTCAAGTGATCCTCCTGCCTCAGCTTCCCATCTGGCTGCAACCACAGGTGCATGCCACTACACCTGGCTATTTTTTTTTTATTTCATGTAGAGATGAGATCTTGCCATGTTGCCCAGGCTGGTCTCAAACTCCGAGACTCAAGCGATCCTCCCACCTCACCTTCCCAAAGTGCTAGGATTATAGGTGGGAGCCACTGTGCCTGGCCAATTGTGTTAATTTTTAAATGAAATCTAAGCTATGTTATTTTGGCCAGATCTAAGTAGCACTCAAAGTGTTCTGCACATCTTTCTAGATTATAACTGGACCTATCTTTTATCCATGTGCTACACCAGGGCACTCCACAAATGTTTTCAGTGTAATGAGAAAATAACCACAACTAATTCAAGGGAACAGTGTTCTGATACCCACTCTGTGTTATGGTGTTTGGGGGGTTTGCTTTTGGTTTTGTCTACGCACACCTCACTATGGGAAAGAAGCAACTATCCTTAGACAGTAGAGTGTTTCAACACGCTAAGCACATGGCATTGAACAAGTTTAGAAGAGTCTGGGAAAATACGGTGAATAGTGTGATTCCAATCTTGCAAGTGTGTGTGTGCACACACAAACTAACATGTCCAGTTTGTTTTATAATATATGCATGTAATGATCTGGAAGGAATTATAGCAGAATTATAACAATGGTTACCACTGAATGTTAGGAATATTTTTCTTTTTCCTTTTTGCTTCCTTCTAAATTGTGCTAAAATAAATGAGTACTGCTAATATAATGCCCCACAAAAATAATATTTTTAATGGGCATGAAAATTCTCAAAGCAAAGAATGGGTGGCTGGGGGCACTGTCACGTGTCATGAGGCTTCTTAGCATTGCACCCATCCCTTGTTTATGAATGTGGCCATTAACAATAAAGAGGTATCTCTTTGCCAATTTTTCATTAGCTGGAAAGATAAACTGGTCTCAATAAAACAATAAAGCCAACAGGTTTCCCATAGGGCATTACTATGAACCAGCGCCATTTAATAAGCAAATATTCTCATTCTGTTTGTGTAGCTTTGTGTTTGTGTTTCCTTTGTGCAAGGATTGTTACTAGAGATAAGAAATCAAGGCATCATTTTGGTTATTTATTTCCATGGCAACACGTGGATTCAAGTAAGTGTCCTTGGCATTGTTGCTATTTGTTGTGTGCAATTTTTACAGACATATGACTCTTCTAAGTAAGAAAGGTTAATTCCCTGTGATGATGCCTTATTTGGGTGTAAATATTTGAGGCAGAAACAAGGTGCACTTTTGGCTCTTTGAACTCACATTAATATCCATAATTCTGTGAGCAGCAATAAAGAGTGCCAGTACACTGCAAAGATCATTTTTTTCATGACAATTTTCTCTCAAAGGGTCACAAAACAAACATCTGTTTAGGACTACTAGTTAGTATAGAGTGTGACAATAATGATGTTTCTTGTTAAATTTTATTCTCTCTCTTTCTCTCTCCCTCTCTCTGTCTCTCTCTCTCTCTGTCTCTCATACGCACACTTAGAAAGTAGAATATGAATTTCCCCTTTATCTTTACTGAACTGGAATAGACCAAAATTGTGTCCAAAATGTTTTCTTGTAATGTTTTCTAGATAAATACCTGAAACTAGCAGCGAAATTGTATAGAAAGCTAGGAGGCAGAATTCTGTTCCCAATTTTGCCACCATATCTGGAGTCTTGGGCATTTCCCCTATCCTCTCTGTGCTTCCAGTTTCTCATCAGTGAAATGACCTAAGCTCATAAAAGGGAAACCAATTTTAAAGAAGAGTGAAAAGCTGTAACATTCCTTAGCAAAGGTTGCTATTGTATGCAAAATGTACTAGAAATGAAAGTGACATAATACAAAATTGCATTTTGTTTTTATTTCTTTTTAGTCCCTTTTGGGTGCATAATACAGAATCTGTCTTGGGAAGGACAGATGGCTGACAGCCCCGGTTGCAGCTTCGTTGGATGCACTGCAGTTTTTGTGCTGAGGTCATACTTGTCATACTTTTCCTGTCTGCTGCCTGTCACCGGCTGAGCATGGTGAAGGTAGCAGTGCAGGCCTATCCCTGCCCCTTGCAAGACACTTCCAATGCGAACTCACTCCTCCTGGACTCCCCATCAACCCAGCTGAGACGTCCAGAACTGCCTGCAGTCTGAGACCCCTGACCAGTCTTCCTCCCATCCTCCTCAGGAGTCAGGCCTGCATTGTAGTCTGAAGGCCGTGTCCGCCTTGTCCTCCCTCTTCCCCTTTATCCTCCACGGACACTTTCCCCTAATAAATCTCTGGCATATCTAATCTCATCCTGGCATCTGCTTCTCCAATAAGGACTGATGCACTGAGGAAGAGAACCTACATGAGAACCTGAGCTCACACTAGTGCAAGGGGCCTGTAGCCTTTGGAGGACAGATCAGAGATCAGGCTGTCCTTTTTCCTGTGCTACCACCAATGGCCAAGGCACCATCATTGTCCACCATGATGACCTGATTCCCCTGCTGCCTCTCTTACTCCCGAGGGTGATTAAAACAAAGCATTAAATTAGGTAAGGTCCTCTCTCATCTACAGCTTCCCATCACTCTTGAAACATCATATGAATGCACCATAACTGACACAGGCCTCTTGGTCTGGATGCTGCTCCACCCTCCATCCTCATTCCTCCTGCCCTCCCTCTTCCTCACTTGGGCCTGCTTTGCCTTCAAATGCATGGATGCGCTCCCTCCTGGCAGTGTCAGTGTCCTGTTTCCTGATTCCTCTGATGAAGCCCCACCTCCTCCCATCTTCTCAGGACTGCTTATTGTCAGGGTCAGAGCCCAGATCCAACATCCCTGCCAGGGAGAGTCTCCCTAACCACTTTCCACAAAGCCCCTTGCTTCCAGCCATTCTTACCATGTTACCATTTAATTTTCTTCATGACAGTTTTTCTCCAATGCTATCTAGATTGCTGTTCTCCGCTAAAATTAAACAAAGCAGAAACTATGTTATCAGGAGCCCTGTCCTTCCATCGCCGAGGCCTGGGACAGTACCCACGCACAGCAAGAGCTCCATCAACATTTGTTAAATAAATGAGGTCTGGCAGAGTTTGACGGCAGGTTTATGATATAAGCTCTATCCTTTATCTTTGCTACACAATTTTCAGTAAATTCTGCATTGCTTTCTAATATTTTTACCATGAATATTTTGTTTGGGAGAATACAAATAAGTATACAGACATCATTCTAAAGTCAGCTCACAGGGAAACAAAGAATATGTGGGAACAGCTACATGTCAAGGTTAAAAATGCATGAGAAACTGGGAAACAATTGAAATAGCATTCCAGGAGGCAGTATTGCAGAATGAGGAAGATAGGAGTCCAATGGCTCCATTCAACTTTGAGGTCTACCACAACATAGTTGTGATTTTCAACTAGTTACTTCGTACCTCTTAGCACACATTTCTTAACAGGCAAGATGAGAACAATATATGCTTTGCCTACTCTAGAGGGTGATTATGAAAGTTTTTGAGAAAGTGTCTACAACTCTGCAGAAGGCGAAAATTTTGGACAGCAGAGTTTTCCAAAGAGTCAATTTTGGGCTATTTAAAAGACCTTTTATGTAAAATGACCCCCTTGACCATGATCATGACCTTTTATTTTCATAAATAATGGTGATGTTACATATAACTTTTTCTCTCTCAAATACCATTATCTGGCAAAATACAAAGTCAGACATTTTTTGATAATTTTACTAGTCTGTGAAACCTAAAAATTTGGGATCCACCTTGTGAAAAATCTTAGAAAGCTATAAAAATGTAAAAAACTGTGTTGTTCCAATTTTCTTAAGAGGAGAATACTTCCTTAACAAACTCCTGTTTACGGAAAGAAAGGTTTGCTCAGTGCACAGAAATATAAATGTCTTTACACTCTCCTGGACTTGTGTGATTTATGAGGAGGAAGATGAGAGAAGGAGAGGAACCTAGATAGGTAATTGGTTCTTCACGTCCCTTGGAAACTACTGGAAGGCATTAGAAAATTTTCAAGTCCTATCCCTTAGAAGCCCAGAGTTTCATAGTCACAAAGTAAACCCTCCAGGTGAAACCTGCCTTTATTTGCCATGCTTTCATTTTCATTTCGCTAGTCATGTGCCTTACCCTACAAAGTGAAGGCAGAATATTTGTTGCTCCGTTGATTGACATCTGTGATTCTGTTGTAGAAACAGAATGTTTGTTGAATGTGGAAATAAATGCCACCCTCTCTTATACAAACATTTAGAAAGGAAATACAGTAAATCCTTTTAAATATTGTTTGTTAAGCATCCTTTTAAAGTGCTGTTTCAGTGAAGAAAAACTTTACTTAATCATCTGCTTATCATTCACCACACAAAGGCCTCTTTTGTAATGGCATGCATGGAAAAGTTTGATAACTTATTAAAAATGCCCTATGGAGGAAAAAAGGTTAATAAATATATAACTTTAGCAGGTCAGACACTGCCCTATGGCCAAAATGTTTGGTATTCAAAAGAAAATGCCAGCATCTTGCTACTCAGACTTCTGAGCAAGAATGGCAATAATGAGTTCAACTCTTCTATAAACACACAGCATTCACATTGTGTAGATGAACTCAGCAAAGTTTACATTTATACATGACAATAACCCTAAAGTCCTTGAAACGTGCCCTAATAACACATGCAACATTAAAAATAGGAGAAAATTTAGAAAGTATCTAACCAACCTCCTTGTTTTAAGAATCTGGGGGGCTGGGTGACATAGTTAAAAGTATCTGGGCTTAGAGCCAGCCAGACAGATCTGCCCCAAGCTTGTCTCTGCCATTTGCTAGCTATAAGGTCCTTAAGCGACATTCACCACTTACCACCACCCACCCCTACCTCCTCATCAGTGAAGGGAGGATAATAATAGTCAGAGATCATCTAAGTCACAGATATGTGGCTTTTGCAAAGTTACCAAATTAGTTTAACCTTCAGAACCCAAATTAGGAAGCAAGTATGGATGTTGTTTCCCTGCACGATTAGCACATAATCAACGAGCAAATATCTTGTGCATATGGCTACTGAATAGAGGACATGAGGGGCGGGGGGTCATAAAGGCCCAGCCATTTTGCAGGATGTGTGGCAATTCTGATGCACATACTTGCTGTGGTTTGAATGTATCCCCCAAAAGTTCATGTGATGGAAACAGCTCCCCTCTGGGTGGGCCAAGGCTTTGCCAAGCCTCCATTTTCGTTCAGTTTCTCCCACAGCTGAATCCTGCTTCCATTCACAAGTATTAATTCCTTATAAATGCCTTAAACCCGATACAACAGTGTTTGGAGGTGGAGCCTAATAAAAGATAATTGGGTCACAAGGGCAGAGCTTGCATGAATGGATCAATGTTGTTATCCTGGGAGTGGGTTGATATAAAGCGAGTCCAGCCTCTGGTACCTCTCTCTATGGTGAGTGTTCGCTTCTACCTTCCACCTTTTAGCCATGAGATGGCTCACCAGATGCTAGTGCCTTGCTCTTGGGCTTCCCATTCTCCAGAACCATGAGCTGAATAAACTTCTGTTCTATATAAATTCCCCAGCTGGTGTTCTTCTGTTATAGCCACAGAAAATAGGCTAAGACAGTATTCTTTCCAGCGCTCCCCTCTGGGTGGGCCAAGACTTTGCCAAGCCTCCATTTTGGTTCAGTTTCTCCCACAGCTGAGTCCTTCTTCCATTCGCAGGTATTAATTCCTTATAAATATCTTGTACCACAAACTCTGTCTCAGCATCTTCTTGCTAAAAAGTATGGGTTGGCACTTTGCCTCAGTTTCTTTCAGACAGTGAACATAGTGCTAAACAGGAGGGTCTTAGGCCAACCAACTTGAAATCAAACTGTAACTTATATCTCAATCTTTCCTTCCAATCTCATTCTTTAACCCTCCCTATCAGCATCTGATTCAAGCAACATGGGTTTGTTCACCTCCCACCTTTAAAACCCACTGCTCTGCTGTCTGGGAGAAATGTTTTCTTCATCACTCTCTGCCTAAACTTGATTAATCAGGCTAAGCAATGTACCACAGCACTTATTTAGTGTTGATTTTGGCAGAGATGAATTTCTTCTTCTATGAAGTACTATGAATTTGCAAACACAGATTTAAACCACAGCCAAGCCCTAAACCAGCTAAGCCTGCAGTACGGTGGACTAGACTCAACAGGATTACAGAACAAGGCAATTCCAGGCCACTTCTGGGCCTGCCTGTAACCTGAGAAGGCTTGAGATATCTGTCACAGCTTCCTGTCTTCTCAATTAGTCATTCATTCAAATAATATTTATGGAGCACTGTCCTAAGAACTGGGGATGTATCATTGAATAAAACAATCATGTTCTCTGTCTTCCGAGCTTACAGTCTATGGTTAGAGACAAAAATCCAGCAAAGAAGCAATTAACCATAATTAGCCATGCAGGATACTAACAGAATGCAGTGACGGAAAAATGAAGGTGATAAGTGGGAATCTATTAATACTTAGCTATCAGGGAAGTCTTCTCTAGAAAAAGACTAAGTTGGGCCTGAAAAATAAGAAAACACAAGCCATGGGAGAGTCAGGAAAGAGCATTCGAGGCAGAGAGGCTACATCAAATCATTCTTTGTTTACTGAACAAGTAAGTTACTTCTGAGCTAAGCATTAAAATACAGGAGGGAAGAAAACTAACTTCTAAACAAGTGAATAAAGTATCATACTCCCTTGAGGCCAGGTGCGGTGGCTCATACCTGTAATCCCAGCACTTTGGGAGGCTGAGGAGGGTGGATCACCTGAGGTCAGGAGTTCGAGACCAGCCAGACCAATATGGTGAAACCTCGTCTCTACTAAAAATACAAAATTAGCCAGTTGTTGTGGTGCATGCCTGTAATCCCAGCTACTTGGGAGGCTGAGGTGGGAGGATTGCTTGAACCTGGGAGGCGGAGGTTGCAGTGAGCCAAGATTGTGCCACTGCACTCCAGCCTGGGGGACAGAGCAAGACTCCATCTCAAAATAAAATAAAATAATGAAGTATCATACTCGAAAGAAAGAGAGAGAGAAAGAAGGAAAGAAAGAAAGGAAGGAAGGAAGGAAGAAGAAAAGGAAAGGAAAAGAAAGAAAGGTTGTTTTGTTTTGGTCTACAATTGATTCTTGTATACTAAAAAAAATTTTTTTAAATAATCTCTTACAGAGTCTCCACCTGACTGCATTGCTTCATGGCACTGTGCTTTTGGACATTTGATATCCTTCAGCTAGAATATATTTCTTCATTGTCCATTCACAGGAGCCTTCCTTTCTTAAAGACTCAATGTAAGCATCTCCTCCTTTTTAAGTAGCATTTTTTAAATTGACATATACTTCACAGGACATAAAATCCACCATCTTAAAGCAAGTTCACTCTGTTGTACAACCATCACCACTATCTAACTCCAGAACATTTTCATCACCCCAAAAAGGACACTAGGACCTGTCAGCAATTAGTCCCAATTCACCTCTATTCCCATGCCCTGGCAACCACTAATCTACTTTCTATCTCTATAAATTTGGCTATTTTGGACATTTAATACAAATGTAATCATAAAATATGTGTCCTTTTTTGTCTGACTCCTTTCATTTAGTGTAATATTTTCAAGTTTTATTCATGTAGCATGTATCAGTACTTTACTCCTTTTTATGATTAAATAACATCCCATTGTATGGATTTCATTTTATTTATTCATTAGCTGATGGGCATTTAGGTTACTTTCACTTTTGGCTATTGTGAATAATGCTGCTGTGAACGTTTGTGTAAAAGTTTTTCTGTGAATACTTTTTTTTTTTTTTGAGACGGAGTCTTGCTCTGTCTCCCAGGCTGGAGTGCAGTGGTGAGATCTTGGCTCCCCGAGTAGCTGGGACCACAGGCGCCCGCCACCACGCCCGGATAATTTTTTGTATTTTTAGTAGAGATGGGGTTTCACCGTGTTAGCCAGGATGGTCTCGATATCCCGACCTCGTGATCCACCCGCCTCGGCCTCCCAAAGTGCTGGGATTACAGGCGTGAGCCACTGCGCCCGACTGCTTGTTTTCATTCTCTCAGGTATATATTTAGGAGTGGAATTGCCGGGTCATATGGTAATTCTATGTTTAACTTTTTGAGGAACAGCCAAGCTGTTTTTCACAGGGGCTGTACCATTTTACAGTCCTACCTGCAATGTATGAATATTCCAATTTGTCCACATCCTCGCCAACACTTGTTATTGTCCTTTTAAAAATTATTATTATTATTATTATTATAGCTATCCTAGTGGGTATGAAGTGATGTAGCATCATAATGACTAATTATGTTGATCACCTTTCATGTGCTTGTCAGTCATTTGTATAGTATATATTCTTTGGAGAAATGTCCATTTAAGTACTTTGCTGATTTTAATTGGGTTGTCTTTCTGTTTTTGAGTTGGAAGAGTTGTTGATGTATTCTGGATACTATAGATACTATACTCTTATGAGATGTATAATTTGCAAATACTTTTTCCCATTCTATGAGTTGTCTTCTCACTTTCTTGACAGTGTCCTTTGACACACAAAATTTTTTAATTTTGATGAAGCCCAATTTTTATATATAAAAATTTATATATAAAAATTGTGCTTTGTCAATTTTATATATAAATATACTAAGATAAATAAATATAAAGAAATATATTTTATACACACACATATTTTTAATTGCTTGTGTGTTTGGTGTCTTATCTAAAAAACCATTTGCTAATCCCAGGTCTTAAAGATTTCCATTTATATTTCTTCGAAGAGTTTTATAGCTTTTGCTCTTATGAGTCTTTGATCTTTTGAGTTTTATATACAGGGTGAGAACAGAGTGCTAATTTATTTTTTTGCATGTGGATATTCAGTGGTCTCAGCGCTATTTGTCGAAAAGACTATTTCTTCCTTCTCATTAAATTCTTTCAGCACCCTTGTCAAAATCAATTGACCATAAACATGTGGTTTATGTGTGGACTCGCAGTTCTATTCCATTGGTCTATATTTCTATCTGTATGACAGTAGCACGCTGTATTGATAGTAAGTTTTAAATTGGGAAGTGTGAGTTCTCCAACTTTGCTCTTATTTTTCAAAATTGTTTTTCCTATTTTGTGTCCCTTGCCGTTGGAAATTTGATAGGGATTGCATTTATTCCATATGTCATTTTTTTAAAGTTTTTGGTTTGTTTTGTTCTGTTTTTGAGACAGAATTTTGCTCTAGTTGCCTAGGCTGGAGTGCAGTGGCGCAATCTCAGCTCACTGAAACTTCTGCCACCTGGGTTCAAGTGATTCTCCTGCCTCAGCCTCCTGAGTAGCTGGGATTACAGGTGCCCGCCACCATGCCCGGCTAATTTTTTGTATTTTTAATAGAGATGGGGTTTCATCATGTTGGTCAAGCTGGTCTGGAACTCCTGACCGACCTCAGGTGATCCACCTGCCTCAGCCTCCCAAAGTGCAGGGATTACAGGCATGAGCCACTGCTCCTGGCCATTCTATAGATCAATTTAAATAGTATTGCCGTATTAACAATAGCATCTCTTCCAATCCATGAACACAATATGTTTTTCCATGTATTTAGGTCTTCTTTAATTTCTTTCAGTAATGTTTTGTAGTTTTCAGTGTATAAGCCTTGCAGTTCTTTTGTTAAATATTTTTTCTAAGGTTATTTTTTAATTCTTTTGATGCCATTTAAATTGAATGTTTTCTTAATAGGACTTTCAGATTAGTATCTTCTCTCAGGTAAAACCCCCTGACCTTTAGTTCCCCTAAGTGAGAATTGACAACTCCATTCAATGTCATGTCTCCACCTGGCAGATACCTGTATTATAACATATTACAATATTCCAAAGGCCAATTTATTAAGGCCCTATTTATTTATGCCAATTTCCCTTGCTTGTGGGCAAAGACCATCATGTTCTGTTCCCTTTCTTCACCCAGGACAAAGTGTGAACAGAAATAGCAAAGCCTAGGAATGAAGCTAGCTAGAGGGAAAAGATGGGTTTGATGTTTTCTTGATAATTCTAGCGAAAGGTTCAGCTTCACCCAGAAACACACTCTACATCAGTCGTTCTGAGAGATGGTGTTTCAGGCCTTCCCCTGTTAAAATCTATCCTCTCCTTTTACTCACAGCCAGTGTATATCTCTTCCCTAATTTTCCAGCCAATTAGAACAACTCATGACTCATCCTGACTTCCCAAAACTGTTTTGCAAATGGAGAGAAGTGATTTTTTTATTTCCTCAATATGTCTCTGGGTTCAGTCTAGCCTAGTATAAATTCTTTGAGAAAAACCGAGTTTTATACTGTGTCTATTGTGGTTGTGCTGACTGACGACATAACGTACTTACTAATCTTCTGTAAGTATACAAAACAGTGCTTTGATTTCAGAAGAATGTGCAGATTTCTTTTGTGGAGTGTGTATATTTCATTTTGCTTTCAGTATGTTTTTCAGTTGGCTTAACCTTTATCATAGAGATCAACAAGAGTGAAAGGGCTTCAACTGCTTGTTCTTCTACTCATTGATTGTGCACATCATCTGATCTTCATGACATTCAGAGTTCTACAATGCAAGATTGTTGTGAAGATTCTATGAAATTATGTATATAAAGCTCCTGGCAAATACATATTCACATATGTTAGTTTTTCTTCTCTTCCTTCTTTTTCATTATACAACATTCTTTCTACACTTAAACTTCAGATGAACTGATTCCAGCAGAATGGACTCTTATCTTGACATAGGGGACCAGAGAATTGGAGCTTCAGAGGACAGGAGCAGCCTCATTTCCTGAATCTTTCCTGGATGCCTACATGAAAATGTCAAGGGCATCTCCATTCCAAATCCTTTCAGTAAAAATCATCAGATAGTGTTGCCTCTGCAATGAGATAATGTTGTGCCCAACACAGTTTGCAGTTTGACTAATTCCTAATATATTCTGCAAGGATATAATAATCCCTACCTAACCCCTGTGCATTTTTAGTATTTTTAATTTTTAAGCTCATGAAAACTCAAGACTGAAAATAAGTTCTCAAAACTATTTGTGACTAAAAACAACAACAACAACAAAATCTTTGCATTCTGACTGTGCGATTTGGGAGATTCAGAAGAGCACTGGGTAAGATTTCTTAAAGAACTCACAATCTGGTTGGAAAGATGGATATTGTATAATGCCAAAGAATCACAAACAACGTAATTCAGCAATAGACTGTGATACAGACTTACAGTATCAGAGAAATTCTCAGAAGAGTATGACTAGAGGCTCTATGATTAGAGTGAGACCTTGAACACTGGGTAGAACATGACACAGTAGGTGGGTGGATTTCCTAAGAGAAAGAGCATCCCAGGCAAGGGAGAGCAATGTGAGCAGAGACATTGCACCTAGAAATGGGTCTTGATGTTCTAAAGGATGAGGAGATTTGAAACTTCTTTACCTGAGAAAGGCATTTTTGCTGTGGCATAACAAGGAGATAATAGGAAATGGGATCAAATTACATAGACTTTGCTATTCTCTTTGTTTCCAGATTCAAACTCTCTCTTTTTAAGGGGAGAGGATAAGAAAGCCTAGAAAGAACAAGTGTTGTTATGCACACATTGAAGGAAAGTCTAGATACTCCTCTCCTAATTGATTGGGAATTCGGGATGTTTCATATAATCAAGAGGTTGGATGGGATCTTGAATGGCTGACTCCATCTCTCTGGGTTGAGGCAGGATAAGAGATAAGCCATCCAATACTGGTTTAAAGCTGTATTTTAAAGTTTCTAGCTATATAGATGTAATCTCTCTGGTAACTTTTCAATTCCACAGCAACATTCGCATCAGAAAATCTTGCTACTAGTGTACTGAAGTATCTCTCATTGTGACCTATCTAAGCCCTGTGCATTTGTTCTGTCCTAGTGAAAATCACAAACAGTCAATGTTCATAGCCAATTTCACTAGCTCCTCCAAAACTGAGCTATTGCCATTCAGTTGCCTTTTTGAACTATTAAATGACTCTCATCTGTGCTTAGTTAGACAATTGCTTCCACTTCAGGTTATTTTAAAGATTCTTCATTGTGGCTCACAATAGATAAATTTAGATGGCTTCTTTCTATTTTTCCCTATCATCAATTCTTCTTCCCTACTACTTCCTAGAACCCTGGCTTCTCTCAATAACTAGTGTTTAATCTTGGAAATGTCAATTTCCATTTCATCTAGGAATACAGCCATGTGGAAGAAGCAAGCGTTGAGAGCTAAACAATCTTAGAATTCCAACTTGATTCCTCTGTGACTCTACTTCCTCATCTGCAAAAATTAATAATAGTGATAGTACCAACCTCATAAGTTTGCTGTGTGGGAATTATAAAAAGTACTCCCCACTGAGTTTGCTCCATAGTAAGCACTCTATAGAAGCTAATGTTCACTTTTTAAGGCCTCATGTCATCAAATGCTAGCTGTGGCTTGACCTTTTAGCCTGTTTCCTCATCTGATAATGAGTATAATAAGATGTGTCTAATACATTGTTAAGCTCCTGACACATAGCAGCACTCGAGGGATGGACTCATTACTAGTGGGAAAAATTTGGTATTCACAATGGCCTGTCCACCCTTACTTTATACTAAAGGAAATGATTCCAATTTTAGGGTCAAAAATCTATTTAAATACAGGCATTTCCCATCTATGTCCAAAGCCTTCTCTGATTCCTTAAGATGTCCCATAAATTTTCTTTAGCTGTCATCAGTGGCGCTGATGGCTTAGTATTATGGACTACCATTTTATTTGGCAAAAAAAAATGATAAAATTCTTCAGATACCCTTAGATTTGTGCTGCTGATCCCCTAATATTAAAATACTTTGTTAGATTTGGGAATAATAAAAAGAAAACAAAAAAGTAAAATAAAAATGTTGAAATTTTAAATGAATGAAAGGTTGAGTAGCATTTGGAATCGCTTTCAAATGTACATTCAGAAGGAAAACTGGTCAGTGGTGGCTGTGGCTGGTGGGGGAAAGGGCTCAGATGTGGCTTCTGGGATTCCCTTACGACATTTGCAGAAGTGTGGGAAGGATGACAAGTTCTGCTGCACTCTGGAGCTGCTGAACCTGAGTAGCCACATCTAACATCACATCACTCGTGGGGAGCAGAAGGATAAGGGTTGGGGGTCAAGATGCGGTGTTGGGGGAGGTGGAGGTGCAGCTTCAGCAGATCCTGGCAGGGGGGTCAGAGCTGGAATAGATCACAGTCCCCCCTCTGGGGTTCCCTCTCTGCCTCTCCATGTGTTCAAGACCATTACTGTGACTATGAAAGAGTTGCAGGCTCAGCATGAGGAGCAGCATCAGGACAGAATATAGTGCTCTGAGGCTTGGCCAATTACGTCTTAGGTCAGCTCAATATTAGTTGTTCTGTTGCTAATGTAATTTTATTACTATATTTACTATGTGTCAGGTGCAAGTCTAAACACTTTACATTTATTTTCTCAGCTAATTTTTGTAGCAACCATATAAGGGGTAGTTCCATTTCACAAATGAGAAACTAAAGCACAGGGAGGCCAGGTAGCTTGCTCAAGCTAGTATGTTCACAAGGCAACTCAGAGGTTTAGCCCCAGAGCACCATATGTAACCATGGATTTATACTACCTTTCTGGAATGTGGCTTTCCAACATTCCAGTGTTCCATTTTCAGTAATTCTAGTCTGTGAGTGGGTAAATGAATTCAGCTTCTTAGGGCACATTTTGCAAATAACTTCCTATGGTGAACTGTTGTATGGCAAGTAATCAAAGAAATTCAAGCACCCGAAAGTGACATTAAACAGATGAAGACTGGCTGGCTTAATGATCCTTTAGAAATTAGATTGCTATCATGTTACCAACTCTTAAGAGTTAGGGTAAAGATACCTTCCCAGAAAAATAACATAAAACTAAAATCCATAAAAGCTAAATAGCTTATTTTCTCTTCTAAATACAGATTTTTCTTTTTTATTAATCACTAGTTGCATTTTTGGGCAAAACAATGTCTTACCAAATAAGTAAATTTTACTATTTAAGAAATATATGATAATTTAAGAAACATACAATATTTTGTCTATCTAAATAAATTCAAAGATTTAAAGATTGGCCTTAGATACTGTGTTCATAGTGCAAGAAGAAGTGTGACTGGGCTTTGGAAAGAGATGGCTGGATCCCTGGACCACCACTATCTTTTGGAAACCCTGAGTGCAAATTTTGGAAAAACTTCTCCCCTGACTAGACTAACTGAGAAAAGTCAATTTCTCTGACTAAGTGAAGTTTTGAGCATGGCATGCAGCTTGGCAAGGAAGAGGTTGGGCCCTTCATCTGGGTGTTTTTATGCACTAAGCAAAATGCCCTTTTGGGCCTGGTGTGGTGGCTCATGCCTGTAATCCCAGCACTTTGGGAGGCCGAGGCTGGCAGATCACTTGAGGTCAGGAGTTCAAGGTCAGCCTGGCCAACATTGTGAAACCCTGCCTCTATTAAAAAAAAAAAAATTAGCCAGCCGTGGTGGTACACGCCTGTAATCCCAGCTACTAGGGAGGCTGAGGCAGGAGAATCTCATGAACCCAGGAGGTGGAGGTTGCAGTGAGCCAAGATCATGCCACTGCACTCCAGCCTAGGCAACAGAGCGAGACTCCATCTCAAAGAAAACAAAAAACAAACAAACAAAAAAATGCACATCTGTAAGCAATGGCATTACTAGGCCCTTCATCCAAATTGCTTCTCTTCCATAGGAAAAGCCTTTGACATTCTTCTGGGGATCCTCTAGACCTCCCCCAAACACCTTGGTGTTTTTTGTGCCAGTGCATGCAAGGTTAGGGTTACACAAGGCAGCTGAAGTTTTCTCCTTCCCTTATCTTCTGATTCATGGGCTTGAACGATTTTGTTCTGATATACCAGTAAGAACACCATAAGCAGCTCAACTCTCAAAGTCCCTCTCAGCCAACATATTCATGGCTGTTGTCAACAATAAGGAAACTTTCTCCTCCCGTGGGCCTCTTAAGTTCATGGGCCTCAAAATTTTGTGTCAGTTCCATCTAATTCCAAGGATTCCTTTCTAAATGAAACACAAATAAGTTGCAGAACAAACTTTTACCACTGCAGAACTTCCCTATCCCTTCTCAGTTTCATCTCCTTCTCTCTACCGCAGCACCTAAGGACATTGTTTTCAAAGAGAGACAGCCTGCCTCAGAGGACTTCATCCCTTCTCTAGACACACTAGTCCTCAGAGGTGGCCTCCTATCTTCTCGGGATCTTTTCCATCTTTTGATATTCAGCCCATGTGTTGGCATTTGGCCCTGTTCCTTGTCCTACATCATTAGATCATATACCAACATTGTATATAACTCCTATTTCTAGACTTACTCATCCCGTTCATCTGAAAAAGATGAAAATCATCCTAATCCAGTGAAGGTGTGCAAGCACCTTGAAGCCTGAACTACAGGGCCCCCCATACTGTGACCAATGTACAGTAGATAATCACAGCCACATGATCCTAGGAAGAGGGCAGAGGCAGGCAGAGGTATTTGGAGAGTGCTGTAGGATTCCAAGATGGACTTCTCATTGAGCCTGACTGAGGGGTGGGCTGGCTGGAGAGATAGGAGAGCTTAGGGCCTCCTTCCTCCCATGTTTGGCCTGAGTGAGCTGAAACCCTGTGCTAAGTAATCTTCACATTTTATCTCCTCTTCTTCATCCCCACTGCTCCTGCACTTGTTCAGAAACTCATCACTTCTTCTCAGAAAATGTATAAAATGAGAAAAAGAAAGGCAGAATGAAGTCCAGAGGGGAAGAAGTCAATGGCACCTGAACAGGATCTGCGGGGACACAAGGGAGCTCGTAGACAAGTGGTGCCTGGCCCCGGGAGGAGGGCCCTCTCAAAGGCGAGGATGGGCCATGCAGGGACCATATCAACCTAAAAAGTCACCCAAAGAATGTCAGACAGTATGTAATGAGTATCCTTTTGATCCGACAGCTGAGAGTTTTTTGGTAACTCAGTGGGTAAAACTGAGAAGGAGCCAGAATTTTGTTTTGTTTTGTTTGAGTATGCACGGTTTGGGTAGTTCCCTCAACTTTGGATGGCATTTATTTCTACACCATCACACACTCCTGGAAGAGAAGCCACTCCAGGAAGCCTGGACCTTCTAATTGACATCCAGTTGCCTCCAATCCCACTCAATCTTACCTGTACTATTTGCCATCTCCTCTCAATCAAGTTCATTCCATAATGATGTTTTCCTGAGTAAACCAGAAAAAAAAGAATCCTTATAAATAGGCAAAGATTACTTAGTAAAATAGGCAAAGGCTCTCAGAGCCTTTTTTCTCATGTGACATGCATGTATCTGAATAGGAACTTCTTGTTTCTGGCTGTTGAATTATCCAAAAGGATGGCTTTAGTGGTAAGTTTTGTGCATAAAGGAAAGGAAGGCATGTTAGCCAGTGGAGAATACATTTAGGCCACAGGGACCTTGTGGTGCTTCTTGGATTACGCTGGGCTTTATGCATGGATAGCAGATGAGGCCAGGGGAGGAAAAACTCTAGAGATGGAAGGATGGATGGACAAAGGAAGAAGAGAAGAAAGAGAGAATAAATAGCATATGCAATATGTTGAATTTGCACTGCTAGCAAGCAAGAACTTAAGTCACACACATACCCAGAGCCAGGCCCTCAGGAATATTTCTCAACCTTTATGCTTTACTCTTCTCCAGATAGTAAAACACCTACAAAATATCATCAGGCCTTGTTCTTCAGCATGACAAAATGTCCTGCTTCTTGCCTCTGTGAACAAGGGGGACTGAGATTGTATCTCCTTTCCACAAGAGCCCTTGGGATCAACACCTATGGAAGGGAAGGGAGGAATGGAAAAAAGGGGAGCTGAGCTGGGATGCAGATCTGCTAGATGCCTCAGACAACCCTGCGGGGAGTTATGGAGATGGAATGCCCTTTAGAATTGTCCAGGGTTCAGGAGACAGGGGAGGCCTTTTTATACCTGCATCACCTAGTCACTGGGTATGCTTGATGGGGAAGAATCATGACGTTAGGAGAGGGAGGTGGCTCTCTGAAGCTGTAGCAATCCCCAAAGGGGGCAGACCTTTGCAGATGAGGTCTTTCTTCTGGCAGCACTCCCAGAAACTAAGGTAAAGTCTCCGTTATTCCTGAGGGGGATCCGGATGGCTTATCATGTCCATCACACTCCACAATGCTATATAATACCATAAAACTTTGCAAATAGAATGAAGGAGAAAATAAATATTGCAAAAGCATACTGTCAAATTTCTACATAACAGAATATTAGGTTTGAAAATATTACCCATTAGTTAAATTTCTCCTCCTTTTACAATGATGTTTGCCTTTAAAGGGGTCACCAGAGAATAATTTGTTTCACAGAGCAGCCATGCTATTAATACTACTGTTTAGAGATATAGAAACGACTTTGCAACTGTGAATTGCTAAGAATTGTAGAAATAAAGGGAAAATAAAATTTTCTTTTCTAATTTTGTCTAGTGATAATAATAATAATAAAAATTACCTCTCTAGGTCTTGCACTAGGCAAGAAGGTATAAAATACCCTCTGCTTGCTAGGAGGCTATGGAAACTTTCCAGCCATCTTCTGGTTCCTTGTTAATTTTCTTGAAGTTTGCAGCTTTCCATTCTTGAGGGTGGGATGTGGGGTCAGTATGGGGTAATGAAAAAAACTCCACTCTTGAGAATCGGGCTCTTTGCTGGGCCAACAACTAACTAGCGCCATGTGAATCGTCCCTTTTCAATGTTTACAGTGCTTGATGGTTTCCCAATGCCAAGAGGATGGAGTTTAGACCCTTACGACCTCACAGCCTCATCTACAGCCTTCTTCTGCCTTCTGGCTAGTGTGTTCCAGCCATGCCCTCCTACTTTCAGATCCTGAAACATGCCTGGCTCTCCCCAGTTCCTGCCTCTGCTCATTTACCCTCTCCTGCACTATCTTTCCCCATTGCAACCCCTTCATCCTCCAAGTCCCAGTTTAGGTGTCTCTTGCTCCTTTTTGGATCTTCTAAGTTCAAGTCCACTTTCCTGCATGCTCACAAAGCTCCCTCTAACTTTGCCCAGCATTGTATAATATTGTAACAGGCTAGAACCTATTTAAAGCCCAGGATCCTCACAGCTCAATCCTAAATGCAGTCTGTATTTAAAGAAACAGTGGTCAAAAGTTCACAAAGTAATTAAGTGTTTTAATGTTTACTGAAGTCTCTTTACTGCAATCGAAAATGCCTGAGAGGGTGCACAATCTAAACTCTCAGCAAAACATCTCAGAAATGCTTCCTCTCTTTATCTTACTCTCATTATCTCCCCATGCACTGAAACTTCTATAAGCTCTCCAGAAACCAACCAGATGTTATCTTACCTGATTTCTCTTTGTTTCCTTATGCAATGATACAATTCTTCTCTTTACTACATTCTTTGATCCCTGTCATAACTGTTTACCTGTATCCACCACTAGACTCCATGATGAAAAGGATCATTTCAATCTTATTCACAGAACTTGAGATAATGCATGGTACATAATATGTCCTCAATAAATATTTGTTAAATGGATAAGGACACATTATTGGGTCTTTCCAGGCTAAACTTTCTTCTTCCAAGAAGAAATAGCCTGGGGAATTAGAAAGGCACTTCCAGTTGAAATGGTTCACTACTGAACAGGGCCAGGAGGTCATGAGGAGAACTGTTTAAACACTTTGTGGCACTATTTGCATTGAATGGCTCTCGTGGTTGATAATGATAGTAAATAAAGCACATATAGTTCCTTTTTTTTTTTTTTTGAGACAAGATTTTGCTCCTGCTGCCCAGGCTGGAGTGCAGTATCCTGATCTCGGCTCAGTGCAACCTCCACCTCCTGGATTCAAGCAATTCTCGTGCTTCAGCCTCCCAGGTAGCTAGGATTACAGGCACCCGGCACCACGCCCAGCTAATTTTTGTATTTTTAATATAGACAAGAGACAGGGTTGCACCATGTTGGCCAGGCTGGTCTCAAACTCCTAACCTCAAGTGATCCGCCCACCTAGGCCTTCCAAAGTGCTGGGATTACAGGTGTGAGCCACCACGCCCATCCAAATACATATAGTTCTTAATATGTACTACAGACTGTTTCAAAGGCCTTGCATCTATTTGCTCATTTTATCCTTCTAACACCCTTATGAGGTAGGAACCATTATTTTCCCAATGTTACAGGTGAGGAAATTAAGGACCAGAGACCAGAGAGGTTGAGTAATTTGCTGCTAAGGGACAGCATTAGCATTTAAATCAAGCAGTCTGCCTCTCTGGGCTGTGCTCTTAACCACTACTCTATATTTATTATTTTGCTACATACAAAACAACGTTCACAATGGAATGTGGAGTGGCATGTTTGCACGCAGCTGGGATGCAAGACACCTTGAGAGTAGGGCACTGAGATTATATTTCAAAATGATATAATATCTGCATCCCTAAAAGTGCATTTTTCTAAGTTACTTTTGCTATCTGTTCTTCAAAGTCTATCTGGAGAATACAAAATAATCCTTCAAGCCAGTCACAAAAGATCACTTATTATATAATTCCATTTATATGAAATATTCAGAATAGTTAAATCTATAGAGGCAGAAAAGTTAGTAGTTGTTTATGGCTGGTGAGGGGACAGATGTGAGGATAGGAAGGTGATAGCTAAAGAGTTTGGAGTTTCTTACCAGGTGCTGTGGCTCACGCCTGTAATCCCAGCACTTTAGGAGGCCATGACAGGTGGAACATCTGAGGTCAGGAGTTCGAGACCAGTCTGACCAACATGGTAAAACCCCAACTCCATTAAAAATACAAAAAAATGGGCCAGGCGCAATGGCTCACCCCTGTAATCCCAGCACTTTGGGAGGCCGAGGTGGGTGGATCACGAGGTCAGGAGATGGAGACCAACCTGGCCAACATGGTGAAACCTTGTCTCTACTAAAAATATAAAAATTAGCTGGGTGTGGTGGCGCGCACCTGTAATCCCAGCTACTTGGGAGGCTGAAGCAGGAGAATCGCTTGAACCTTGGAGGCCGAGATTGCAGTGAGCCCAGATCATGACACTGTACTCCAGCCTGGCAACTGAGCGAGACTTCATCTCAAAAAAATAATAATAATAACACAAAAAATTAGCTGGGCATGTTGGTGTGCACCTGTAATCCCATCTACTCAGGAGACTGAGGCAGAATTGCTTGAACCCAGGCCGCAGAGGTTGCAGTGAGCCAAGATCATGCCACTGCACTCCAGCCTGGGGGACAGAACGAGGTTCCGTCTCAAAAACAAAAAAAAAAAAATTGAGGGTTTCTTTTTGAGGTGATGAAAAGGTTCTAAAATTGACTGATCATTCACATCTCTGTGAATATACTAAAAACCATGGAATTGTATACTTCATATGGGTGAATTGTATGGTATGGGGATTATATTTGAATAAAACCATTATTTAAAAAAATACTTCACAACAAATTTGTCTTTAATTAAGTTTCTTGTACAGTGAAAGTCTGTCATTTAAATTTCTCTTTACCCATTTTATATTTACTGCTTCTCCAAGAATAAGGCATTCACAGCAGAAGTAGTTTTGGTACTTGGTGGATTCAAATGGCATGTTGGTCAGCTACAGCCAGCAACTGCTAGAAAATTATCTTTAACCTTTAAAAATTATTATTACAAATAAAAATTTACTACAAATATTTTGGCGGTGTCCATTCCCAGAAAAGTCTTGTTAAACATAAAATTGTTTTTCTTATAACAGTTTATTTTGGAGTAATTTTAGACTGACATAAAAGTTGTGCAGGTGGTATGGAGAATCCACCTATAATCCTCACTCAGTTTCAATTTCCCCTGATGTTATCATCTTACATTATGGTGATACATCTGTCAAAATTAGGAAACCAACATCAGGATATTACTATTAATGAAACTCCAAGCCAGGCGCCGTGGCTCACGCCTGTAATCTCAGCACTTTGGGAGGGTGAGGCGAGTGGACCATTTGAGGTCAGGAGTTTGAGACCAGCCTGGCCAACATGGTGAAACCCCGTGTCTACTAAAAATACAAAAATTAGCCTAGCAGTAGTGGCACGTGCCTGTAATTCCAGCTACTCAGGAGGCTGAGGCAGGAGAATCGCTTGAGCCTGGGAGGCAGAGGTTGCGGTGAGCCAAGATCGGGCCACTGCACTCCAGCCTGGGTGACAGAGTGAGAGTGTCTCAAAAAACAAACAAACAAATAAAACCCAAAACTCCAGACTTCATTTGGATTTATTATTCCACTAATTCCCTTTTTTTGTTGGAGGTCCCAATCCAATACTACATACTCACTATATTTAGTCATCATGTCCCCTTCGACTCCTCTGGGGCCTGTGACAGTTTTTAAGACTTTCCTTGTTTTTCATGCCCTTGACAGTTGGAGTACATCTAGTATTTTGTAAAATATCTCTCGATATGAGCTTATCTGATGTTTTTCTCATGAGTAGGCTGGAGTTATGAGTCTGGGGAAGATTATCACAGTGCTAAAGCGGCCTTCTTGTCACATTCCACATGAGATCCACATGACTTACCACTGGTGCTGTCAACATTCATCACGCGGTTAAGGTGGTGTCTTTCAGGTTTTTCCACTTCAATGTTATTATTTCGCCCTTTCTATATTATTTGGAAGCAAGTCACTAAGTCCAGTGCATGCCCAAATAATTTTTAAATGTGAAAATTATTCCTATTTTATTCGTTTCAAACATAATATTCATTTGCAAGATTCTCTAAGATTATTAAAATTGACTGAGATTCTCTTTTCCTTTCGTCTTTAATACTTAACTTTAAATTTTTGGATTCTAATGGTTTGGAAAAATAAATATTTTAAATTATAAGATAATATGACTGTTGCTTTCCAAGAGGTGTAATGTAAATTTAAACAATTACCTTTTTTATTTTAAAATATTAATTAGTGGGAAAACGCTGTGAAAGTATAACAAACTTTACTAATACCAAGGGAAAATAAAAGAGAGTATTTCTTATAATCTTGGAGTGGAAAGACCTCTCTAAAGGTCTAGACACAAAACATAGAAACTTGAAAGGAAAAGATTAATAAATTTGACTAAATTAAAATTTTAAAAATATGTATAATATTTTAAAATAATAATTTAAAAATCTATAAAGACAAAAATAACTGTAAGCCAATAATAAAACCAACAATTCAATAGAAACATGGCAAAGGTCACAAATATAGAATTCACAGAAAAAGAAATATACTTTATAAACATGTGAAAAGATGCTCTAACCTGATTCAAAATAAGACAAATATATATTAAAACCACAAGGAGGTAATGTTTTTGTCGCATTACATTACAAAGATAAAAAAATTGATAAAACACACCACCGTCAATATTGCAGAGAAGGAGGTACTATCCCACATCGTTGAACTGGTGCAAAAATTTTGGTTGGTAATTTGGCAAATATCTGTCCAAAATGTTGTAATTATGCATCTTTTGACTAGATATTCCACTTTTATAAATTTCTCTAACAAATATACTTGCATATGCACAGGCACAAAGATACCTGCAAAACTGTTCATTACAGCATCGTTTAATAACAGGGAAAAACTGAAACCAGCTAAGTGGCTACCACCAGGCAACAGTTAAATGTAGTATGAAGCAATTACATAAGATGTTATGCAGTCATTTAAAAGGTAGATTTCTGTAAGGGGATGTGGACTGTCTTGCAAGATGTATTGTTAAATGAAAAAGGCAATGTGAAAAATGGTGTAGATAGTATTCTAGTATGTCTGTAAAAACAGAAATATTCTTTATATAAATTTTCTTCATAACCACATATAAATTGCTCTATTGGCTGTTCCTGGAATTAAAATATTAAAAAATTATAAATAGTGGTTGCCTCTGGGGAGGTGTTGTGGGGCTGCACATGTAAACAGGGAATATTTGCCTCTCATCATCGATTGATTTTTATTATTCAACTTATTTGTTTTAAACACAGCATTTCTTTGTCTATTATAATTTTAGATATCCAATAAAAAATAAATATTATAAATCAAGTGCATGTATAATGTGTAGGTTAAAGCTTATCACTTAGAATCTCTAGAATTTCCAGTTCTTTTGCTGAAGTAACTTGTACTTCTAGAAATCACTTAGCCAAACGATAGGAGGTGAAGGTGAAACTGTTACTGATGCCCAACCTCTCTGTTGCGGACTACCAAATGAAAAGTTGTAATGAATATACCATCTCCCATTTCACCATCTTCTTGAATCATTTTGAGGCTTGGATTATTTTTGTTTCTATAAGTGGCTTGACTTTTCTGCTGGGAACTGCTGGCATGTTTGTGATGGAGTTAGGGGCACTGGCTTGTTGGGTGATTTGTTGCTGCTTAGTGACATACACGGATCGGAGGAAACAAAAACCCCAACTCTCCCACAGCTCCATTTTCCACACCTGCAGTCTCAACCGGAGTCCTTAGGTTTCGGTATATCGTTTTTGTTAATTACATCCAATCCAGACTTCAAAGGCATTGGTTGTACAAGATCATACACTGAGGATGACTTGTTATTCAAATTAACACCTAGTACAGTTCTGTGGTAAAAATAGCCTTGTTGCAAGGAAGTTTCCTTGCTTTGTAAAACCGTTTTAGATTTAATAGGATTTTTACCTATATGAACCTTCGATTATACCACCTTGTGCTGTTCTAGCCAGTATCACTTTTTATGATTAGATCAGTTTCCTTTTTCTAAGTGTTATGAGTTGAAATGTGTCCCCCCAAAATGAATATGTTGAAGTCCTAACCCCATACGACCTTATTTGGAGATAGGGTTTTTATAGAGGTAATCAAGTTAAAATGAGGTCATTAAGGTGGGACGTAATCCAATATGACAGATTTCCTTGTTAAAAATACATAATAAATAAATAAATAAACTAAACTGAGGCACACACCGGGAGAACACCGTGTGAGAGTGGAATTACACTGCTACAAGCCTGCAGGGAGCTAGGACAGATCCTTCCCGAGCTCCTTCAGAAAGAGCATGGCCCTGCGTGCACCTTGATTTTGGATTCGTAACCTCCAGAGCTGTGAGATAATAAATTTATGTTGTTCTAAGCCACCTAGTTTGAAGCTGTTTGTTATATCAGCCTAAGGACTCTGGATGGGAAATAATTGGACAAAAGTGAAAAAGACTCCAGTTCAAAATGAGCTGTGACTTTCTCCAATTCTTTCCTATACTAGGAAATGCCCCTTGTGAATTTGAATTCTGCTTTTGGTAATTTAGTCTGGAAAGAGTAACTGCTTTTTCAACTTAGGTTGTGTTTCCCCAGTATTTGTAGGAAGAAACACTACAATATCACTTCTCTCTGTGTGAACTCATCTATCCTTTAGGTTATATTTTCCACTAGGCTTTGGATGTTTTTACTCAAGTTGTTTCTTCTGCCTAGAATGACTTACCACCCTCTTTTTGCTAAACTGTGTGCCTTCCCCTCTTTCAAAACCCACTTTCAGAACTTGTCTGCAGATTCACTTCCTTATTGGTCTTTCTAGATTAAGTCTTTCAGGATAGAGTCACTCAGCAAGACTGTGAATGCTTTATATTGCCAAGTTTACACTCCTCTCCTCATAAACTATTTATTTCTCTCTGTATATTTAATATTTAGGTATATTTAAGTTTATATATTTAAGTTTCAGCACTTGAATTAATATATCTGTATATTTAAGTTTCAGCACTTGAATTAATATATCTGTATATTTAAGTTTCAGCACTTGAATTAATATATCTGTATATTTAAGTTTCAGCACTTGAATTAATATATCTGTGTATTATTTTTCTTTAAGTGGCAACATCTTTGAAGGAAAAGTTTTTTCAGTCAGCAAGTAATAACAAACGTAATAGTTACAATTGCTACATTTATGAGTACTTAGTACCTCTGCATTGTGAAACTGGGAGAAGTTTTATTTATATATATGCGTGTGTGTGTGTGTGTGTGTGTGTGTGGTGTAATAAGACACTCGTTCACAGTCACACAGCTAGGTAGTGGCAGAGCCAGGAATTCATTCCAGGCTGAATTGATTCTGAAGCCCTAGCTCTGAGACGCCTACTCAGTAAAGATGGTCCATTCACCTGACTCCAGCTAATAGGTCAAGGACTTCATCTTGCTCACAGATCTACCCCCAGGGCCTGGAATACTGTCTGGCACATGGTGGATACAGGATTCATGTTTTTGTTGCATAAACAGTCTGTAGCTCTGTCGATGTATGGCTATATTAATAGGAATAGAGGTACTCATAGGGCAAGACATGTCTTTTTAAAAATGTTAGCTCAAACCATATAAAATTGCCTATATTCAAAGTTTTTAACCTACAGAGATGGCAGTTTCATGCTGTTCAATCTTATACAATTGCCAAAAGAATTTAAAATTAATAAAAGATTCAGTCTTTTGCTGTTAGATTTGTTTTTAAAAAGTTTTTTCATGTCAGTGAGCCTCAGACTCCCATTGCAGCCCTTGGTTTCTGACAAGGACAATAAATTACTGTGTTTCTGTCATTATACAGTCTCAACACAAACATGTGTTCCTGGCATCTGTCTGACATTGCAGATGTTTTCTTTTAATAAGCAGGGTTAAAGTTCTTCTCTCATGAAAGAATTTTGCTATTCACATAAGTCGAATAATGAGACAGCCCTGGGAATGTAACCTCTCCCAGGATCCATTGTTTGTCATCTTCTCGTAAATATTTGAAGTCAACGGGCCTGATTTCTAACTCTCTTTCATTGATCTGCTCTCTGGCCCTCTGCCACCTTGGATCAAGCCACCTTTGCCACCTTGGTTTCCCCATTGATCAATCATTCTGGGGCTAGTGGATAAGTCTGTTGAAAGAGTCATAGAACTGGATTCTAGTTTTCCACCAGAACTAGTGATGTAACTTTGACCCAATTGAGCAGTCTCTGAACTGTTTCCTAAATAATAAAATGAAAATTATGTTCATCCTGCATCATCACAGGTTTATTGTCGGCATTCAAACTGTAAAATACCATTCAAATGTAACATGTTCCTGTTAGAGTTGCATTTAAACTTCAAGTCACAGAGGCAGTAAAGATTAGTCAATCCTTGGTGTATATAATGAGTTAGGTAATACTGTAATGACGGTAACACAATAGCTAACAGTCATAAAATTTTCTCTCTGACAGACACTATTCTAAAAGTTTTACTTGGATATTCTCACATAATCCTTATAGCAACCTCATAAGTTAGATATTATTCTATCTCTATTTTACAGTTGAAGAATCTGAGTCAGAGAGATTGAATAAATTACACAGTGAGGAAGTGGCAGAACCAGCCCTTTGCAGCCAAGCTTTCAGCCTGTGGTAGACACATACAATGCTCATCAAATACCCATGTGTTTCCTTTAATTTCCTGGACTCCCTTGTAATTAAACTGGGGCCTTGGAACTAGTTCTAGCCAATGGACTAGAAGTACGAGGGATGAGGGTCACTTCCAGTTTGAAGCATAGAAGAATAATTAGGACTCTTCACGCATTTTCCTTTTCCCTGTTAGAGGCCTCAGGTTGAAATGATGATGTCAACAATGAAAGCGTGGGTCACTTGGAAGCAAGCTGCTTTGGGGAGCTGCTGGGCCTGCAACAGACCTTGCATGAAAAAGGAATGTGCTTTCATGTGACCAACCACTTAGGTTTCAGGTTTGTTGGTTATTGAAGTATAGCCTGTCTTATCCTGATGACTATCCTACTTGTTGAAGTAAATATATTCATTTCTGAATCTAGAAATTATACATTGTAACTTGGAATTTGAAATCCAATATTAACAATCAGACAATTGTCCTCTAATGTGCTTCCTCCTAAAAATCTTCCTTTCAGAATTATTTTATGTAATTTGCAGCTCTCCCCTTCACTTTCTCTACCCGGCAGCCTAAGATGTACTTTCCATATATGTAATTTGTCTCCCTACCTCTTACCCACTTAATTGTGTGTGTGTGTGTGTGTGTGTGTGTGTGTGTGTGTGTAGCGTGTGGGCATTCGTGGGAGCATAGGTGGGAGAAAGGAAGAAAAGATTACTCAAAACAGTCTTTACTGCTTTCCAGATGTATAGAGATAGAGAAGGTTTAGCAAAGAATTTTTTCAACAGACTAGTGCAAAATAGATATTTAGAATTGTGTTTGGAAATTTGCTTTCCAATCTTGACACTGAAGCATTCATTGGCTGATGTATTATGATTCTTCTTTCTGCTGTGCTCTCTCAGAATTGAAGTTGGATAATAGTGTGGGTAGATATTTTCTTTCCAAGAACATTCTGGAGAAAAAAAATTGAACTAATAAAACAACAGACCCAAACAGTACTAGAAATAAATGCGGTTTTAGGGAAATGATGCTGCCGATGCCAGCCTCCCCGTCTCAATTATCTCAATCAGACAAAAATCTACTGTGCCCTGGGCTCCTCAGCAACAAAGCACTGTCTAGTTAGAAAGCAGAACAGCAACTTGTAGTGGGACAAGAACTTCGGTTTCTCCACCACACTGCAGAGGATGAACCTTCAGCCTCTGAGACATTCTAACGTGGGACAGAGCACCAGTGATGTGCCTAGGGAAGTATGTGTATGTGTGTGTACTAATATCAGTCAATGCTGGTTTTTTAAGACATCATTACTTGGTTGTATCTTCTCTGCTTTCTCTGCTGTCTTTTCAGAAATCCTACTGGATAGATGTTGTATGTCTTGAGTTGATATCTAATTTTCTTATCCTGTCTCTACTGTCCTTTCCTTTGTAAGCTTCGCATCTCACCTGAGGTTGGGAAGGGATAGTTGCCTTGATGTGTGAAATGGAAGAAAGAGACTGAGGTTCTAACTGCAATCTGTAAAGATTTTCACCCATCTCTCTCTTTTCAGCCCATGCCCCACCTCCAAACCCTGAGCTTTCAAACTGGCATTAGACCTTGCTCACTTCTGTCCGTATCTCCCCAGCAGACTCTCAGGCTGTAGCTTTCTCCATTCTGTAAAATTTGGTTTCTATTACACCTTTTACAAAAATGTGTTGATATATCATGTTTGTAATTGTCTCCTGTTCTGTGCCATTTATCCTGTAGGTTTAGAGCTTTCCTATTTGTTTTAATTTCATTTACTCTCAGTGAAGTTTCAGGGGAGAGAAGGAATAAAGACACACATATTTAATCTGTGTGTTAAATCAGAATCTCCCTGTGACATGTTTTTAAAAGTAACAGCCCTGCAAGGTATATATTAGTAGGCTCATGTTACAAAGATACTGAGTCTCAGAGAGCTTCGGTAAACTTCCTAAGCACTTACTGCTAAGGACCACAACTGGGATTCAAATCCATATGCAATTGAATCCAAAACCCCTGCTTTTCACCAGAGCAGATCTTCCTGCAGTGGCCACTAGGGCAGCGTCAGAGGACCTCCCAGGGATGGTTCTAAGGAGATGGTTCATAGCAAACGAGGTCCAGACCAACCCTTAGGTATCTTCCAACCTAGGTTGTAATAATTGGCTTTGCTTTGTTTGATAATTACAAATGATTTCCTACATGGAGTCTATAATTAGAATACTCATGGTATAAAAATAACACACGTTAGGGAAAAATGTAGAATTGATGGGTCATGGGGATTTTTTTAAACAAAGATAATTGGTGTAATACCATTTTAGCCTAAGTACTAAATAGTGCTCAATTAAAACTCTGGAGGAGGAACATAAACAGAAAAACTAGCTGAGTAACCCACAGCACCTAATTATACATTTAGCCACTCATCCAATCAGCTCACAGCACACCTACAGAGAGGAAACCCTATGTTTAGGTGACTCCTCTGTGAAGCCTCCACTTAAATGCTCTGTGTCACAGAGCCTCCTGACACACAGCATTTGGCCTAACCCACTCAGGGAGTAAGATATGTGCCATATGTTCATTTTAAGATTTCCCTTGGATGTGTTATTTGCACATGGGATCATCTTGCCTATATTAAAATGACACAATGCAAAATATAAGATGTGATATCTGATGTATCCCAGGAAAAACAGAGCTCATGACAGAAATTGGTGGTCACAGGGACTCCAACAGTCAGAGGCTGACTACTGCATACTTCAGAAGGGGCACAGACTGCACGGGAACCATAATCCCTTTCTGCAAGACAACAGGTTTGGGAGAGGTAGCTAGGCACCAACTGAGACCACACCCTCTTACCCACCTGCTGTGAGGAACTGGTTTGGCTTGAGCACAGTGCTTGAAGGATGTCTCCTAATCCTTGAGACCCATCAGGGTCCCTGTTGAGCCTGAGTTTCCCACAGCCATTATCTCCCAAATTAATGGCAGTTATTCCATAGTTTAGTGATTGCCTTCATATTTTCTCACAGGCTCCAGGGACACATCTACTCTGTGCCACAGTTATCCTATATCCTCAGGGTGGGATCAGACCTCACAGGGAGTCTCTGTGTCTGAGTAGGCAAACCAGTCCAGATTCATTGCCTTGGGGCAGGGCTAGACCCCACCTGGTATTGAAGTTATGCCAGACATGTGTTTTTAATCACATTTTTTTCCTCAAAGTCAACTGCATAATAAATTCATAATAAATAAATGCTGTCTCATCTAGAGAGTTCTGGGAGACCTAGAAAAACAGATGATTAAAAGAGAACAATTGAGTTGTTGCTCCAGAAAGGGCAACAATTTGGAGAGGAAGTGTAGTTAGTAGACCTGGCTTTGGAATCTGGCTCTGCCACCTCCCAGCTGTGGATGAAGTCTTACCTTCTTAAAACACCCATCTCCTTCTCTGTAAAATAAGGGTACAAATAAAACCTCGTAACATTGCTGTGAAGGTTTATAAAATGCATATAAAGTCCTAGATTAGAGTAAGCAAAAGGTAAATCATAGATGAAATAAAAATTATTTAAAAGCTCTTTTCTTTTTCTTCTTTTCTCTCAGATCTTTATCTTGTATCTTAACCCAATATTTAGAAGACGAAGGAATATTTCATTTTGGCTTCTTTAGAAAGAAAAGAAAAAAGAATTTGGGGGCCAAAATAATTATCTTTAAGTATTTGAAAGACTGAAAAGCAAAATAAATAAATAAATAACTATGAGTCTTATTCTGTATTTTTCTAGTGGTAGTTTTAGTCTAATATTTGTTGTTTCCCCTTAAAAATACTACTTAATTTCCCCTTTTTCATTCTTGTTGCTTAACTATCCTTTTTTCCTTTTTCTTCTTCTTCCCCTCTCTCTTTTCTCTTCCCTTGTATCTCTCCTTTCTCCTTATCGTTTTCTTTTCTTTTCTTTTTTTTTTTTTTTGAGACGGAGTCTCACTCTGTTGCCCAGCTGGAGTGCAGTGGTGCGATCTCAGCTCACTGCAACCTGCGCCTCCCGGATTCAAGGAATTATCCTGCCTCAGCCTCCCAAGTAGCTGGGATTACAGGTGTGCACCACCATGCCTGGCTAAATTTTTTTGTATTTTTAGTAGAGACAGGATTTCACCATATTGGCCAAGCTGGTCTCAAACTCCTGACCTTTTGATTTGTCTGCCTCAGCCTCCCAAAGTGCTGGGATTACAGATGTGAGCCACCGCACCCGGCCCATTTTCTTTTTTCAATTCTTTTTCTTACCTTTCTTTCACTTTCACTACTTTCCTCATTTATGCTTCCTATATCTTTTTCTTAAGAAAACCAAACTGTGGAGTACATAATGAAAGCAAAAAAACCTCACGTGTAGTGTGCATAGCTACTGTATATTACCAGTTTCAAAAACAAAGCACTCTCTTTTTCTCCGATGTTATATTTTAATCTGAGAAGTAATATTTGCAGAGTTTTCAGTGGTTTGAAGGAAGTAAAATATAACACAAATATCTTCTAGACATACACAGCATAAGCTTTTACTTGACTACACTCAGATGTTATCAAGAGTAAGTTCATTAATAACTTGCTGTTATATCAAAATTGGAAAATGAAAAGTAAGAAAAAACAAAAAAGGGGCATCTGGATTTTCAAGAATATTGCAATACATTTGGAAGTGGAAGCTGAGCACACAAGAAGAGAACAAATAAAGACCATGTATATTTGTGTTAAATTTGGGGAGGGCTCACATGATAAAAGACCTTCATAGCTAGCTCAAAAGTTAAGACTTTCCTTTTATTATTTTTATTGTATACTATGTGTTTATTGCAAGAACCATTAAGAAATATAAGAAACATTAAGAAAACATAAACTGGGAAAATAAAACCAAAATAGAATTACCCAAATGCTCACATCTAGTTAATTTCTTGATGTATAGCTCTATCTTTAGCTCTACAATGTACATGCTATTTTATAAATACATTGTCCTTCTAAGAGGATACTGAATATTTTTCTGTGTCAATAAATATGGAATAGAAACCTTTCAAGACCTATAGGTGATCAGAAAAGGACAAAAAAGATGTGGGGCAGAGTGATGAGCAAGACCTGATGGTGGGTAAACATGTCCTGCTACTTGAAGAATGTGCAGGATTTAGATAACCAGATGGGAGATGTCTCTCGGAAGAACAGCAACATGGAAAAATGCAGGAAAGGGAAAGTGCATGCACGGGTCATGCATGGTCCAGTAGGGAGACCAGTGTGGCTGGGAAGCTGGCTTTCTGTGGATAAGAGGGAAAAGGCAGGGAGAAGGATAGACCCAGGCAAAGAGAAGCTTTAGAGTACCTATTCTTTATCTTCTCTGAAAACTGGACAAGAAGAAATGGATTTGAATGGCAGTCCGCAGTCAAATGCAGATGGCTCTCCACATAAAGAGAATTGTTACAAATGATCTGCAGTAGTGAATGAAAAACTGGGATTCCCCTCTAGAGAGCTTTAAAAAAGGACAGATGTCTGAGCTCAAATAAGGATCTACTGCAGATACTTGCAATGCATTTGCCTTATCTTAGCTCATCTTAGTAGTAGGCAATTTAACAATATATTCTGGCTTACTGTTTTTCAAACTGTGGGCACAATAGTTGGTTATGACATTTAGTGAGTCATCATCAACAGTTTAAAAAAGAAATTTGAATAAAGTAGAACAGAAGTTGAATATCAGAATATGCTGCCACTGTTAACATTCTCAAGAGCCTATTTGTGTAAATCGGGATTTTCAATCTTCAGCCAATTAAAACAACAAAAAAAATCTGGCTGAACAGTGCACCAGAAATGCAGGTAGCATTATCTTCATGTGTCTCAGACTGTAATAAACATGAACAGGCAAAGATAGCTGGAGCATTAAGTAAAATATTTCCTAATTTTTAGTTTTTATTGTTTGTTTTGGATTTGTTTCCACTTTGTGTTTACAGATGAATAAAACATAGTTCACATTATTCATTGTTTTTACCTGATCATAGATAATGAAGAATTGTTCCATGAAACTTCATGTTCAAATCATGTGCATTTATATGTACTAGTTGCAATGTAAAATGTATTTCTTACTGAGGACCACGGGGAAAAAAAGTTTGGAAAAATTACTGAGAACTTTACTTAAGAACAATTTGTATACTCTATGCATATTCTGCTTAGTTTCTGAATTGGTTGAGACTCTTGGTTAACAAATAACAGAAAAAGCAACTTGTACTGTTAAAACAAAAATGAGGGGAGATTATTTTGAAGGCTATAGCGTACGTCCCAGAACCAAAGCCTTTTGAGTGCAACTGGGCCTCACTAGAGAGTGCAGCTCATTAAGTGGAAGGTCGTAAGGAAGCTCAGCCCTCTTCTGTCTCCTCCTATCTCTGCTTCCCTGGCAGGCCTGTTCTTTCTTCCTGTGCGGGCTGACTTTCCGGGTCCTCAGTTTCCACAGTGAAGCCCAGGTCTACATGCTTCACGTTACGGTTTTTAGCACCCAGAAAGTTTTTTCCTCTATCTTCATCTTAATTTCATTACTCAGTCCCCACCTCCCAATGAGGAAAGAAAACCTGCCCGTTTGGGTCAGTTCAAGTCAGGTCTACCATTGGTCCAGTCAACTGTGGGCTGTGGAGAAGAGGGATAGAGCAATGGGGAGCCATGATGGGATCTGGAATTCTACTCCAAAGGAGGAACAGGGGTGAGCCGGGCAGATATTCCAAATGGCCCCTGGTGCATGCTCTTAACTCTTCTTTCTAGAAACTAGTGAATTCTTATATATTGATTCAAAGGAATCAAGATTCTGCATGTGCCCCAAATGACTTTGAGTATTAAATCCAAAGAGACACTTTTTCTTAATTAAAAAAAAACACTGTGGCTTGCAGGCAATTGAAGAACCTCTTAGAAATGGCACATTTCTTTATACAATAATCTGAGCTGGAAACAAATGCAGGGAAAGAAACAAAAATGAAAACAAACCTGACACCAATAAATATGTAATGTGAAGTGATCTGCAACAAGAAGGATCAAGACTATTTTATAATCAAACACCAAAGAGAGGTGACCTTAGGCGTACCTTGGAACATAAAAATCTTGCTTTGCAGGATGGCTTTATTTTCTGCCTTAAATCTAACCAAAGAGTTTGCAGTATTGTGTGGTTTGGGTGTGGCGGTAGAAGCCTGGGGTGAGTCACCATGATGACCAACTGTGGTTTCTTTTTTGCTATAGTGAAGAAATGTGGTTTGCTCAGTGTATCGTCCCAATCTACATGCCTTCTGGATAGGCTACAAGAAATACCTATTAATGGACAAAAGACAGGCTGAGGGAGGAAATGAAGTCTAGGCCTGGGAAAATTTAGATGACAATTTTTTGAGTGGGAGGGAGTAGGTTAGGATATATAGAAAGGAAAAGATAATTGATTCAAAATCTTCAATATGACAAGAATATGATAATTCTTATAATAAAAATTGATTCCTATGAATGACTTGGTCTAGATATATTCCAGACAGAAATAGCACATTAAAAAATTAATCTAGCTTTGGTAAATATTTGAAGCAAGCAGTTGGCTGTACAGATATTTGGGCTGCAAAAATTTCTATATAGAAAATTAATTCCATAAGATGGTGTTTGTGAGTGGGAGAAAAATGAAAGTTAGTGGAAAGTGGCAAGATTTCAAAAATATAACTTGATTTCCAGAGATACACTTGCTAGTCTGAAAATGTAATTTTGTAGGCCAGGCACGGTGGCTCACACCTGTAATCCTAGCACTTTGGGAGGCCGAGGCGAGTGGATCACATGAGGTCAGGAGTTCGAGACCAGCCTGGCCAACATGGCAAAACCTCATCTCTACTAAAAATACAAAAATTAGATGACCGTGGTGGTGGGCACCTGTAATCCCAGCTACTCAGGAGGCTGAGAGGCAGGAGAATCACTTGAACCCAGGAGGTGGAGGTTGCGGTGAGCCGAGATCATGCCACTGCACTCCAGCCTGGACAACAGAGCGAGAGTCCATCTGAAAAAAAAAAATGTAATTTTGTGACTCAGTTTTCTGTGTTGCCTCCAGATCTGAGGGGCCATGACGAACTTGCACCTATCCCAGGACAGGAACACGGGAGTACTTTGGGTTTAGTAAGTTCATTACCATGCACACATCATCCCAAATTTGGTTTCTTGTTGCCTAACAAATGTTAAAGTTATTTCAAATAACCAGCCACTCTATCAGCACATACACAAAAGAAGCAAACCAAAAAGAAAAAAAAAAGGAAATGGAAAAATGGAAAAAGCACCCATTATTGGGAATGAGTACATCAGCGTGAATTCTGGCTGCCAGCTCAGGTATGTGGGTCTGGATTAGAGCTTTCCTAGGGTACTGCTCAGCTGTGGCTCATTTTATGGTCTACAGAATGTCTGGAATGCTGGTTGAATGGAAACAGATCTATAACATTCATTGATTGGACAGGAGGTTGCTTCTTACTGGGGATCCAACAAAAACTGCTTTGCCCCTGTCCAAAGAACATTCAGGGGTTTTGAAATTTTTAACTATTAATAATAAATGCAATTTAATAATTGCAACCAGCATTTATTTGCACAATTATCATACATGAGGCACTGTGCCAAATGCTTTAATACACTGCCTTATTCCATCATCAGAATAACCCTAGGATGTAGGTACTCAGCTTTATCATCCACAGGTAACAGGTTAGGGAACTGATATTCAAAGTGATTAAGTAATTTGCTTGAGGTATGCAGTCCATAAGTGGCAGAGCTGGGATTTAAACATAGTTGTGTGGATCTAAAACTCTTATGCTTTACCCACTATGATGTATTGCCAAAATATGGCAATCTCCAGCAAATGCGATGTGGTATCTACCTGGATGTTTCTTTGGCTCTGTTTTTTATTTCTTTATAGGATTCTCTTTCAAGTATATATTTATATGCAAATCGATTCCTAGGTAGAACAGCCAGTTGGTGGAGCAGTCAAAACACACACAACATTTATCAATTAAATTCTCTGTCTTCTATGGGTGCACTATGTGGTGCCCCAAAATAATTACAATAGCAACATCAAAGATCTCTGATCACATATCACGTAACAGATATAATGAAAAAGGTTGAGGTGTTGCAAGAATTACCAAAATGTGGGTAGACATGAGGTGAACACACATGCTGTTGGAAAAATGGTGCTGACAGACATGCTCGAGGCACGGTTGCCACAAGCCTTCATTTTGTAAAAAACACAGTATCTGTGAAATGCAATAAAGCAAAGAGCAATAAAATGAGGTATGCCTGTATTTACTTGTCTGTCTCTTCTAATTGTAAAGTCCTTTAGTGTAAGAGGTCTACAGTACCTCCCCATAGCAGGCATCTGTTACTGAGTAAATAAAGGAATAAATGATTACCTATGTGCAGACAGTAATGTGGCAAAAGCCATTTATTTATTTATATTTAGTTTTTGTTTTTCTTGAGACAGAGTCTCACTCTGTCGCCCAGGCTGGAGTGCAATGGGACAATCTTGGCTCACTGCAACCTCTGCCTCCCTTGTTCAGGCGATTCTTGTGCCTCGGCCTCCTGAGTAGCTGGGATTACAGGTGCGCGCCACCATGCCCAGCTAGTTTTTTGTATTTTTAGTAGAGACGGGGTTTCGTCGTGTTGCCCAGGCTGGTCTCGAACTCCTGAGCTCAGGCACTCTGCCCACCTCAGTCTCCCAAAGTGCTAGGATTACAGGCATGAGCCACCGCACCATCTATATTTAAAAGGAGCTTCCCCAAATTAGTAAATGCTGGTCCATGATATCAAAGTTCCAATAATTCTTCACTGGCTACAAGGAAAAGCAAAACATCAGGGTCTTCAGCTTCTTTGAAATTCTTCTGTACTCATAGTCATTAATGCATTGTTTAGCAATTGTTCTGCTTATGTGAGTTCTGACTTTTAAGCTAAGCCTGAAGGTTAGGGTTATTACCTCTTATAGATTTTGATACCTAATATATCATGTATTAGTGTAGCTGCTCCACAAACAATGAGCTGGTGAATAGATTGATTACTTACTCCATTACATAGACCCTCCGCTCCAGCCAGGTGAGTGGGTTCCTCTTTATCTCGTCAGGTGCCCCCACCCCTTCTCCTTCTGTTCACACCTCACCAGCTAGCCAGCCTGCTCATGTCTCCTTCCTCCTTTCCCTCCTATTGTTGATACAACCCCTGTGGAACCCCAAACTCCCAAAACACCTTTGTACTTACTCACACACTGTTAGGTCTTTCAATATCCCTACACCATCATGTGTTACAAATGCCATATAACTTCAGCTAAACTGTCAGTCCCTGGAGGACAGGCAATGTATCTTTTTAATCTCTATATCTCTCCTTCTACTAGTCCTTTCACAATGTTTTACATAGAATACTCTCAAGAAATATATAACTGGTTTAAACTCAATTTTTAAATACTCTGTTGGAAAATAACCTCAAACTCTAATGCCACCAAGTCACTGGAAACCATTCCAGAGTTTGAATAAAGTACTCCAGGGATCTAAAACCTTGATTCTGGGATATGTAGGCTCCCCAGTAAGAAAATCATTCTAGTTCCTGGGGTGGAGGCCAGGAAGGAGGAGCTGCCTGTCACCTCACCCCTACAGCTTTTGTGTTTGTTTAAATTACTGTAGTGGTGTGGTCACAATCATAAGAAGATCTTGTTTTCAGACTTATGGCATAGTTTCCCTCCTTTCTGAATGTAACCGATGCCAACAATCATTTGTTTTTCCTGAGTGGACATAGTCCCAATATCTAAGTTGTTTCATTTTTATGTATAAATTCCTGCAGTGCTACCTGTTTGTTGAAATACTAGATACACAGACAGTAAGTACGACACTTTAAGAGGAAATGCATTTAAATCCTCTTCTCCCCGCATCCCCTCCCTCAAAATTAAGAATGCTGCTAGCCTATCCTTTGAAGAAGAAGTCAGAATTCCTAAAATGAGGAGGTACAAAGGAAACCAGAATTCTGTTCTGCCAGGCTCCATATAGCATGACAAATCTCTCCTTAAAATCTGCCTTCTGGCCGGCTGTAGTGGCTCACGCCTGTAATCCTAGCACTTTGGGAGGCAGCACTGGGCAGATCACTTGAGGTCAGGTGTTGTTCGAGACCAGTCTGACCAACGTGGTGAAACCCCGTCTCTACCATTAAAAAAAAAAAAAAAAAAAAAAAGCTGGGTGTGACAACGCGCCTGTAGTCCCAAGTACTTAGGAGACTGAGGCAGGAGAATCGCTTGAACCTGGGAGGCGGAGATTGCAGCGAGCAGAGATCGCGCCACTGCACTCCAGACAGAGCGAAACTGCCTCTCCAGAAAAAAAAAAAAAAAAAAAAAAAAGGCTCTGCCTTCTCTCTCTTCAACTGTCTAAACCCCAACGCTGCAGAAAGCGGTGACCCCAAGTCCCAGAATGATGATGCTACTGCAGGGTAACAAACAGGTTTTCTGTCAGGCCTGATTGTGAACCAGCAGCAACTGCAGGCTGACAGTTTCTCACATAAGCACGTAGGGCTTGTTAAATTTCACTTCCAGCCCCAAACCAGGAAGCGCTGTTTAAGATGAGCCCAAGAAGAAAGCAATCTAGCTTCAGAAACAAAACTCGCCAGACTCTAGAAAGACTATAAGGGTTTAAATTTGGGACTGTTCTCCGTTTTGCATTGGAACCTATGTTCTCCTCCCCATAAAAGTTTATTAAAATTCGAAACTGCCAAAAAACAAAGTAAAATCATATAAAACATACACAGGCGCGTGCACGCACGCACACACACACAGACCAATTTGTTTTTGTGATCCGCTTCCTTATCTAGACTGTCCAGGCTTGGGCCAGATTTGAGTTGGTAAACTCTCGCAGCTAAAGCGGAGCAGAATGTAGAAAGAGTATCTACTTCTCCGGATTGTTGGGAGGAGGGTCGAAGCGTAGACTGGCCACGCCCGGGTCCCGCTCTCTCGTTGCACAACTGCAAGCTAGATCTGGGCATCGAAGGAGGAACGCTGCAACCTCCAACCCCTTCTTTCTGACCAACCGGGACCAGAGCAGTGCTGGGGCCGGGGCGGGTCACCGGGTGAGGACCGGGGCGGAGGGTGTTAAGTTACAGGGCAGGAGCCCGGGTCCCTCCGCGGGCAGGAAGGGGAGGGCCCATCGGGGCTAGGGGAACCCCGGCGCAGACCTGGGGTGGGGTCGGAAAAGCTGTTTCATCGCCCGCTCCCGGGCCCTCCGCTCCCTCCCTCCCTCCCTCTCTCCCTGGCAGGACTCCCCGCCAGGCCTCCCCGCCACTCTCCGCGGCGCATTCCGGGAGGCAGCGGCCGCAGCGGCCTCGCCATGTCCCAGCCCGGCCAGAAGCCCGCCGCCTCCCCGCGGCCCCGGCGAGCAGCCGCCGCCCGCCGCACCCATGAGGTGAGTGGCGCTCCTGTCGGCGTCGCGGGGCTGGGCGATGGGGTACCGGGTCCCGGAGCTGTGGCCGCCCTCCCTGGGCGTTGCCAGGCTGGCGGGTCTGCAGTCCCCGGCGCCCCCGCGGGGCAGGGAGAGGGCTAGGGGCTTGGCCGCTGCCAGGCAGGTGGCTGCAGGTGGCTTCGGTTCCCCGGCCGGGTCCAGTGCGCTGGGCGTGGCGTTGGCCGGGTAGAGTGGAGGGGGGGACGCGTCAAGAAAAGTTGGCTGGTAAGACGTGGGTGAATGAGGATGAGGATGAACGGGGAATGAGGTTCACTCAGGACCCCCGAGTGAGTGGGGTGGTTTCACTGGACAGCGGGATGTAGTCTTCCGCGCTAAGGCCGGGCCGCAGGGCGTGGCTGCCTGGAGACGCAGAGCCTCTTCCCTAACCAGCCTCGAGCCAAATTGGGCGGGCGAGGAGGGGCGGGGCCTGCGCCGGGCCCCACCCCCAGGGTTCTGCCCACCTGGCAGCCGCCTTGGGATGTGCGGAGCTCAGTGCCAGCCCGGTCCCGGCCAAGCGGAGTGTGAGCCCGGCGCCTCCAACGCAACACCCCGCGCCCTCGCCGGCTCCCCCGCCGTGCGGATCGGAGCCAGCCGGTTGTTGCCATGGCATTCGCCAGCTGGTGGTACAAGACGGTAAATAGGAGCGGTTGTGCCTGGGCAGGACCCGGAAGGGAGTGTGTTGGAAGGGAGTGTGTTTGCTTTGCCCTTCTGGGCGTGCGGATGAAGCGTTGTCCGGGGTTTGGCGGGGAAGGGGTGCGGACCGGGTGCGACCTCCTCGCAGACCTTCAGGTTAGGCTCGGGGAGAGGCAGGGGACTCACCCTCTTGTGGTATGTATGAGCGCGCCCGAGCGTGCGCGGCGCATGCACCTCTCTCGCCCCGATGTCAAGCACTATGCTCTGCTGGCGCTCACAAGTGGGATGGAACTGGAATTGTTGCTGGAGGAATTCTGTCTAGGAGGTGGATTCCTGAATGCACTAGGACGCAGCTCGCAAGAGCTTTGATCTAGAGTTCTTTTTTAACCCCTAAGTAAAGTTCAAAACTTTTAGAGGGCGATTGTTGGACGTACATTCGCCGACGCAAAGGAGAGGCAGCTGCAATGTGAGGCAAGGAGAAAATCCCAAACATCAAGGGGCAGAAGCAACTGAGATCTGAGACCAAGACCCTTGGAGAGAGCGGTGGAGGGGTGGAGGAAAGAAAGCGAGAAAGTGAGAGAGGGAGGGAGAGAGAGACAGCGCGCACAAAAGCGAGCTTCTCTGCACTTTATTACTTTGGATGAGGGACAAGAACATTCCATTTGTTTGGTGCATTGAATGTTTGTCCTGCCAATTAGGTGTAATATCCAGTCAAGCTGGCACTTCTAGTGTTTTGGAACCAGGAAGCATGATTTAACATTAGATTGCTTTCCAAAAAAAAAAAAAAAAATCACACACAGGAGTTTTGTTGACAGTGAGAGCCAAAATGTTTATGTCTCATTGATTTATGGTGAGAATTAAAAAATTAGGTATGTCTTTTTCTCTCTTGGCATGTGGTATTGGAAAAAGCAAAGATGTTGGAATCAGACATTCTTTGGAGCTAGCTACCCTGTATAAGAATCAAGAAAGAAACTGTTACTTATCAGACAATGGACATTTATTGATCATCTATTATGTGCCAGGCAGAATTATATCCCACAAGTAGTGTTTTTTTTTAGATTATTTTTTATTCTCCGTTTCTATATAAATAGTATATATGTATAGTGTGTATGTGTGTATATTTACAGTGTGTGTGCATATATATATTTACACATATATGTAAATATATGTGTGTGCATATATATGTAAATATATGTGTGTGTGCATATATATGTGTGTGCATATATATGTGTAAATATATATATATATGCACACACACACACACATACAATATACTGTACAGGGTCTCTCTCACTATGTTGCCCAGGCTAGTCTAAAACTCCTGGTCTCAAGCAATCCTCCCACCTCAGCCTCCCAAAATGTTGGATTACAGGCATGAGCCACTGCACTGGGCCTACAGGTGCTTTTTAAAGCCTCCATGTACACTGTGGAGAACAAAGAGTTTTTCTCAAATGGAAATAAGTCAACCTTTTCAACCTGTTTTCACATGTGTAAAATAGAAATTATATGCACTACATAAGTATTGGTGAGGACTAATTAGATTTAAAAGTCAAAATGTCATACACATATACTTTTAAGAATTTGGAATTCCAATTTCCCTTGAGATACTTCTTCATGAATGTTTTCCAGTACATTTCCTGGGCTTTTACATGTAGCATTTGATTGATGTGGTAAGAACAAACCACATCAATTTGCTTTGAGTCATTATTGGCCTAAGGTTCTTATCAAAATGTACCATGTACCTTATCTGCAAATATGGATAGCAGTAGTTCAGAGTTGACATCAAAATTCTCCTTCCAGACTCATGATTCTCTCAAGGAAACTCTGCTGGGTTACTTGGATGAAAGTAGTTTGAATCTATGCTTTTAACCCTGTTTTGTTTAGTCACAGTCTGATGTTTTTGCTAAAACCTCTCTTAGAATCCCATTTTGGTACTACCATGAAAACTTTTTGCTAGTAGGAACTTCCTAGAACCAGCTACATGCCTGTGATCAAGCTTTAGCTTTGCCCAAACCAGTGCTATTCAATAGAAACATAATGTGAGCCACGTCTGCAATTTCAGATTTCCAAGGAGCCACTTTAACAACAACATCACAACAAAAAGCAGGTGAAATTTGTGCTAATTGATATATTTTACTTAACCTACTATATCCCACATATTATTATTTCATCATGTAATCAGTGTATAAGCCATTGAGATATTTTACATTCTTTTTTATACTAATTCTTCAAAATCCAATGTATATTTACATTAACAGCACATCTCAATTCACACTTGCCACATTTCAAGAGTGTTCAGTAGCCACAAGCAGCTAGGGGCTATAGTAATGGACAGTATAGCGCTAGACCATGGACTCCTAAACTTTCTTTTTTTCCTTTGGTGATAGGTGGGTGGTCACAGACAATTTTGAGAATCAAATGGGATTTATGGACTGCTTTCCCACAACAAAATACATACAAACATACACAAAATGCAGTTTCCAATATAGCTTCAGGGAGTTCAGAGATTTCCAAAAGACCACCCATAAATCCCCCAAAGGTCCATGGAGCCAGTTTATAACACACACACACACACATACACACACACACACACATATACATACACACATACAAACATATACAATCCAATATACATATATGTGCATATTTATATATAATACACACATGCATGTATAATACATATGTAGACATCTAGATTTATGTGTGTATGTATCTACAGATATAAATACAGATGTCTGTCTGTATGTACACATGCATGTATAATACATATATAGACAGATTTATATGCATATATATCTACAGATATAAACACAGATATCGGTATATACACAGACATCTCAGAATACTTCAGGTAAATCCTATAATTAAAATATCTTTGTGGAATCCTTTAAGTACTGAAAAGGTTATAAATGATCTAACTTTCAAAATTTAGGCAGAATAAAATGAAATAATTAAAAGACATGTCTCAGATGTGTTCGTTTAACAGCATGCCACCTATAAAGCTAGTCAGTGAAACGTTGCAATGTATATTTCCACATTGAATGCCATCAATCCTATTGACTTTATCTTCTGAAAAATGTGGTTGTAGTAAACACACACACACACACACACACCACACAACTCTGCAGAGCTAAATTTGAAGAACATCTATGAGCTATGTAATGATCAAGCATGAACGAAGGTTAATTTGGCCCACACCAGTCATCACATTCCTGAATCATCAGTTGATTCTATTAGACTATGTTAATTAAAGGTGTTTCTTAGCCTAATTAGATCCATAGACCTAGTGACAGCATGATCAAGGAGCCCAGTCATTTGGGAGGCCCCATCATTGCTGCCAGCCTGGGAAGAATGTTGCAAGCCTTCCATGGCAGGACAGATCACTTGCTCACAGTGAATTTTAGAACTAAGGAAGGCAAATAACAGGGCCTGCAAAAAGGGCATAGACTTTAGGGTAATGGAAACATAGAGGTCAAATACAGCCTTTCTCTTTCAGCTGACAGTCTTTGAATTAGTTCGCGCCCCATTGTGTATAAGCCTTTTAAACCAAGAGTAGCATCTGATAATATCTTTCTTTAAATCAGTTTTGGCACTTCCCAGAAGGTTAATTATATTCTACAGGTGCCTTTTAAAGAATGCTATAGCCTTCTGGGGGTGGGAACAGTGGGGGGTCATGTGAGATTCCATGTGGATAGGTGGGTAATTAGTTCTGACTAGATTGTCTCAGCAGATACAAAACTACTCTAAGTAGTACATCATTTTTCCCCCTTGAGGTATTTTTAAGATGAAAATCATATTAACAGATACTAAAGTTCTGTTCTTTGAGTTGTCTCATTTTCCTTTCATGAAAACATACCCAGAAAGCTTTACAGCCACCATAAAGGCGGGGGGCAGGGGGAAGTATATCAGATGTCTTCCAGTTAAGAAAAATGCAAGAACAGTTCCATCCAATAAACACTGTTCATGTAAGTTATCTCCTCAGATGGAAAAGTCAGTTAACTCAGGAAGAAAAAGGTCTAAAGTTATAGTTTCCTAAAAATGTATGAAATTTGTTTTGGTTGTAGGAAACTCATAGAACATAAGAATAAATTTGGTAAAGCTCAAAGATGTTCACAGTTGTTTATTGTCCACCTGCTGTGTGTCAGTTTTGTGCAGAGTGCGGTGGACACAAAAAAATCGTGCAGTGGTCTGTGCCTGGCCTCCTCTTGCATTTCTCATAGATAAAACTACAAGTTCATTCTCATGACAACTGCTGTGGCAACAAAGCAACTATTTAAATTCTCATGATACCCCCTTTGACTTAAGAAAAACTCATCCAGCCTTACTTCAGGTGAATCCCAGGAGCTAATCTATGACAGGCAATAGATGCCACCTCTGAAAATTGGACACAAAGGGCCTGTACCTTTACAGTGTCATCTTGTCATGTCCACTGAAATCTTAAAATGTTAGAAAAAACGAACACTTGGGGTTCAGTGAAAACAGAGGGATTTCAGAATTACAGCTATGCAGTTAATCCTTAATATATATTAAGCATTAGTACACAGAATAAGAGAAGAGTATAATGAGGCTGGGTGCGGTTGGCTCACGCCTGTAATCCCAGCACTTTGGGAGGCTGAGGCGGATGGATCACAAGGTCAGGAGTTCAAGACCAGCCTGGCCAAGATGGTGAAACCCCATCTCTACTAAAAATACAAAAAAATTAGCTGGGCGTGGTGGCAGGCGCCTGTAATTCCAGCTACTCAGGAGGCTGAGGCAGGAGAATGGCGTGAACCCGCGAGGCGGAGCTTGCAGTAAGCCGAGATTGCACCACTGCACTCCAGCCCGGGCGACAGAGCAAGACTCCGTCTCAATAAATAAATGAATAAATAAATAAATAAGTATAATGACCTCTTCATATACCAATCATTGGTGTCAATAATTGTCAACATTGTCCTAATCTTGTTTTATCTGTTAACCGTCACAGCTACCAGCACAGACACGCGTGCACACACACACACACACACACACCCTTTCAACATGTTTTAAAGCATGGGAATTGCAAATATAAGTCATCCTTGTAACCAAATTGCTGTAGTTTGTTGGGAAAATGAATTCTTTAACCCCCATGTAGTTTATCTCCTTGAGTGTTATACGAAGATGTGAGAATAATATATAATACACAGTCATGAGATAGACAAAGTACTAAACAAAAACTTAATCAGATGAACCTGATAAGGTTCCTTTGTACTTTAGGGAAAGTAAAATACTAAATTCTTCTGTTCTAATGTTTACAGCCTTAGAAAATGAAACCCTCAAACCTTAACTCACTGGCTTCTAATTCACCACAGTCAGATTGCCAGGGAAAAAGAAGGGAGTGAAATAATTTTAATTGTGTTCTTAAAATGAACAAGGCAATGAACCAGGTGCCTCACTAATGTCAACTCTTTTCATAAATTTGCCAGCCCCTGGGATAGATACCATTAGCCCTATTTTACAAAAAGAAACTGAAAAATTAAATTATCTGCCCAAGGTCACGGTCATATAGCCTTACAAATCTAGGCTGTTTCTGCCCTATCAGAGTTTATTGCAGTCAACTAACAGACAGAAATGACTCTGAGTATTTAAAACAAAGGGAGTGTAACATAGGGAATTGGTTACCCAGGTAAAAAAAAAAAAGGCTGGGAAGCCGTCAGGGGAGGGTGAGGCAACCCAGAGATTAGAAATTGCAGGAAGCTGCTACCATCCCTAGTCTAGAGGGACACAGGGAGGACAAGGGTCACCTTGCAGAAGCTGGAACCACAGCCAACCCATCCTGCAGGAGGTGCTACTGGAGGAGGGGGTGGGGCAAAGGGAATACCACCCACCCACCACCTCTAGTCTCCTGGCAGCGCCTGCTGTTGGCTAAACCCAACTTGAGGCCATCCATCAAGAGAATTGCAGCCAGCAAAGTTCCACTACAATTTGAACACAGCAGAAGTGGAACAAGGAATCCACCTGAAGGCAGACAGTTCTAGGATCTGCACCCAGGGAGACTGTTCTGAAGCAAAACCAGCTTTACAGAAGCTTTGGTCCATCTGCTTGTTTGCTGAATAATTTTGCTTTAGCAAGTAGAATACATATACAAATATATTTTAAGGCATTTTTGTGGGAAATACCAATTTGCACATTGTCTCTTAATTTTTCAAGCTACCTTCTTGGCCTCTTTCTCTTTTGTCTAGTTTACTGATCTGAAAAGAGCAAAATTACTTCTCAGGGAATGTTTATAGGTTTGTGGGAACATGGTCATTCAATCAAGAATTCTTTGTTATGGTCCTACCACACATCTAGGAAAAAAAGGATATAACTTACCCTGTGATTAGGAAGGCAAGATGTAAGTTTATAAAGTAATCAGTAAGCAAGAGAGTGTACAATAAAGTGCTAATTTGTTTGATTTACTGAGAAAATAGAGATTAATGTGCAAATATGAAAATATGATACTCCATTAATAGGGCAAAGCTCAGAATTTGACAGGAAACACTGGTGTAGACATAGGGCACTGTGCTGCTTCACTGACCAATCAGAGTTTACCCAGGAGGAGCCCAGAGCCACCCCAGTCTGCCTGACCCTGGGAACCTCCCCATGGGTGCCGACTCAGTGGGATGGTTTGAGGAGCGGAAACTTCCGCTTCCTATCATGGTGCCCATAAATCTTCCCCCAAAACCAGTGGTTCTCAATCCTGGCTGTATATTGGAATCATCTGGGGAACTTTAGAAAAATTTATCCATGGCAAGGCCCCATTCTATTCAAACTAAATCTAAATCCCTGTGCCCTGACACAAATGTTTCTAAAAGCTTCCCAGGTGCTTGTGACAGGCACTGAAGGATGGGACCCACTGCTAACCTGAAGTCTTTGTGATCCTCAGGAGCCCCTGGTAGAAGCCTTTCTCAGTGTGTGTGATGGTAGAGAGCTGAGTTCCATGAGCTCGGAGAGTCCAGAGGGTATCAAGATAACCTTTTATTGCTCCATGATTTTTCCACAGCTGTCCCTGGACATGCAAATACTATCTCGATGAAATTGTCGCCACATTGAAGAAGGAAAATGTTTAAGTTTTCAAATAAATCACCCACCAAGACATATGATACAATATGTTTTAGTATAGTCACAGGGTGGTCACAACCATCAGCACAATTTTACTTTAGAATGTTTTCCTTTCCTCCTAAAAGAAGCCTCATACTTTAAAAAATAATAATAATAAAGCAAAGGCATTTCAGAAGCACACTAGCATTTCATACTCTTTTCACAGCTGGACTTAATGCTGGCAAGGGCTGCTTTTCTGTCTTCTTGCTTCTTTTATATGTGAAGAAGTTTCTTTGATTTTTTTTTCTTTTTTTTGTGATGGAGTTTTGCTCGTTACTCAGGCTGGAGTGCAATGGCACGATCTCAGCTCGCTGCAACCTCCACCTCCTGGGTTCAAGTAATTCTCCTGCCTCAGCCTCCGGAGTAGCTGGGACTACAGGTGTGCACCACCATGCCCAGCTAATTTTTGTATTTTTAGTAGAGACAGGGTTTTACCATATTGGCCAGGCTGGTCTCGAACTCCTGATCTCCTGATCTGCCCACCTCGGCCTCCCAAAGTGTTGGGATTACAGGCGTGAGCCACTGTGCCCGGCCTAGTTTCTTTGATTTTTATCTTGTTTTGTGTGACATGTTCCCTTGGCTGTCTATGTATCTGTGTGTATCTGGGTAACAACAGGGCAGGTGCCCAAATGTGGCAGAGTTGAACCTTGCCCTGGCAGAAGCCCTTAGCTGGGTGAGAGCTCAGGCTCTGAGCCTTATTGCACTTAGCTCTTATTGATTTTTTTCAGATTTATGGGTTTGCTATGGCAGATTTTAAACGTATAGAGGCTGTCACCTAGAATGAGGACAAACGACAGTTGTAGTTGCCAACTATGTGATAAAGGGGGTGAAAACAGTTTGGAAAATTATTCCTTCTTGAGTTAAGATAGCAAAGCCCTTGATCTGATTTTTTTCTCTGGCTCTGAGCTTCTGGAGCACATACCACCTTCATCTTAGCCCCCATCTAGTCTCCTGTCTTCTATGGCCTTGTCCTTCCAGTGAAATTCTTTACTATGGCATCCTGTCCTGCTCTTCCTGTCTTTGGCCTCCTCTCTAGCTGCCAATACAGGACAGTATTGTGTGTTCAGTTCATTTATAAAACAAGTTTTAGAATAGGAAGTTTTCATGTTTTGTTATTTTTCGTGCCTTTTGTTTTGTTCTCATTTCAGATCACCCGCATGCTCTAAAGACTTTCTTGATGAAAATCCTAAGATCCTAGTTAGCTTTTAACTAGATCCAAAGTAGCCTAGTCTTTGGCCCATGTAATCCTGAGTGGTATCACCATGGAGAACATCGCTGTTCAGATCTTCAGTTGCTTTATTCATGAACCAAGGCGACAGTGGGTACTCCCTAGAGCTGCTATGGGTAGCAAAGAAGACCACATAGGAGATGCCTGGCACTGGGCCTAGCACAGAGCAGATGCTTAGGAGGTGTTAATTTCTTTTCTGTAATTAGTTTTGTGGTTCAGTTCTCTTTCCCCAGCTGTCAATCCTTCCCTGTTCCCTGCTCATCTCACTCTCCTCAACCCAGCAGTTACACGTAGTAGTGGTCAGCAGAGTTTTCTCTCTTCGCTCTTTAGAAAGACGCCTGCAGATTCCTGAGCTGGATCGAATTTGACATATGTCATTCCCAAGTATTTCATTCCATCCTCTCAGTTATGTGAAAAGTACTCAATTATTTCATGAATCTCTCTCAGTGAAAAGATACAATTGACTTTACATCATTAACAGACTGCTGAATATTGAATAATTTTCAATAAATGATCAGGGCAATGGTTAATTGATAAAGTTGTTATTTACTGGAAATACCTGTTAATTGTCTTAGGGTGATAATAGTATTGGGTATATAGCAATACCATTTGGGAAAATGTTCTCAAATTTAAGGAGATGCATGGTGAAAAGTTTAGGGTTAAAATTTCAGGATGTCTGTGATTTACTTTCCATTACAGGTATATAAAGACATGTAGTGCCCTCTTGTTCTCTCTCTCTGTCTCTCTCTCTCTCTCTCTTTCTGTGTCTGTATGTATGCCTGTGTGTGTGTATGCAAATAGGGCAAAATATGGCAACAATGTTAATAGTTGTTGAAATCTGAGCGGGGGGAATATGGGCATTCATTGTATTATTCTTTCAACTTTTCTGTCCGTTGGAAATTTTTCATAATAAAAAGCTGGGCTTAAAATAGGAACTGGGCCGGGAGCGGTGGCTCACGCCTGTAATCCCAACGCTTTGGGAGGCTGAGGGTGGATCAACTGATGTCAGGAGTTCAAGACCAGCCTGATCAACATGTCAAAACCCCATCTCTACTAAAAGTACAAAAATTAATCGGATGTGGTGGTGCACACCTGTAATCCCAGCTACTTGGGAGGCTGAGGCACAAGAATAGCTTGAGCTCAGGAGGTGGAGGTTGCAGTGGGCCAAGATCGCACCACTGCTCTCCAGCCTGGGTGACAGAGTGAGACTCAGTCTCAAAAAAAAAAAAAAAAAAAAAAAGAACTGGAAAAATGTAATTCATGAAGTTCTAAAAAAGTTGGCCTTTTATTATAAGTGATTTTTATTTATGTCATTATACTTTTGTGTATTTTAAAATGGCTTTCTATTGTGAGCAACTTTTTCTTTTGAAGTCAGAAAATAACAATGCTTATAGTACATAATTTTAAAGTTGTTATTTTAAGTTGTTATTTTAAGGGAGAAAAGGCTGTACATGCATTTACTGTGGGGTAATAAATTATGATATGTATTTGCCACATGAGCAGAAAGCAGAGTGAGACTCTGTGGAGAGCATGGAACCTTGTACCAGACAAGAACAAGTCACCTTTTAAAGTTTCTCTTTTGTGAAATGGAATAATTACACCTCCTGACAAGTAAATGAGGCACTCAAAATAGTAAACACCCAATAAAACAGTGGCTATTATTATTACTTATGTAATCTGAAAAAATATGAATTACAGATTATGGATGTGATATCATGGTTCTAAAATTACCAGTTCTGGAAGGAGACAGATTTGGTCATCTCTGTCTTTCTAGAATGATTTTTTTAGAGATGTTTAAAGAAAAATTTTAGACAAATTTAACAGAGCTTATTTGAGCAAAGGATGATTTATGAATTGGGCAGTACTGAAAATCAAAAGTGGTTCAGAGAGCTCAGTACACTCCAGCAGCATGAGCAGCAAGCTTTTATAGCTGAATGTGGAAGCAAAGTGAAGAAATTACTTGATTGGCTACAACTAGGCATTTGCCTTATTTAGGTATGGTCTGATGAGAGGTTTGTAGTTATATAACCAATAAGCTGGTTGGCTGGTTATGATTGGCTGAGGCAATTTTTGTTTTGTTTTAAGTCATTTACAAGAAATGCCTTCAAGTTAAATTTCAGTGTGCTTAGTAAGGTATCCGAGGACAGAGACCACCTCATGCTAATGGCCCCCTTATTTACTTTAACAGAGATAAGTAATATTTTCCCCTCAAGTCTGGCTTTTAGAAATCTTTTGCTCATCAATTATTCTAATATTTATCAATTGCCATATAGCCTTGATATATAAGTGGACTTTAAAATGGTTCATTTTTAAAAGATTCATTTAATTATTCAATAGATTGCCCTCAACTATGTACAAACAAACCCTTGACTAGGATGTATAGGTAAAAGAAGACCTGTAGAGGGTTTCACCAAGCTATTGCACCCTGGCTGCTTTTCAGTGGATGCCAATCACTAATCCATGAGAGTGTTTCTTCTGGGTAAGAATTGTAGAGTCACGAACATGCCTTTTGGCTAGTTGTTCATACAAAACACTATCGAGAAAGGATTTCAGCCACAGGTTTGGTATTCCTTGGCCATTTTTAGTAGCATATCTGTTGATATGATTAAAGAAAATATTATCTAATTCCATTTAGTGTGTTCTAGTGGCAAACAACAGATTTTAGTCTGCTTTGTGACCTTTTCCCATTTACTAGTTATGTTTCCTTGTAAACACCATCAAATCACTATTATTCTTAGTTTTCTCATTTATAAAACAACATGAGCTTCTTTTTTGTATCAAGACTGTATGGAAGTGCCTTGTATATAATAATAACATAAATTATTATTATTACTATTATTATTATCATTCTTCTTAATTCAGATAATTTCACTGACCTATATATCTAGGTTATGATTCTGCTTTAGGGAACATAATAGCATTTTATATTTTGATTCAATTGAGGATGATTAGGACTGAATCCAATGATGAGCTTTTATTTTTTCATATTTGGCTCCCTTTTCCCACTTTTTTGAACATCCACAGTGTGACAGAAATGGAATAATTCTTTGTGCCCCCTATTCAGGAACATACAACTATTTTTTCATTTCTCAAAACATTTCAGTAAAGTTATGGCTTATTTTATCTTATCGCCAAAACAAATGAATATGTAAGCTACTTGAAGCTTTTATACCCCACGTAAAAATATTTGCATTAGGGACAGTTTGATCACTGGGTATAAAGACAGTTATGAGGAATAAGATCTGTTGTTCTATTGCACAGTAGGGTGACTACAGTTAACAGTAATGTATTATATACTTCAAAATAACTAGAAAACAGGATTTTGAATGTCCTCACCACAAGAAATGATGAATGTTTGAGGCGACAGATTTAGTAATTAACCTGATTTGATCATTACCCAATGTATATTCAAAACATCACCTTGTACCCCATAAAGATGTATGATTGTTATGTGTTAATTAAAAATAAAATAACACTTTTAAAAATTGTATTTATCCTCGGTGTCCTAGTAAGAAAAATAATTCTCTTTATAGACATAATGAAATCTTAAGGCCATAACACATAGAAGAAGTTGCAGGTATGGTCTTTGTCCTTCAGGTTTTATCTTTCTGCATTGGTGGATACGCGGAAGAACTCTAGGGAATTCCCTTGGAGGACAATTGAGTCCATGCTGAACTGAGCCTTAAGTATGGCTTCAGATGAAACATGGTTCTTATCTCATCTCCTTGATGAATGAGATGTCTACCGTGCTGAAAACTTGAGCTTAAAATTCGTGAGGCATTTTGCAGGAGACAAGATGCCGCCTTGGCATCACCATCAGCTCTGCATCTAGTTAATTACAGACTGACCTTCTAGATTCCAAATGAATGTGTGTAGCATCCCTTGATTTTTGAGAGCCACCTATGTTGGTGTGAATTACCAGCATTCTCAGGAGGAAGATTAAAGTGGTCGTTTTTTAAAAAAGGGTATGCATTTAGCCTTTGGGGATTAAAGTTACTGTCATCTGTGTCATCTTCCTTTATTAAGCATTATTTTTTACTTTTTTATAGCATGTCAGTGAAAAAACCAGTGAATCGCCTTCCAAACCAGGAGAAAAGAAAGGATCAGATGAGGTAATTTCCACAATACTGGGCTTTCATTTTCTCTTGCTTTTAAACTGTGAAGTTTGCCTTGAAATATTAAATAACGATGTAGCAAAGAGCTTCTACCTTGCTTAATATTGGGAAATTTTGATTTAACCAAGATTTGGTTCAAGAATATAAAAGGAAATCACTAAAAATAAATAAAAAAAATTGTTCCTGGGAATAGAGCCTGTATGAATACTTTCCCTTTAGTAATAGAACTTTGTTGCTTAGGGTGTTTTCCCTATAGGAACTGGTGAATCCAAATTGTTTTGTTGGCGAATATGTCAAGTGTAGAAGGGAAAACAGTTGCTGTAGTAAAAAGGAAAATCTTTTTTTATGACAATAAACCATGAAAGGAGGACAGGGACAGCCAGATTAACCAGTCCTTCAGATTCATAAACAAAAGGAAGAGATAACTATTTTTATTGGCACAGATTCTGTGGAAAACTAGTAAAACCAAATCTCCCCACTTTGAGATGGGTTTTCTTTGAGGCTGTTTCTTCTTTTACTGAATGACATACCATTCTTTGCACTGTTTAGAATGACCTACTTCTCTATGGAAGGGTCATGTGAAAGTTCTGCCCTTCCAAAGGATACAGGATTTGCCTTCCTTTACCTGCTTTTTGTGTGTTAAATCTCAATATAACTGGATGATACATCCATCTTCATCCAGTAGAAATTGAGTCATTTCTAACTTGTAAACATCATATAGCCAGATTTTAAAAGGTACATGGAAATTTGGAAAGCATCAAGTGATCATTTTATTTTTCTCTATATTATCAACATTAATCAGGTGTTTTTCTGAAATTTAGTTCTTCTTTCTGCTTATTTTCTGCAGTTTCAAAATAGTCAATATGTAAGGAGGCTGTTACGGCTAGAACCTGCTATGCATTCTGTACTAAAGTTTATGCCTCCATTTTCTACCATTGTTTTCATCACCAGTACCCATGAAAATAATTTAGATTGTTTCTTACCAAGCAAGTTTTTAGTGAATTTTTTATAGCCATGAAAGGCAAATGTTTCTTTAAAAATACAAAGTAGAAGTAAACATATTAAGATTTCATCCTGTTTCCTGATTAAATTAATAAAAGATAAATTTCCATTAAAAAAAAAAACCACAAATTTTTCTTTTTCCCAACATGAAAGTCTACCTAGTGTCAGCCAGGCACGGTGGCTCATGCCTGTAATCCCAGCACTTTGGGAGGCCGAGGTGGGTGGATCACGAGGTCAGGAGTTCAAGACCAGTCTGGCCAACATAGTGAAACCCCTTCTCTGCTAAAAATATGAAAAATTATCTGGGCGTGGTGGTGTGCACCTGTAATCCCAGCTACTCTGGAAGCTGAGGCAGGAGAATCGCGTGAACCTGGGAGGCAGAGGTTGCAGTGAGCCGAGATCACGCCACTGCACTCCAGCTGGGTGACAAAAAAAAAAAAAGAAAAGAAAAGAAAAGAAAATCCACCTAGTGTCATTTAACTCATTTATCAACCCTACCCTTTAAATATATTTCCAGATAAGTTATTTATCAAATTAATATTGAGCAAATATTGAACACTTCCTGATTGAAAACCATTGTGTTCTTTTATTCTCCAGACCAGTAAACAATGTTTTTGGTTGTTATTCTCTATTAATGTTAATTAAGGTTATTTGCCTAAAAAGGAAGTTTTCTTTTCCAATATGGTCAAGTGGATGCAAAGCCAATACTAATATGGTCATTCTGGCCAATTATAACTGGGAAACTTAAATATTACACCTTGGATGTACAGGATGTACAGGCATTATTGGTATGTAACAACTGACGGTAGATAGTTAAGTATATAATGTCTGGATTATAATGTCTCTCATCTCCATATTTATAAAAGGTTTAGAAAGGAAAACACTGTTAAGAAGCCATGTTATAAGAGGCAGACTTTGATTTAAAAAATTGAAAGGCTGAACTTCTGGTTTAAAGAAGGAACAGCGAATTTTTCTTTTCTTTATTGGCATAGCAATTCTGACATTGTTTTATTACGTTTCTGGTAAATTCACATTCATGACCCCTGCCCTTGTGCCAGAGCCTGGACATACCAGTCTTTCAGCTTCTGTCCCAACCAGCAGAAGTAAAGAGGGGATAGAGACTTTGCTCTGTCCCCATGGCTTAAATCATGGCTTTAGACAAAATAAACATAACAGAATTTGTTTGGGCAAAGAATGATTTGTGAATTGGGCAGCATTCAAAACTGGAAGAGGTTTCTAGAGCTCTTCTCTCTCCTTAAATTCTGCCTGTATGTATTTGTTAAGGTGGCCAAGCATGGGGGTGGGTGACTTGGTAGTCAGGGTATATTTCCAAAATGGTCTGTCTCAAAGGGCCTCATTCTTTATGTTATGTGCAAATAAGTCATTAATGAGATATTGTGTCCTGGAGACAGTTCAAGGAAACTGTCCCACTTTAGGCATTATGTTAGCCTTGATGTTCATGATTATAAAACCATGAGCAATCTGAATTTGTTATCTGCCCTGCCTACCATCCATAGTTTGTTGCCATCTCCTTTTCTTCTCAAAATTACCAGAGAAAGACTTCCTGAAACTGATTATTTCTCCCAAATATTTTCTTACCTACTGCTCTGTTGAACAAAACGTGAGACTAAGAAGCTTAGTTTGGTTTTTAGTAATCCATTTTCAAACTGGCATGTACCCTCCAATGTTAAATAACTTACTGTCCCCAAGCATATGCAAATATACTGGTTAGCCCTCTGAGGACAAACCAGGGTCTTTGAAACAAAATCAGTTTGAAAATTTGCTTTCTATCTTCTTCACAGTTTTTCTTCTCTTTTTATTATTCTGCTACATTTCTATTAGAGATGCCAGAAAAGGGCACAGAGGAGGACTTTGGGAGGGTATAACCAGAAGAAAAAATTGATGAGGGTTAGGTGAGAACCACCGTTATATTGCCATATATAAAAATACATGGAGGGCCGGGTGCGGTGGCTCATGCCTGTAATCCCAGCACTTTGGGATGCTGAGGCGGGCAGATCACAAGGTCAGGAGATCGACACCATCCTGGCTAAAATGGTGAAACTCCATCTCTACTAAAAATACCAGAAAAAATTAGTCTGGCAAGGTGGCGCGCACCCGTAGTCCCACCTACTCAGGCAGCTGAGGCAGGAGAATCACTTGAACCCGGGAGGCAGAGGTTGCAGTGAGCCGAGATCACGCCACTGCACTCCAGCCTGGGTGACAGAGCAAGATTCTGTCTCAAAACAAACAAACAAACAAAAACACACATGGAGATGAATGTAGCCATGTGAATTTCAGAGTTCTTTCTCCCTTGCTATTTGTCAATAGTTTTTACTTTTTTGGAATATTACCCCAACACACAACCATTAAGTAATCCTAAGATACCTGCAGCAATTTTATTTTTATTTTTTGAGATGAGGTCTTACTCTGTCACCCAGGCTGGAGTGCAGTAGTGTGATCATGGCTCACCGCAGCTTTGACCTCCCCCGCTCAAGTAATCTTCCCACCTCCCAAAGTGCCAGGATTATAAGTGTGAGCCACCACGCCCAGCTACCTATAGCAATTGTAATAGAATGTTGAAGCTAATACATTTGTCATGCTGCGTTTGAAATACAAATACTTGAGGATAGGGTAAGGTAAGTGTCTGAGAGAATTTATTTATGTTTGCTTGTTTATACCAATTGTTATGAATTTTTCAATTCTTTCTCAGATGTAGAGGAATTACAGGACCAAAAGTTGCATGGACTAACAAGCCAAAGATAAAATAACTAGAGAGGAGGAAAAAGAAAAATGAAAACACTTAACATCAGCAACTTTAAATGCAGTAGAACAAATAAGTCTTTCCAAACCTGCAATCAAATCTATTTAAAGGATGAAACTGACACATCCGGCCACACTGAGAGAGTGTGAATCTTTTAGCAACATATTTCAGTAAAGTCCTGGGGAATGGAATTTAAAGTATAAAACGGGCATGATCTCAGAGAGCCAATTTTAAAAGCTTCAAATTTAACAATGGATTTATTTTTATGAGTAAAGAAAACACAAATAAAAGCGAACGGAAATTCTGCCTTAAAGGAAAAGATGTTTTTTTACATTTTCCTTACTCTAATGGCATTGGTGGCATGCTTTTCCTCAGTGTTTACCTCTCCTCCTTTTAGAATGCATGAATTCAATGTTGAATGACTCAAACATTTTTTTTTTACTTTTTTCTTTTAATAAAGTTAGACTTTTTTAATCACAAAAGTAATACATACTTGTGAAAAACAATATTACCCTGAGTCTTACCGCTTAAACTACTGCTCTAAACTTGTGTGTATATACTTAAATTAACGCGATAATGTCATGTATTTATAATTATTATATATGCCAATTTTAGTACTTTTTAATGATTGTGTAGCTAAAATATAATTATTGGAAAAAAATTAGAAAGTACCAGAGAATTTAATGAAAATAAACACCCTTGGCCAGGCGTGGTGGCTCATGCCTATAATTCCAGCACTTTGGGAGGCTGAGGTGGGCGGATCACAAGGTCAGGAGTTCAAGACCAGCCTGGCCGATATGGTGAAACCCCAACTCTACTAAAAATACAAAAATTGGCCAGGCGTGGTCGTGGGTGTGGGCGCCTATAGTCCCAGCTATTCGGGAGGCTGAGGCAGGAGAATTGCTTGAACCTGGGAGGCGGAGGTTGCAGGGAGCCAAGATCACACCACTGCACTCCAGCCTGGGCAACAGAACGAGACTCTGTCTCAAAAAAAAAAAAAAAAAAAAAAAAAGAAGAAGAAGAAAAGAAAAATGGAAAATAAACACCCTCATCTAGGATTCTAGCACCTAGAGAAATGGGCACTATGTACATCTTGGTGTATTTTCCTGCATCTTTTTTCTTTGTTTGCTTATTTTGTTTACTGAAATGCTGCATATCTTGATTTTTAAGCAGAAATAGCAAAGGAACACCATTATAGGGCCTAGTCTGAAAATGATAAATAATGTGCTTTGTGATAGATAAATCTTTTCCAATTAAAAAAAGACCCATCAGTGTGTGTGGCATTTAAGTATATAGAAAACCATTATTCAAGCACCTTGGCATTCAGTATGGCATTTAATGTTCATTATTTTGTGCTCTGTTTTTGAAGGGAGGAGAAATTTACTTCTTATTCAAGAAGTAATTTGTGACAGTGTTCCCACAAGTGATTTAGCTGTCATTAGCAAGTTCTAGAAGAGTACTGCAGCAAACATTTTAACATTCTTTTATGTCATGACAAGAGAGTTCATACTAGTTGTGGGGAGTCGATTGTGGCTGCACAAGCTCATGTCTCAGTGCCAAGAAAAGCTAAGCCGAAAAGCTGCACCGAGGCAGTCATGCCTGGCTCACCGGGATATCTAGCCCCAAGAGGCCAGCACAGGCTCGCACTGGGTGCGACTTGGGAGCTGAGTCTGACTTGGGAGGCTAAAGTGACTCTGGGAAGTTACAAGATTCTTTTCAACTGTGGTTTCCCCATTTTTTCATTTGAAATTTTCATTTATTGTTTCATTGACCAGAGTATTTTCTAAGATATTTTTTTCAGGGAGGGAGCACAATGATGATTTTCTGAGTGTGTGAATGTAAGCATGTTTTCTCGTTGGTGACTCACAAGAAAGTCCATCAATACAAAATTGTACAACATCCTTGGGTCACAGTTTTGTTCCTCAAAATTCTGTATCTATTGCTTCGTGGTTTTCTGGCTTTTTGTGCTTCAGAGATGTCTGAGGCAGCCTACTTTTGACTTACTTTTTAGGAAGCCTATTTTTCTTGCCTTGGTGCAAGATTTTTTTCTTTTGTTCTTACAATTTAAAAATACTACCAGGATGGGCCGGGCGCGGTGGCTCACGCCTGTAATCCCAGCACTTTGGGAGGCCGAGGCGGGCGGATCACGAGGTCAGGAGATCGAGACCATCCCGGCTAAAACGGTGAAACCCCGTCTCTACTAAAAATACAAAAAATTAGCCGGGCGTAGTGGCGGGCGCCTGTAGTCCCAGCTACTTGGGAGGCTGAGGCAGGAGAATGGCGTGAACCCGGGAGGCGGAGCTTGCAGTGAGCCGAGATCCCGCCACTGCACTCCAGCCTGGGCGACAGAGCGAGACTCCGTCTCAAAAAAAAAAAAAAAAAAAAATACTACCAGGATGTACTTATATATTAATATGTGTTTTTCTTTATTAATTTGTCTTGGAATGTCTGTTATTTCATTATTTCTTTAATTATTACTCTTGTTTCGGTTTCCCTTGTTTCTTCCTAAACCTACATATGCAATAGTTCCTCTTTATCAGCTGTTTCGCTTTTCATGATTTCAGTTACCCACGGTACAATACAATGAGATATTTTGAGAGAGAGAGACCCCATCCACATAACTTGTATTACAGTATATTGCTATAATTGTTATATTTTATTATTAGTTATTGTTGTTAATCTCTTACTGTGCCTATTTTAGAAATTAAACTTTATTATAGGTATGTATGTATAGGAAAAACCATAGTGAATACAGGGCTCAGTACTATTTGCAGTTTCAGGCACCCACTGGGGAATCTTAGAATATATCCACTGCAGATAAGAGAGACTACTGTAATTCTGACATTAGACATTCACTAATCATCTGCCTCACAATTTTCTTTTGCTGACATTTACCCTTGCACTCTAGGAGAGTTTCTGAAGTTTGCCCCCCACATATTTTATTTCTAAATTCTGCTCTTTGAAACTTCTAATACAGGTTTAAATTTTGGTTTTCGTTTTTGGTTTCTTTGTGTCCCCTTCTTATCCTCTCTTACCTCTTTGTCTCACTCCATTATCATTCCATCTCAATCTATAGCTCTTTACTCCATTTCATGAAGGTAATACCATCTTGTTTCCTATCAAGGATGTACACTTTTGTCTGAATTTTCTTCTTATTCTGTATCATTTTATGAGATCTGTCTTTTTCAGTCTTCGGGGTAATGATGCCCTCTGCCTTTCTCTGTGGTGGTTTTGAGAGGCAAAATTTCTTTCTGATTACTCTTTTAAGGAGAGCTTGGCCTACTCCTAGAGCTTGTCAGCTGTGATGAGCACATTGTCCTTAGCCCTGCTCTTCATCTATGTCCCTGCTAACTAAATCTCCTCAGACCTACAGCTGTTTGGCAGGTGAATATGCACAATGCTGGTAAAATCCCCACTACCTAGTGGACTTTCATTCATTACAGAACATCCACTGTATGAAATGAGATGCAGGGAATAACTCCATTTTTTAGCAAGGATTGCTAATGCGGCTTTTTTTACCTCCACCCCCAAGAAGGCCACTTTGTACTTAGGACAACTACTCCCCCAGGTGCAGCATGCTACTGCCACACCCTGCGCACAACCCATCCTCCCACACCCTGCCCACTCCACTGAACGCACCAGATTTCTGCTTAGTTGGTTTCCAGGATTTGGATTTGGAATCTTTGACTTGGGTTAGAAAGAGAGGCACTAATGGGGAATAAAGATAGGTTGCCTCATGAAGAGGACTCCTACCAAAGAGGTTTGACTGCTAGGTTTTCTAGATGGCTACATTTCTGTGTGGAGTATGAGCATTCAGGAAAGAGGGGGTCTTTCAGGGACATAAGCTTGCTCTGTTTCAGATGCATGACACAAGTGGTTCACCAATTGTGCTTTTCAATATAGTTCCATTGGCTTCGATTAGGATGGAGATTCTGCCTAGATTTTTGGCATTTGGTAGGCTTCCTTTAGTGTTTGGTTAAGTTCTGCTCTCTTCTATGAGAAAATGAAAAAATAGAAACTTCTAGAGACAATATTTTATACCAGGAATTCTTGAAATTGGCTCATAATGACAGTGTTCAGCTTCTTGAATCAAGCTCCTCTATTCTAGTTTGCTTGGAGTGAAACCTATGAAATGGCTTTCCACTTTAAACTCTGTTCTGTGTATCATTCAGCCCCTCATGAGTTTTAACAGAGGGGCAGGAGGATTACTAGCAGGACATGATTAATCATCACAGGGCATTTGCATCACCTCTTTTGTGGTATTTCTCTGTGTGGTCCCGGTACATTTGTCTTTCTCTATAAGTCTTCATAATGTTGGTCACTGCTTGTTTTCCTATGAGCAAAACTTATTTACATAGATATTAGAATTATTTTCCTATGTGGAATGTGTCAGATAGGTTTTCATGAGCACTGCATGAATTTAAGTTCAAAGCTACAATTAAAACTCCTGGCATTATGTAGACATTAAAGCAATCTATTTATCCTAAGATACAAATTCAGTTTGAATTCTGAGAGAAATTTAGAAAATTTACAAAATTTAGGACAAAAACTCTGTGCCATTCTGAGACCACAGTGAGAGCATCTTCTTTCTCATCTGTTGTGAAAGCTTTGAAGAGCCACACTCACAACTCAGTTAACCTGCTATTGATCTGTGGTTTCTATAGAAGCAGCATATGATACATTCTGAGTGTAGGGTTTAGGGTCCAATGCCTGGATTTAATTCCCAGCTCTGCTAATTCCTAGCTCTGTGTCTTTAGGCAAGTTACTTTGCCTCACTAAGGGCACATTCCTTATCTGTAAAATGAGGATACTAATAGTTCTTACATAAGAGTCAATGTGAAGAACAATCAGACCATCCATATGTAGTGTCTAGAACAGTGCCTGGGACATATGAGGTGCTCTATAAATCTTACCTCCTGTTATTGTTATTATTATTATTGGTGTTACTTTATTATTATTAGCTCAGTAAAGAGAACTTGTTTGGCAATAAAGGTGAGTCTCGTATTGATGTCTACCTATGGGATGGGGCAGGGCTCAAATTCTTTGGTTGATTATATATTGCAGCACCTTCCCATTAAAAAATGAGGGAAGTTTGATAGTTTATTAACTTTAGTAGCACTTTTGTTGTAAAACCAACTACATGCAACATGCAGAAACATACGCCAATAGCTAGAACTAAAGACCTCTGCATCACTATCTTTTTTTTTTTTTTTGAGATAGAGTCTCACTTTGTTGCCCAGGCTGGAGTGCAGTGGTGCAATCTTGGCTCACTGCAAACTCTGCCTCCTGGGTTCAAGCGATTCTCCTGCCTTAGCCTCCCAAGTAGCTGGGACTACAGGTGTATGCCACCACGCCCAAATAACTTTTTTAAAAAATATTTTTAGTAGAGACAGGGTTTCGCCATGTTGCCCAGGCTAGTCTCGAACTCCTGACCTCAGGTGATCTGCCCACCTTGGACTCCCAAAGTGCTGGGATTACAGACATGAGCCACCATGCCAGACCGTATGCATCACTATTCAATGAGCTGTTTTATCAGAAGCTAAGGATGTACTTTTTAAAAAGAATATGAAAATAATGTGCCTTTAAATTAAGAATCTGTGATATACAAAATGTTGTATCATTGGATAGGGAATGGTATTAAAAAAACAACTGAACACTTTGCCTCTATGAGAGAATATATAAATATATATATATAAATATATCAACATTATATCATACAATAATAATATACCCTTCATTATCTTATTTTAGATTTATGAGCTGAATTACCTAAGATCTTAGGTCCCACCAAATTGTCTCTGAAGAGATTATATTTTATTGCTTGTGGAATCAGAGTAAAATACTAACAAAATATTGACGGAATTGAATGGATGTTCAGTTCACTTCAGCACAGATCATAAGCACTAGAAACCTCATGGACAGATGGATTAAATATTATTCCAGAAATAACATGTTTAAAGTTAACTTTTTTTATTCTTCAGACTTTCTTAGCTTCTCAAAAATAATGGGATGACTGGTTCAAAAGGGACAATAACCTGAAATCATACCCATAGCAAGATATCTGTCTTATCTAAGGACTGAATATGTATGATTCTTATCGTAATGTCAATATTATTTTTCCACATAACAAAATACATAATGGCTTGTACATTATAAAAATAGTTCATTTGTGAGAGCAAAATCTCATGGCAAATTTACATCATAGTCTTTTATTTTCAAGTATCATTATTACAGAATGCTTAGTAAATGTGTAGAGCATTGTATTAGTACCAAAACAAATTTAAAACTCTCTGTTTCTCATTTTTCAGGATATGGCATGAGATAATGCAGTGATTATCAACTCTTTTTGTGCCTAAGAATCACCTGGGGATGGTATGAGAAATTCAGACTCCTAGGCTCCATCTCCAGAGACTGATTTAGATCTAAGGTGGGCCCAAGGAATCAGTATTTTTGCCAATCACTCCAGGTGATTCTTCTCTTATGCCAGTGGTCTTTTGAGCACATTTTGAGTAACACTGAAATAATTCTTGTGGAGTGCATAGCATGGTGCGTAGCACACATAAACATTGATTTCTTTATTTCTTTTTTCTTTCATTTTTTTTTCTTTTTCAAATGACCTCTCCTTTTCCCCCCTGACCAACTCACTCTGCCATATTGTGGGAATACAGTAGAGCACACTAAGAGAGCTGCAGTTTCAGAGTCAGTGGACCTTGTGGGAGGCTTTGGTTGGAGGGATCAGTTACTGATACTATTTCTTCCCACTTCTCCCAGGACCTTGTCCTTTAGATCTTTTGATTATTCCTTTTTTTTTTCACTCTTTATTTCATGACTCCTCTTTAGACTACATATTAGCTCAATCTTCATCATAAACTGTTTTAAAGCAATTCCTTTGAAACTGCTCAAGCTCCAATTCCATCTCTGCCTCTAACCCTCACTACCAAAATTCCTGGTTAAAATTATTGAAGAAAAGAGTGTAGAGAGAGAAGAGAGAGAAACTAAAATCAAGTGTTGATAAATGCCTACATGTAGAAAGTGGGAAGGATAACTCAAGTCAAAGAAGCAGCAAGCAAAGAGGTAGAGGAAGCTGGGTGCTCCCTGTCATCAGTGTGGGGGGTGCAGGAAGAAGTGGAGGGTCAGTAGGGCTGAAATGCTGATATTTCCAGAGGGATGGGGGCTGAGGCAAGGTCCTGATTGGAGACTGGGATAGTATCAGTTCTCTTCCAAGCTGTTTTTGTGGAGTAATAGAAGGTTTCCATTGTACTGTGATTATGATTGAGAGGGTGCTGAGTATGTGGAGATTCTGCATGGTAGATTCTTCTTCCAATGTATGTAGATTTATGTAAAGAACAGCAGATAAAGCAATGAAAAATGAAGTCAGTGTTTACTTACACAAAAAGAGATAAGTTCTGTAAGGAAAAAAATATTCATGTTACTTGTTAAACAATAGTAAGGCAGACTTCATTCCAGACCATTGCTATAGGTGTAGGGACCACTGCAAGGGAATTTTGCAGTAAGAGGGGAGAAATTATAGGGGTGGCTGGTTTTTCCAAGAGTTGACTCCATAGCCAACCTTAATTTTAACAATCTAATTCCATGTACATCATTCTCAAATATTGCATTCTATTATAGTTATTCAAGGCCTTGGTAGTATTTAGCTCCAAATATAATGAAGAAAAGTGGGGATTTTTAGCTAGGAGCAGGGCCAGGGATCGTTGGATGGAAAATTAAAAGGAAACATCAGGGATAAGGCGGATTCTGGGAAAAGTGACCTATAGGATTCTTGCTTAAGGCCAGCGGGTGATCAGATCTCACCTGGCGGATGGTGGAGGATGAGGGGACTTGATCGGATAGCAAGAATGGAGGATTCTGACTAAAGTAGCCTGTCAGTATTCTTGCTATGAGTGGGTAGTGCAGAGATGAACGTGGAAGTCCAACAATGAGGCCTAATTGAAAAAGAGCTCAGAGGAGCCTGATTAGAATTTAGTCAAGGAGAGAATCTTTGTCAGTGTGACTGAGACACTTCACATGTTATAGATGTCTTGGATTGTTTGGTACTGTTCTCTGCCAGTTGTTTATTGATAAATGAATTCATTTATTAATTAAGAAACATCAAATAAGAAAGATGTTGTTTGGAAAGAACTAACAAGTGAATTCTAAAAATTTGTTTGTCTTAATCATTACGATTCTAGACCTCCTAGTTTGTTATTCACATTAAAGTTGGTATTTTTGGGCTCTCTCTTTTGCACATCAAGCCTCTCATTCCTAAATGATCTAATTCAAGCTTAAGGACCAGAATTTTTGGACTTTAGTACCATTCTAGAAATATATCATTCTAAAATCTGAAATCTACAATTTTGAAGAAAACTATTTATAGGAAACTGAGAGCTAAAACAATCTTATAATAACATCCCATTTTTGGTTTCACTTAGTACTTAAGATAAAAATTGCTTCTCTGAATATAATTTTGTCACTTTTTTTCCTGTGTACTTTCTTAATACAGCAAGTAGACTCAGTAAAATCTGATACAATATACTTATTTCACTAGTGAAATTGAAAGCTGAATGACTGGCGAATTTAAAAGATAATGAGGGTTCTTACTACCAGCGCCAATAAGAAAGGTTAGACATTTGTTAAACGTGATATGGTGCTATCTGCCTGCATGTTAACCATATAGTTCAGGGGACACCCAGTGGTTAAAAGTAGGTAATTCCTTGCTGTGGTACAGTGTTAAAAAATTATGGAAAAATATATTTCTTGGCTCAGCAGTGATCACACATTGTTGATTTTTTCTTTCTGAATGAGTACATGTTAGGATGTGTGTGTGTTTTGAGAAAATGTTTGGTCTTGACTTTATATATAAATTTTCTTTGAATAATAAAAACTCACCAACAATTTTGAAAATGTTAGAAATATGATTAAACTTTTCCTTTAATTAAAACAAATTAGAAATGTGGAACAAGTGACTGCGTCATAAATAAGAAAAGCCTTTTTGACCCAGAAATCCCAATTCTAAGAATGTATTCCAAGTATATAATCAGAGGTGTACATGATGACTTACTTATATCCAACGATATTTATCATAGCTTTATTTATAATAACAACAAACTAAGAAGGAAACACCTGTATGGAAGTTAAGTAAAATCATAGCGCTGATATACTGACGAAGGCATTTTTAATACTGTGTTTTGAAAAACATTTAATGACAGGCAAAAATGCTTATATTAGGTAAAAATCTTTCTAAATGTAAGATTACAATTCTATTCATATAACATACTTATAATATGTTATCATGTGCATATTTTTGTATTTGTATAAAAATAGGAAAAAACTGAAATTAGTTGTCTTGGATGACAGGATTTTAAGTAATTATTATTTCTTCTTCCTACTTTTTTTAATCTTAAGTGTATTTATTAAACCAGAAGAAAAAGAACAATAAGCAGCATAGATAATAAAAGAGTAAGATAAGAGTGTTTTACCAATGACCAGAAAAGTACCCATGCATGTATCTGCTTAGACCTTAAAGAGAGAAGTGCTGTGTATTTGAGATTTTTTACTTTGGGGCCCCTAAGAGATACTTTCAGAGCAAGGCTGCTGCTGCTGTGTGTGTGTATATGAGTGTATGTTTTGTGTGCTTGTGTGTAGGGGTGGGGGCACACACACGTGTTTGAGTAGAAAAGCACCTCTTAAATACAGACAGAAAATAAGAACAAAGACAACTTGGAGGGCAAGAATACTGAAATATTTTTAGTTCATATTCTCTTTGGAATCTGATGAAACTGTGATCTTTTCTCTGAAAGCTACACACATGTACGAATACAAAAAATACTCTCCAAAATGTTACATACAATTTAAAGAGGTTTATATGCACACACTATCCCCACCCTTGTAGGGACAATCTTATCAAGTAGATATATTTAGGAGGCACTATGTTATAGTATTTTCCTAGGTGGCTTGCTGATGTCTGAAATTCTACCATTAACAATTTCCTTAATCTTTCATTGCCTTTTTCTGCATCTTCTTTTAAACTGTAGGTATTTCTAGGTAATATATTCACTATTAATGCCCTTGTGAGAACTAGTTTGGCAGGAAAGGAAGAGAATACCGTAAGCATTTTTTTTCTGTAGATTCTGTAAAGGTAGTAGAGCACCAGAGATCATTTGATGAAAATAGCTAACACATAAATAGGCATTATATACACATGCAAATACATGTGTGCACACATGAGCACACACATGCGCCTTATGGCAACCCCATTCTCCTGATAAGGAAATTGAGGCACAGCTTGATTAAATAACCCATCTAAGGCCACACAGTTATTTAATAATAGAACCCAGAATTGAAATCACTTTCCAGAGTCTGTGCTTTTAACTAGTATCCGATACTCATCATAAAATTACTTATATTATGAAGTCTACCTTATAGATGGAGGCCAACTCCATAGACTTTCTTACTTCTATTGTCATTTTTTTGTTATTCACTTTTCTACTTCTTCATTTCCCTCTTTCTTCCTTGTGTGATGCCCTCTTTTCATTCAAGATTATATAGCAAGTTCAGTCATTCCAATTCCCATGATGTAGGTATAGCTATTTTCCCTTTGTAGGTAGGAGATGAGGCTCTGAGGGAAGCAGAGGCAGAGCCCTAGAATAGTAGCATTGTCCTGACTCCTGGTCAGTGCAGCAACCTCAGGACTAAAAAGACTTGAGCTGGACTACCTTGAGGGGTTCCACTTGAGATGACACACGGAAACTGAGTAATCAGAAAAAAGAACAACAACAACAAGCAACTCACTGGAGTGTGCTCACCATAGTGGGTGTTATTAAGGGCCTAGAACATGGGACATTTCATTCAGTATGTGAATTTATTTATTTATCTATTTTTTTTTGAGATGGGGTCTTGCTCTGTTGCCCAGGCTGGAATGCAATGGTGTGATCTTGGCTCACTGCAACCTCCATCTCCCAGGTTCAGGCGATTCTCCTACCTCAGCCTCCCAAGTAGCTGGGGTTACAGACATGCGCCATTACACCCAGCTAATTTTTATTTTTAGTAGAGATGGGGTTTCACTATGTTGGCCAGGCTGGTCTCGAACTCCTGACCTCAGGTGATCCGCCTGCCTCTGCCTGCCAAAGTGCTAGGATTACAGGCATAAACCACTGCACCTGGCCTCAGTATGTGAATTTCTATGTAATATTATGAGTTAATGGTAAGGCTTATTCATTATGACTTAGTGTTTTTTAGAGCCAGCATATTGTATTTACTGCTTTGCACTTGCAGTAGCACACATTTATACTTCTTTTGGTAATAAAAGCAATTTGTACTTATTTGGTCACCACTTAAACTATGGTGTTAAAAGAACATTTGTAAATAAGAGTCAGAGTTTTATAATTGCTAGTGTTGGAGAATCTGTCTACACTTTTGAAAGACAATCTTTTTCTTGACACTGTTTTCAAATAAAGCATGTATTTTCATGTAGAAACACAAGACTTCTTGCCATTTTATAGGACAACTACTAAGTTATGGAGTAGATTCTTAACAAATATGTCAAAACTTACATATTTTAATGAGAGTTTTTATCTTGAAAAATACATTTCAAGAAGTCTAAGAAATGTGTTGTTATGCAATTTTATCATTGTGGAAATGCCAGAGTGTACTTACACAAACCTAGATGGTAGATACAGCTTTATTTATATATAGTTTTTCATATAGAAAACTAAATGTCTCAGCATCATGACCAAATATTAGTCATTTCCCCTACTTGATCTGCAATGCCAATATCATGTGCCATACATCAAGTTTCTGTATATGCTCCATTATAATCTTATGGGACCACTGTTCCATATACAGAAAATGCAGTCTGTTGTTGAGTGAAACGCCCTTATTCAGCACATGACTACATAGATTTCTTATTATATCACAATATCGCATACTCTAAAAGCTGATCTGGTCCAACCTAACAAAGCTTGAAAGCAAATCTCAAAAAAATCAAACTGTTTCCAAGTAACTTAACAGTATCCCATTATTAGAATCATGAGCTAGTTCTAAGGAAAAAATTACATTTTTCTATCCCATAAAAGGTTATTATTTTTTATAATTGTATACATAATAAAACTCATAGAAAATTTTCAGCAGCCACTAAGTCTTCTCATGTGTACCAACCAGACCCACTGGGGTTGCCCTGCAGAGGTCAGTCTGTTCCATTGCTACCTGGGCAAGGACTTTGGGCCTCTCCCTTTAGAGCCAGGATTTTCAACCTGTGGGTCACAGTCCTCAGGATATGTTGTAACTCATTTAACCCTCAAAATCACCTTCCGAGGTATGAGCAGAGTTATTCACCCTGCTCAGAAAACTGGTGTTGAGAAATGTTCAGAAACTTGCCTAAGATCTCATAGCTGGCATTTGGTGGAACAGGACTCTTGCTATATAAATCATAAGATAGAACCATTATCCTAGAGAATGTGGTGCCTTTCTTCACAGAGTCATGAAGTCTCAGGGTAAAACATGTGGCTTCACTCAGGGAGCCTTTTCTAAGATTTTAAGTGACAGTGACACAGCAACTCTTTGCCTGGCTCTTGGAACTTCATTGTTATTTTGAAAATTTTAAAGACTCGAGTTCTGATTGACTCAGTAAAAAATTTTTTCTCTGAACTACAATAGATATACAAAAAAGTATGCAACTAATTCTTTTCATGCCTTCTTGCAACAGATGGTGCAATATCATATAAAAATGAGCTTGTTTTGAGAGTTTCTACTTACTGTGAGTAGATGAATTCTTTCCTCAGGGTGGATCCAGCCCTATCACTAGTTAGTGAGTATGCAGATCTAGTGAGCTAAGAGATCTGTTCAGGGCAGGGTAGAATTTCTAAGGACTGATGCTGATGTTAAGGAGTATAAGTGTGAAGAGATACCAACAAAACTAAGCACAAGGTGACATGAAGCCAGAGGACGTTGAAAACCTTGCACCTGGAGGCAAGGGAGGACTCAGGGGGTCAGGTAGTAACCTGAGAAGACTAGGAAGCAAACCAGATCCTGGAAGAAACTGATGATCCCAAACTCATGTGACTATAGGGCTATTCTGATCCCACATCACTTCAGAATAAATATTTGATCCTGCATTTTGTTTCATCTCATACCATACATGCCTGTACCCAGCATGCTTTGGCTGCACTGGCTTCTTTCTGCTCCTCCTGCTTACCAAGCCCATTCTTACCTCAGGGCCCTTGCACGTGCTGCCCTGTCTACCTAGAATGCCTCCTTTCCCTCATCCCATATATACACGATTGGTTTCCACACAGCAGTCAGGTGTTAGTCAAATGTCACTTCCTCATCCATCCTGTCTGAAGCAACCCTGAGCCAATCACTCTCTGTTACCTCATCCCATCTCACAGTCTGTTCAGGACTCACCATTCTCTGAAGTCATCTTGTTTTTTTGTTGACTTACTTAAAGGCTGAGTCTTTCTACTGGAATGTAAGTGCCACGAGGGCAGGAGCTTTTTCTGTTTAATTGGTCATTATATCCCCATTGCCTAGAATAGGACCAGGCTCATAGTTTTCCCAATGAATGAATGAACAAATGAATATGTGAAGTCAGACACAAATGAAGAAAGGGGGCCAAAACAACATGTAATTAAACTCTGATTACCAATCTGAAAGTAAGGAGTCTGCTCTGTATATGGGTGCATTTCAAGGCTTTTGCATTGTATTTTCAGTGCCAGATGTCAACAAAGGGCTTAATAAATACTTGTTAGATAAAAATTTAATGAAAGATGATTTTACATATTCCAGTCTCACTTCAGCTGAACTACATTGGTCCTTTGTGGACTAAGTAATCCAGGCAGCTCTGAGAGCAAGCCAGTCTTTAGGGGAACAGATCATACCCACAAGAAAGTTGAGGGAGCCTCCGTTAAGTTAAAAAACATTTCGTTTATTAGTAAGTCATTTTCAGCATATAAATTAAGTTTAAACAGTCATTATTTTTAACTTAATAGTTTCATCACAGCCAAAATACAAATTTTTAAATTCTCATTGGCAGATCCTAATTGGCATATTGTAAGTAGTGGAATCCATTTATAGACTTTAAGTATGTGGGCTTTGATGTAGCGAATGGAATCTGTAATTAGCCCAGGATTGGAACATGGCCTTCCTCAATTGTAGCTAAGATCAAAAGCTAATAGCTGGAGTTTGGGACAGCTGTGTCACATTGAAAACAGACCTAACCTCCTTCAGTTTCCTCGCTGGAAAATGAGAGGTTGAGATAGGTAATGAAGTTGAAATGGATAATGCTACTGCTGTATTCTTGTCTTTATGTCTTACGTCCAGTCTTTTACACAGAATCCATTTGTACATTAAGGTTGTCAGAAGCTATTTGTTATTATTTGTGATAATTTAAAAAAGACTAGCAATCTGGATAAAATGTGGGTTATCCCCTCCTTTTACCATCTCACATATCACACCTGCATCACTAGCTTCTTAGCAGCCTCTTTTGTTTTTATCACATTTATCTAGGTTTTTTTCTTTCCTTGGTTGATGGTAGTAAGTGTATGCTTGGGAGAGACTATTTATTCTACAGATGATGCCTGGGAGCCTGAACTCCTGCAAATGCCTGTGAGGCCCCCTAGAGTGGTTGGCGAGTGGACACATAGAGATTGTGCTTTGAGGACAGCAAACTAAGTTTTGATTTTGGGGCATGCTAAGGCAAAATTTACCCTGAAGGGAAAGAAGACTTCAGTTCAAACTTCCATGGCATGCATTTTCAATAAATTAGAAAATATAAATTTGGCTAAATATTTCTTCTAAATATTAAAGAATGAAACCAAATTATTCTCAATTATACATATAAAATATTTGTTGCATAGACATAGAACACTTTAATGTGTTATATGCTAGCTAATTTATGCATTATCTTGCCTTGTGTATTCAATATTTACAGTACATTATTCACACTTTATTGACCTTGGAGCATATCACCATTTTACATTATAAAGCTTTATACTTGGCCAGGCACGGTGGCTCACGCCTGTAATCCCAGCACTTTGGGAGGCTGAGGCAGGCAGATCACGAGGTCAGGAGATCGAGACCATTCTGGCTAACACGCTGAAACCCTACTAAATATACAAAAAATTAGCTGGGCGTGGTGGCATGTGCCTGTAATCCCAGGTACTCAGGAGGCTGAGGCAGGAGAATTGCTTGAACCCAGGAGGCGGAGGTTGCAGTGAGCCGAGATCGCACCACTGCACTCCAGCCTGGGTGACAGAGCGAGACTCCATCTCAAAAAAACAAACAAACAAACAAACAAAAAAACTTTATGTGCTTGCTTCTTTGAAATATAGATATTCATAAGAAAGAGAAAGAGATACAGGATATGAAGGTCTTGTTGAGGAAGCAACTGTGTATTTTACTTTTCCTTTTTCCCCCATTTATTTTCTTTTTCTCAATTAAAATAGTTACATAAGAAAACACAAAAAAGCCCAAGAAGGATTTTTTAAAAATTACTCTTCACACCATCAGAAAATAACCTCATATGACCTTAAAGGATCATACTAAACATACTATTTTATAATTTAACTTTTCTTCGTATAAAATATGAATAATATGTTTTTATTTAATGAAGTGTTTTTCTAGGACATGATTTTTAATAACCAGATGATATTTCATCCTATGGCTCTCCCATAACGTAACCCCCTATTATGGGATGCAGTATAGGTAGGTAAGAGATTGGAGTCTGGAGCAGATATCCTGCCTTTTACTAACTGTCACCATGGCCAAGTAATTTATTCCTTCTGTTCCTCAGTCCCCTCACCCATAAAGTGGAGATAACAATAGTATTAGGTTTATATTGGTTTATCTTGTTACTCATGGTATTTAAAACACTTAGAGTACTTAGAATAACGTTCTGAGAGGCTTTATTCTTGAAGCATTTTATCCTATTACTATCTATAATTCTATTATTCTAATAATTACCTGGCACACCATAGTACTTAATAAACATTCATTATTATAGATACTGTTTTCAGCTTTTTTAGGTTATAGTACTGTGATCAGTATCTTTGTAGAAAAATACTTTTTCTCTTCTCTTATTTCCCTAAGATACATTTTTACAAGTAGAATAGCATCTTTGATACATATTTCTAAATCACCCTGCATAGACATTGTAACATTGTATACTCTCTATGGCACTGTAAGGGTGAGTGAAGTTTTTGGAAGTACATGAGAACTGCCTCAGTGAGTTTTGCAGTTCTCCAAAATCACTGAATATTGAACAATTGAGACTTATTCAACTTACTCTTCATTTCAATATTTGTATCATCTTCAGGCAAAGTAACGAAAAATTCAAAGCATATGTTTACTTTGGGTGTGTTTCAAATATTAGTCTGATTTTTGCTTGAGAAAATATTTGTATTGATATGTAAGTTTGCATTTGACTACATTGGTAAGGTGTTTTCCCCCATTGAAACTAATATTTTCTATTTTCAAGAAAAAAGCAGCAAGCCTCGGCAGCAGTCAATCCTCCAGAACCTATGCTGGTGGAACAGCCTCGGCCACCAAGGTCAGTGATTTCCTGAACACGAAAAGACCCCTACTGTATTCTACAGGGATATGATTAGTGGGTGGGGCCTGTAGGAATGGCAAACAGTGTCCAGATATCACTGAAGGTTTTTTAACAAAGTATCATTTCTGTGCTAGAAGAGAGAATATAATTTCTTAATAATGATGTGAATGATTTAAAACCTAGTAAAACCATTTATTGTATAAATCTTCTTGGCATATAATAAGCGTTAAATAAATATTAATTATTATGATGACTATCTGCAGATAATATTAAACTTTTGAACATACTGTGAGTAAAAACGTAGTGCTCCCACTTTAGAAAATAATTCATATCCTCCTCATGGGCATTAACCACACCAGGCGTGCTGCTAGTGCTTTATGTAATTATATCACGTAATCCCCTCACAATCTTCTTCTTATTCCTTTATACCTGAGGAAACCAGAGCTCAAGGAGGTTAAGTAACCTTGACAAGCTCACAACGCCAGTAAGATGGAGATAGGGCTTGAACCCAGGTTTCCTGTTAAGAGGTCTTTGACAATGCTGGGTCTTATAAACTCCATCTAAGCAATTTTTGGTAATATAACCCTTCAAAGTTTTGCAACTTATAAAAATCACTGAAACCTCACCTTTCGAGGCAAGAAAATGGCCAGGCACAGTGGCTCATGCCTGTAATCGCAGCACTTTGGGAGGCTGAGGCAGGAGGATCACCAGGAGGATCACTTGAGCCCAGGAGTTCATGACCAGCTTGAGCAACATAGTAAGACCCTTTCTCTCCTAAAAAAAAAAAAATTAAAAATTAGCCAGGCTTGGTGATGCGTGCCTATAGTCCCAGCTACTCAGATGGCTGAGGTTGGAGGATCACTTAAGTCTGGGAGGTCGAGGCTGCAGTGAGCTGTGACAGTGCCACTGCACTCCAGCCTGGGCAATAGAACAAGACTCTGTCTCAAAAATAAAAAGAAAGTCTAATTTTATAATGTTAGCTAGTAATTTTTGATAAATAAAATTGTTTTGGGAGTCCACGGTGGGCAGATCACGAGGTCAGAAGTTCAAGACCAGCCTGGCCAAGATGGTGAAACCCCATCTCTACTAAAAATACAAAAATTAGCTGGGCATGGTGTGTGGTGGTGCGCACCTGTAGTCCCAGCTACTGGGGAGGCTGAGGCAGGAGAATGGCTTGAACCCGGGAGGCACAGGTTGCAGTGAGCCGAGATAGCGCCACTGCACTCCAGCCTTGTAACAAAGTGAGACCCTGTCTCAAAAAAAAGAAAAAAAAAGTTGTTACATTCAACCCATTTCAACTTTGTGGTCTTTTAGTATGTCCAAGATTATCTAAAACCTCAACCTATGTTTCAGGAGTATCTATACAACTATTTAACGTAAGCTTTTTTTTTTCTTTAAAACTGGTGGCTATCTTATGGAAGTCAGACTTTCTCATAGATGTCACTTGCTCAATGAAGAGTTAGTATTTTCGTGTCACTCAGAGTTCTGACTGCTCTCCAAGTCCCTGATGGTGCCCAAACCAATAATCAGCTGAGAAGCTCTAACGCTAAATACCATGCCACTTTAAGACCCGTGCCTTTTAAAGACCTTTTCAAAGCTCTCTGCTACCAGTCAATAAAAATATAAAAATCATTGAAAGACCATGAATCGTAAATACAGGGAGTTAATTAACATTTGGAACCAACATAAATTCAAAACTGAGGTCTGCTCTTTGTTAGCCATTCTTTACTGCTGCTGGAGACACCACAGCATTCACTGATGGCCACTGGGTGAGAGAGTTGCTTACACAAACAAATATGAGTTTGGATTTCCTCTTTGCCACTATTATTTGTCCAGTCCCACTGAGCTTCAGTTTCTTCATCTGTAAAATGAGGGTTGGACTTCTCTTGTCAGGGCTGTTGAGAGCCTTAAATGAAAGAAAATAAATACTAACACTTAGGCCTGGCCCTGGCATTTAGCAGGTGCTGGGAAAATGGACCTCTCCTGTGATTGATCATGTTAATCTTCATATTCTGTTATTTCCAGGTCTCCAAATAAAAGAGAGTCTTCAACTAAAAAAGATTAACTTTTATTGTTATCAGGACTTGTATTTAGCATACACTTAAATTATGCCACTAAAAATGATACACCTCATTAGCAAAACACCCACCCAGTGAGATTTAGTGAGTTATTTGTAAATGTTCCCACACTTGCTATTATCTAAACTTTTGAAGGTTTAGTACATTGTGGAAAACCACACCCAGTTTTTTCTTGAACGTAATCATAAGAATCAGACCCTTTCCATGTTTCTTTTTTTTAACGTAGAAGTTACCCTATTTTTCTGAGATGGGATAGTTATAAAGAATTTGAACATCTCCCCACAAACCCTGTTCTGTCTTAAGAGCTGGGAGGGGCAGGGCATAACTGGGAAGTGGAGATGATTTAGCTATATGTTTATTGCTTTAGTATTTAACAGCAAACATGAAATTCTTTTTTTGGCTTTAAAAACACCATCCTCTCCCATTTCCATTCTTATGTCTGCTGTTTCTCTTTCTCACCATGCTTTTCTGACTCACTTTCCTTTGCCAGTTTCCTAAATGTGAGTTCTCCAGGGTTTGATTCTTCACCCCTTCCGTTCTCATATTTTTTACTTTTATAAGGTGTTGAACAAACGTAATTGCTTATTTCTTCTTTTGATGCCAGATTGGAATGGTTGTAACTCATAGCATTATCCCTTAAGGAATTACATACCCATGCATCATTTAGAAAAGCTGGGGGTAATAGCATAACTTGAAGCCTTTTATTACACAGTTATCATGGCACACACAGGCAAAATAATATTCTCCCAACACATTCTGAAAAGGCGTGACAGAGTGGTAGATAGAATTGGAAGTGAGAACTAGTGCTAGTTTTCTTGATTCTGGAAATAGTTAATTTGAAATTCAAAATAAGTGATAATTTTACAATTATTAAGAAAACTTTAAAGTTTTAAAAATTAAGTACTTAATTTGAAGCATATGTGTAAGCTATGTATTAGAGAATGGTTTCTATATATTGTAGAATTGTTTTATGAGAATGCTTACAAAATGAGGAATTGGGCCCTCAAATAATATCCCTTCTGCTATGCAGTTTTAGGTTTCAAAGATCTAATGCTCTTAAGTGATGTAAATTTTTCTAATTCAAAATAATTAGTGTAAAATATTTAGTTCTTAAAATTTAATTTTTGGTAAATCAGTAGTGAAGATGAGGCTGCGGAAATTATACGGACTCTTACTAAAGCCTATATGAAAATAGTTGTGATCCATAACCAGTCATGCAATTTTATTTCTGGAAGACTTGTCAGACAACTTCTATTTCACCAACCTGACTGTTCAGGTGAGGAAACCGAGGTTCAAATTGCATTAGGAATGTCTCTGTAGAAGACCATGCTATTAAGAAGATGTACTGGTTAAAGTTGTTAGTTCCAATTAGAACCCACTCTGACTAAGCCAAAAAGGAATTTCTTAAGGAACGGGGTAGCTGGTAGAGAAATCCAGGAGAGTACAGCAGAAGAAATCTAAAGCCTTACAGCAGTACTAATGCACAGTAACACTATGAGGCTTTCTCCTGCTGCCACCACAGCTCAGCTCCTGTCACATGTAGGACTGGGTGCCAGAACTCTGCCACTGACAATGCAGAAGACTCAAAATCCCTATTATAACATGGATTTCCTGGTGGGCAGCAGCCTGCACACGTTGCTCACTTCCCAGCTCATTCTTGTTTGGCACATCTGATTGGCCAGTGTAAATCACATGCCTTCACCCTGCTCCAAGGGAATCTGGGGGTGTGAGTCTTCTGGATCCTACTTTGGGAAGGCATGGACTGATAAGGCAGGAAATTATCAATATGTGGTGAGGTTTTTCAAATATGTGGCCTCCTGCTGAATGACAGATATCCATGACAAAGGAAAACAGGAGAATTACCTAATTGAATAGGAAAACTACAGATGACAAGTTATTCAGCAACATTAGGCCTTTCAAACAGAAGAAAGCGCAAACAACTTTCCTCCCAGCCTAGACAGGAGGAGATCTATGAAGGAATAAGCACCTATCAGAGAAATACTTTCGTGATTTGGGTCCTGAGTCTGCCATAAATAGCTGTGCTGACTTTGGCAACACAGCTCTCTTCCCAGGTTCTTACTTTTCTCATCTGTAATAGGAGTGAGGGTTTGGGTTAACTCTTCAGGTACTGTGGAGGGTATGCTGACATTCAGTGCCAGCATCAGCCCACAGTACCCTCCTACCACGTGTGGTTTGTGAGATGACTGTGTGTTAGACAAGAAAGCGTTTTTATTTTAATAATTATGCTTATATTTTAATGTGCTATAAAAAGTAAACTAGCACATCAACTCCTAATCCCATGGCTATTTTCATTTATAGTGAGGCTGAATTTAAGGTTAAAGTAAATCTACTTCTTTTAAATTAAGTAAACATAATATATCTATGGCAGGTTAAAAAATATTATATAAGTAATGTACAAATAATAACCAGGGCTTGAGAAATAAGATCCAGAGCAGTAATTCTCACCTTTTAATGTACATAATGAGTCAGTGTGGGTTTTATTAAAATGAAGATTCTGGTTTAGGAAGTCCAGGATGAGGCTGAGATTCTGCTTTTCTAACAAGCTTCCAGTGGATGTGCTGCTGCTGCTTTGGCAACCACATTTTGAGTAGCCAGGAGACTGAATAGTGCAGAATGTGGGTAGTTTAGGCTACCCATAACCTAAACATCAACTAGAGAATCTGATTAAAATGCAGATTCTCAGGTTTGAAGCCAAGAAATTCTGATTCGCCGGGGTGGGGGAAGAGCCCAGGATTTCATATATTTAATAGGCATTCCCAGGAGTTTCAGATGCAGATGATTTGAGAACCACACTGGCAGGAAGGACACCCTCAGGGATTGTGATGGCCACAGCACAGCAGTGGAACTACATTGTTTGCCTTCACTCTAAGGAAAGGAGCCTTTTTCCACCTGACTTACAGCAGAAGAATCTTGCGAAAAAAATTTTTTTTTTTTTTTGAGACAGGGTCTCACTATTGCCCAGGCAGGAGTGCAGTGGTGTGATCTCAGCTCACTGCAACCTCCACCTTCCAGGTTCAAGCGATAATCCTGCCTGAAGCCTCCCGAGTAGCTGGGATTACAGGCAAGCACCACCGCACACAGCTAATGTTTGTATTTTTAGTAGAGACAGGGTTTCACCATGTTGCCCAGGCTGGTCTGGAACTCCTGAGCTCAGGTGATCCACTTGCCTCGGCCTCCCAAAGTGGTGGGATTACAGGCATGAGCCACCATGCCTGGCCAGAAAATTTGTTTTATAACCATGTGATTACTCATCTGTACTCATCAGGAGCACAGAAATACATTCAGAGATAGGCATCATTGAGCTGCCTAACTCTGGAAGCTGTGGGGCCCAGGGCCCATCCCTATGGGGTGTGGCCCAAATTAGTCACCCTGTGCTGTTTTTGTCACAGGAGAAATTAATGTCAGTGAAACCTAGATGAGCTTTTAGTCTATTTTTAAAAAGGAATGACAATACTAATGATCAACAACAACAACAAAAAGGGATATATAAGCTATATATCAAGAAGAATTCTAAGTCCGGGTGCATGGCTCATGCCTGTAATCCCAGCACTTTGGGAGGCTGAGGTGGGTGGATCACTTCAGGTCAGGAGTTCGAGACCAGCCTGGCCAACATGGTGAAACCCTGTCTCTACTAAAAATACAAAAATTAGCTAGGTGTGGTGGTGCATGCCTGTAATCGCAGCTACTCGGGAAGCTGAGGCAGGAGTATTGCTTGAACCTGGGAGGTGGAGGTTGCAGTGAGCTGAGATCACGTGACTGCACTCCAGCCTGGGCCACATAGCGAGAATCCCACCTCAAAAAAAAAAAAAAATTATAAGGACAGGGTCTTCTGCTCTGGAAATGTTAGAATCTTAAAGTTGGAAGGGCTCTTATTTCACTAGATTTTTGACAGAAATAAAAGACAAAAAAAATAAGGTAGCTGTGAGGAGTACCTTGAAAGGTACATCAGAGGGCCCTAACTGCCTTGGCTGCCTGGTGGGGTACAAAGCTGTATGGATGAGTTCACCTTTTTCATGCCACTGGCCATCATTTGTCATGACTCGACACAGCACTGTCCAACCTGTCCTGAGGTCTGTGTTCCTCAAACAGTGACCAACACTACCTCCTTCACTCACACCCCAAGTTCAGGGTTCAGAGCCTTTAATGTGGTTGGTGTACGGCTTTTCATTTATTTTAAAATTTTTTATAATTATTTTCTCTAACTCTTATCATTCAATATTTATTAGTTGGCCTTCTATATGAAAGAGTGGCTTAACCCCTCTATTTATTCATTCATTTATTTACAGCAGTATAGACTCATGAATTTATATTGTATTCAATAGCTTCAAATCTATTCTAATTTTGAAGTTTGTAATATACTATAATATAAAGTAATCGGGTAGAATTCTTACTGTTAAACTACTCTTTAAAGAAATCCATTACACAGTTTTAACTGCATTTGCAAATCCCTGGTTGTAGTCATTACTAATCCACTTTATAGTTTCAAAAGAGGTCTTCGGGGGAGCATATTTGCGAAGTGCACCCACCGTCGTTGCCTTATTCTGGTAGTCACAGGGTGACAGCCGAGGGAGCGGTAACCTGTAATCAGCCGGCGGTGCGCAGCCCACACAGCACGTGGTCCGCATCACAGGCTGCGTTATTGAGTGAGCCAGTCTCCAGATGCCAGGCGCATGACGAGTCCACGGAGCGGGACCTCCCTCCCCACGCATCCCGGGCTCCCGGGGCGGGGCCGCCGGGCAGGGGGGCGGGGAGCATCCTGCGTCGCCTTCCCGGGACCGCCCCGCCCCGTCGCACTCAGAGAGCTGGGCTGGAGCTCCAAGCGGAAACCGCGGGAGCCGAGCCCAGCTAGGAATGCAGACCTCCTGAAAACCAAGCCGAGGACTGCGGGGTCCGGTGTCCACGCAGAGTGAGTACTGTCTTCCGCCGCTTTGCTCCAGGCCGCGCGTGCTCCCGGGTCTAGGGCCTGTGCCCCCGGCTACCTGCCCTGCGTGTCCGGGGCCTGGTCCCTGCAGCGGACTCCCCAGGCTCGGGACGTGCGCTTTTCCTACTATCGCGACCCTGGCGATACCGTGCGTTCTGAGTTTAACTGTGTTTCTTGGCGACTCCTCCTCCTTGTCGGTAACACTGTTACTGCCCCTTCCGCCGGGAAATGTATCTGGTGACCGGACGCGTAGGGTTACAAAACAAGGGATTTGTGTGGCCCGGTACAAGTGGCCCGAGACAAGTGGCCCGAGACAAGTGGCCCAAAAGAAGGAAAGCAGCAGCTATGTCAGTTTGGTTTGGCACCTTTATCTCTAGGGTTGGAGATAGATCTCCTCCTCCCCAGCCGTGCCGCCACCCTGTGATGACCTCCGTTTTAGAGCGTGAGCTCACTCTGACCTTTCTGCGTACCTGATACATGCTGGGTGTGGCGTGGCAAGTGTTGTAACCTGTTTCGGTTCCATTTCCTTTACACAACCTGAGACGGTTGTAGAATAACATCACTGAGGGTTACTTTGTGTCTATCTTTTAAGAATACAAAGTGTTTTCACAGAGATTTAACTTTCTCTTCTGTATGGTTAGGGACCCGGCATTCTCCACTTACACACAGGCAGGGGGAAGTTCTTTATTCCCATTGTACAGCTTCAGAAAATGAGGCAGAGAGTTTAGACAGCTTCCCTAAGGATCGGGACTTTGGGGCCTCTCTAGTTTTCTAGGAAACCACCTATGCATCAGAATGACAGAAATGCTTAATCAGCAGCTCTGGAAAGTTCCTGCTGTTTCACATGTTTTTCAGAGGAAAAACCTCTGCATTGCAGGGAAGCTCAACAAGGAGTGGCATCTACTGTTCAAAAGGGGAAAGTCTATTTCCTAATCAGCACTAGAGTTTATATTAATATAGATTGCTTCTTTCTGATGAATGTATTCGACTTTTGTGCACTGATTTTTCAGTATCTAAAAGGAATATTGAGTTGTTGGGAATATGCTGGGGAGGGTGTGCTGCTTGGGTTCTAGGAGGCAGTATAGGATTAAAATGAAGTAGTGAAATTTAGCAAAATCTTGCTGAACAAGGAAAGGCCACACCTGTAGACTGATGGAGAAGGAATAAGCCACCTATAGCAATGAGGCTGACTAGGGATCCCGTGTGTGTGCAGCAAGGACTCCTGGTGTCTATTACGAATCAGCATGCTTTGTAGACTGTGAAACAGTGTTTATGAAGCAGCACATTCAAGTATAAATATTGGCTGTGGTTCAGTTCAGATGCTTTGAAAGAAGAGTCCGAATGCCAGAGAGTAGTTGATTATATAGAATTAGTGGGGAGTTTTGGTTCCTTGATTATTCTCTGGCAGAATTGACTAAGTATAACATCTGTACTGCAATGAAAACATAAAAGCTAGTACGTAAAGTAACAGTTTGAAAGAATGAAACCAGAAAGAAAAAGAAAGCATTTTCTTTTCATTTGAATAACTTCTGAAAATCAGCTGAGTATTTATGTTTCTATTCATTGTTTATAATCACAGTTAACTTTAAGTGATCACTACTTCTTAGGTGGAAACATTTACTTTTTCTCAAAATATGAACTGTCTTAATTAGTCCTATTCAAATAAAAACTCCATAACCCATATTCTTCTATGTTCATATATATCTTTGTATCTCCTCTTTCATTATACCTTATAATTCCCTCAATTTGGAGATCATACGAATCTGGGATATCTGTTTTAGCATTGGTGTGTCTAACCTCATAAGAACATATCGCATAGTTTTTCTGATACATAGAATTAGCAATCTGCTTACTAGAAAATTACAGGAGGTCTTCATGAACATTGCATTTAATTTTTTCTCTATGGACGCTCTTGACTTAAAAATGTCATCTTAATGTTTCTCAAAAGGCATAGTCTTGGCATTTTGGGTGACAATTCTGAATTAGATAGAGCTCTTTGCTCGCACTGAATGTCAGAGCGTGACCGAAAGCACTTTCATGCATTTAAATGAACTTTGGTTGGGTACTACATCCAATTTTTTAAAATTGAATAAAACATATTAAAAAGGGCTAGGGACGGTGGCTCATGCCTGTAATCTCAGCACTTTAGAAGGCCAAGGAGGGAGGATCGCTTGAGGCCAGGAGTTTGAGACCAGCCTGAGCAACATAGCAAGACCCTGTCTCTACAAAAAATTTAAAAATTAGGGCATGGTGGCGTGCACCTATGTGGCCCCAGCTACTTGGGAGGCTAAGGTGGAAGGATCAGTTGAGCCTGGGAGGTTAAATTGTAGTGAGCTGTGATTGTGCTGCTGCACTCCAGCCTGACACAGCGATGAGACTCTGTGTCAAAAAAATATATATATAAAGAAAAAAAAGAAAAAAAAAGAATTGAGCCATACCATTTTGATGGAAAGCCATAAAAATAATTAGTCAATGATTTCCAATTTTTAAGGCCACTTTACATCTCCTAAGACTTGATGGCTTCTGGACAAATCTGTTTATTTGAACATTGCGATTTGGGCAGAAACTGTGTAATCAATCATACCGTTAGCAAGGTGACATTGTTGGACCCATGTGCTATAGTACTCTATTGTCTACCCTAAGCAATAATAATGGATTATTAGAAGGTGACTGTAATAGGTTCTAGTAAAAGAATAGATGAGCATAATCTGTATTAGAACATAGTATTAATAGTTCTAATATTAATATTTATATTAATAGTTCTAATAATAGTTCTAATGTGGCTATAACACATTAATAGTAACAGCTACATTTACTGAAAACACTATATTCTAAGCACATACGGAGCCCTTATGTGCTGTGATGATAATGTAGCTATGACGTAGAAACTCCTGTTATGCTCGTTTTACAGATTAAGAAAATAAAAACTGCCATACTATATTGTTTTTCAGGACATATTTAACAGCTTGCCATGAACACTTTTCAAAGAATGAGCTTCAGTGCATGAAAAGTTATCACACACTAAATTCGCATTTTGCTACAGTGATTTCCTCTCTCAGAATGCAAACTTTTACTATACCATGAGCCCCTTAAAGACAGAATCCCCTATAGCATCTACTTCATGTCTTCCACATAGTAATTGCTCAATATTTATTGGATTGGAAAAAAGATTAGTTTTATCGTAATATGAATAGAGCCCTAAGATGCTGTTACATTAATATAGATTATTCCTGGTTAGGTAGAAATGATAAAATAATATTCATTTTTATTCTCTAGGATTTACAAGTAGAGTTTTTGAAGTTTAATATCTCTTTGTGCTTTGGCTAAAGATTATAGAGTGGATAATCAAAAAATATATGAGCAAGGAACCCTTTTTTCTTTCTTTATTTTTTCCCTGGAGTTTCTGCAATTGGCCAGACGTGATGCTAGGCATACAGAGGTATGGCCCATATAACAAATATAAAGAGCAATGTAAAAAGTGTTAAATGGCAGTGCTGTCACGATACTGTAAAAGCGGAGTGAAAGGTTAAAGGAAGAGGGTTGAGGTTAAGCTTGGGAGCCTGTTTTTCTGGGAATATACAGTAGAAATATGATTTCTTTAAAGGAAATCTGCAACCAGGAGGCAAGGCTAAAGCAGAAAATGCCAACAGCTGCAGATCCTAATGACTGAGATGTTATTCTGGTGGAGCACAGTCAGTTAAAGGCAGGACTGCTTATAAGTGTGAAATACATCCAGCCTCCCAGTCATTGGCTTGCCTGATGCATTATTTTCTTAATCTCTTCTTCCCGTGCTTTCCCCTGAGACACTCCAGTTTCTGTTGCACACCTTTGCATGTGCTGTTTTGTGGAACTGAGAGTTCTGGTTAATTCTAGGACATTCTGATAAGATGTTCTTGCTACTCTTCCCTTGTAGACAGACTGGATTTCCATCAGGTGTCAGTAACATCTAAGATTTTCATTTTGTCCTGGGGCTCTACGCAGTTTAACTGGAGCCGCCACAGCTGATTGGGTGTGTGTTGTCAGTCCCCCAGGCAAGCTCTGAGGGTTACATTTCTGCTGCTCATATTTCTGTTTCTTTCTTCACCACTCAACCCGAGGTGCAAAAGTGCAAAGACAAGTTCATCAACAATCAGAATAACCTGCCCCTGAATTCTTTCTAATGATTCATTTTCTCAATCTAGTTTCTAATTTCATATTTGGCAGCTACCACCTGGTAAATACATCTCCTTAGCTAGAGGAGGAAAACTTCACACCCAGTTTACTCACCTTTTGTCGTTTTCCCTGGTTCCTGTCAAAGTTGTTGCTTGGTCTGTTTTGTTGCCATTTGTTTTCCTACAGATCCCTTTACAACACTCTGTTTTTTAAAAAACTAACATTTAACTTTATTTGAGGAAGATATTTTATATGTTAGAAAAAATGATTTTGGGTCTGCTTTTATTGAATGTGTTAACTTTAGTTAACCTTTTTTTTTTTTGAGACAGAGTCTCGCTCTGTTTCCCGGGCTGGAGTGCAGTGGCACAATCTCGGCTCACTGCAGCCTCCACCTCCTGGGTTCAAGCAATTCTCCTGCCTTAGCTTCCTGAATTGCTGGGACTACAGGCACGTGCCACCACTTCTGGCTAAATTTTGTATTTTTAGTAGAGACGGGGTTTTGCCATGTTGGTCAGGATGGTCTCGATCTCTTGACCTCATGATCCAATCGACCTTCACAGGGAAGGTCTCTAATGAACTAAACCAACTGATGTTCATGGCCCACGTTTGGAGCCTGAGCAAGGTCATGGACCATTGATATTTCACTCAAAGTTGCCGTAACAGATTAAAGCGCTTAGTATGCAAGTATTCTCCCTGAGCTCTATAATGGACTGAGGTCCCCCATACCAGTGACTTAAGAGTCAAAGACCTAGACCACACCTCAGGGCCTCCAGAGTTGCCGGGGAAAGTGTGAGCTATGAGTGCTGTTCCCACCAAGAAATCAGGAGCTTAGCCTCCTGCACATACTGTTTCCTTATTAACTATACTAACAGAGTGGCCAGGGAAGGTAGCAGGGAATAGAATCACTTATACATTTTTCAGTTACATGTGCTTTTTCCTTATTGTGAATGTAGGAAATTGTGTTTATATCCGATAGGGAAAATGAAACCCTTTTATATGACTCCATTACTATGGCTAATAATCATCAGCGTCCCTGAATATAAATATTCTCATGCTAACAATATGTTTAAAACAGTGCCTCATATGCTTTTAGACATGCGTTATTTTATAGCATTTTATTTTAAAAGTTGTGTCAGGTTTAGAGAGGTGAGTCTGCATCAGGGAACTGAAACTGGTAACCAGCATTTTTATTTTTCAGGATTCTTCCCTTTCATATGTTCCATCTCTTTATTTTTCTGTGCTGCATTGTGATTAATGGCCTCAGATCTATCTTGCAGTCGCTTAAGTCTCTATGCAGTTATGTGTAGTTTATATTTTCACCTATTTTTGATTTGGGGCTTTTATTTTTTCTTTTGTGTCTTTGATTTTTAAAATTTATTAAAAGTCCCCTTCAGATTTTTCTATTGTTTTAGTTACTTTTTTCTTTGAGACAGGGTCTTGCCCTGTCACTCAGGCTGGAGTGCAGTGGCACAATCACAGCTCACTGCAGCCTTGACCCCCTGGGATCAGGTGATCCTCCTACCTCAGCCTCCCAAGTAGCTAGGACCACAGTTGAGAGCCACCATGCCTGGCTCATTTTTGTATTTTTGATAGAGACAGGGTTTCATCATGTTTCCCAGGCTGGTCTTGAATTCCTGGGCTCAACTGATTCACCTGCCTCGGCCTCCTTCTTCACCTCTATTTCTTTCTTCACTACTCAACCCGAGGTGCAAAAGAGGATAAACAAGTTCTGGGATTACAGGTGTGAGCTGCTGCGCCCAGCCTGTCTTTAATTCTTGAAGTAAAATTTCTCCTATATTTGTAACAATGACTCTCCCGCATGCTATTTTACTTCCTGATTAGGTTGGGAAAATGTGGCTTGAAATTCACCTTCAATGAAGATTGTTTTCCATGAGAGTCCTTTTTCCCCTATGTTGTAGATCTGCCTCTACCAAGTGGTTTTTAGTACGTTGCTGCCTGTGGTCATTCAGATTTCAACAGCGTTAATATCTTGGCTTGGTGCTTCCACTATACAGAAATAAATTTGGTCCTTGAGTGCCCAATGGCACAAGTTTGGAATTTATTTTTCTCATGCATATGCATTTTTACACTCATGGCTCCAGCCAGAAAGAAAGCTGCCTTACCATTATTCTGGACAGGTGGGCAGTTGTCAAGGCTTATGTTTGTGGATGATCAGTTCTGAGTAGCTTCTGGTTTTAAGCTAGTAACTCAGCACAGGGCCTGTAGCCAGGATTCCTTTCTCATTTAGAGAATTCAATTCCTAGTTCCCAACTGTTATATCTGTTTCTGATATCCCCGTGAGTCATTCTGTCTCAGCCTTGCTCACCAGAGGACTTAGAATTCCCTCCCCGTTAGGTTACTTGGGAATTTCTCTTCTTTAAAGCTTACCTATCTATTTTATTTTTTATGTTAAATTTTATTCAGTATTCTCATGTCTGGAACAAAATGGAGTTCTTTTATTAGAACACAGACTAATTTTGTTAGACCTGAACAATGTGTTTAAAATGTTTGAAAGCCTTTAAGTTGGGGAATACATGTACTAGCTTGTCACATGCTTATCTTATCATCATACTGGCCTTATGATATTCATACTGGCCTGATCTTCGTAATGATCTGATGATATTCATATCACTCTACACATGTTTTCATTTGCTTTTTAGACTCCTGTTCTACAGAAATAGACATATATTATTTTCTGAAAATTTAATTACTTGACCATTTGAAAATTGCATCCTGTTTTAAAAAATATCCTGGCAGCTGAGCTGTATACTTGGTGTATAATGTGTGCAGCATTAGGGGTTCCCCAATATTAGTTCCAGAATATCTACCTATAAAATGATAGCAATATTGGGATCGATGATGTCTACAACATACTACTATTTCCTTGTGGTGCAAGAAAGGACGCGGGCTATAGAGAAAGTCACAAGTATCAAGTGTTCCTGGGGTTTAGGGACATAAGACTAAAGAGGACAAGTATTATTGAGGTACTTCAGGGCAAGCATGTATGCCTTTGTCCCAGTCTTTTTAGGGAACATTTAGGTTCTTCAGTAACCTAGGCTAGCAATATTAGCATCAAAAATCTTATTTTAAGCTGGCTGGAAGGTAATTTTGAAGAGTCATTTTGCAAATTTATCCTAATATCTTATGTGATCCTTTCTTTTAACCAAATGTAAGTGTGAAGAGACAGAGATTGTCACCAGGAATAGAGCACTAATGTACAGCAATAGACGGTAGAAAATGGTGGTCCTTTCAATGAGCCACTACAAAGCCATCTTGTTTTAAATTACCTAAAAGTGATTCTCCATGTCTGGGAATTTTAGAATTACGTGAGAGGCTTACAGCTTTTTAGGCCACAGACCTCCTTCCCTCTTCTTCTTGCCCTTTTTCCTTTGTATGTTTCTAAGTGTCTATTGTCCCCCTTCCTCTCCCACTGTTCTAACTACTGCCTATAAATAATTCTCTTCCAGGACCATTTCTACCCGTTATGTCAAGAACCACTGAGCTACAGTGTTAATGCTTGGCCAGTTACATTGCCCAGTGGCTTGACATTACATTCATTGCCAGCAATAATTATGAACATTTTTAGCCTAAAATATTTAAATAGTTATGAATTCCTGCCTATTCTACATATAGTTTCAATGATTAGAATTAGAGATCCTGTTTTCCCCCAGCAATATTATAAAACTAAATATCTTCCACATGATATCTTACTCTAACCTTGAGTTTTTAATCAATTAGTTAATTATATTTACTTGGGATTTTAGCCCTAATGGGTCCACATCACTTAAAAAAAAAAAAGTCTGTCCTCTGCTGAATATTCAGAGTTTAAAAATGGAGGTTTAATCTCTCTTGGCTGTTGAGTTTGAGCCTTCTGTTGGTTTCAATAATCTTTTAATTATTGCAGTATTGTGTGCTGAATTATTCTCACAGTGTTATTGTGGCAGGCCTGGATTCTTAGCCCAGAAAATTAGAATTGTTTTCTTCTCCAGCCCTTCTGACAATCATATTTTTATACCTGTTCACAGGTTTCCAAAGATTAAATGTGATCAACACTGATCTCCATATTTTCAATTAAAATCTTTGTGAAATACCACTTGATTTCCAGTTGAAGTAGTAGTAAACCATATTTTCTCAATGTATGTGTAACTTCTCCATATCCTACTATATATAGGTCAATGAACTGAAAATTTGGGTACCATTCAACTTGGGAAGACAACCAATATAAAACAAAGAAAAAGTTAACTAAGAACATTCTAGCTATTGCTGATAATCTGAAAAAAATTCTGGAATGCTCTGGGGGCAGGATTCAGTCTAGCAGCACGTATATAGTTTAGAGAAACTCTACAGGATGTAGATTTTGAAAATAAATAGAAACAAATAAATTTAACATTTATTAATTTATTGGACAACTACTGTGCTAAGTGATTTACATAAGATTTCATTTATTCCTTGTAAGAGTTGCATATTTTACAACTAGGTAAGGAGGTATTGACAGTTTTATAAATGAGGAGACTGAGGGCCAAGAGAGTTCAAATAACTTACCCTAGGTCACTACAAATAGCAAGATTCTATTTGATTCTAAAATTCTTTTCAGCAGACTAGTCTTACAAAATCCTCTGTTCAGTAGTTTGTATCTAAGTAGTTTAAATAACTGAGAGGGGAATTTGTTTCTAAACTTAAACACTGGAAATCAATATTGTGCTCTTTTGTTATATGCAGTATCTTAGGACTGCTGAAATTCTAATGGGTGAGGTTTCCCACTTGTCTGAAAGAGAGTATTGTACACTGATTGGGATTAGGAGATAATAGTTTAGTTGGCAGTTTCTTTGGACATTTGATATGGGCAGTAGAGAAGGAATAAATTAGCCATTTTGGAATATGGTGAAAATTAATAGTAAAATTAAATAGCACATAACTGAAAACACCCTTATCCTATAGGAAATAGGACACCCTTACCCTATAGGAAACTTTTGCTTAGATTGAAATATAAGCAGCAGTGCTCATATATTTACAGCAGTTTCAAATTCAAATGAATCCTACTTTAAAATGTGTTCTATCTATTCCACTGAATTGTTATCTGATGGGAAGGTGGAATGTAATGCAGTGGAATGTATCATTATCTGAAACAGGCATGGAGCAGTTTAGAAATTTGCTCAAGGTCACACAATTTAGCAGAGCTGAGATTCAAACTCAAGTGGCCTGGCTCCAAAGCCATTCTTCTAACCATGACACAACTTTTTTTCTTTTCTTTTCTTTTTTGAAACAGGCTCTTGGGGTCTTGCTCTGTCACTTGGGCTGGAGTGCAGTGGTGCAATCACGGGCCACTGCAGCCTTTATGTCCAGGCTCAAGTGGTCTTCCCATCTCAGCCTCCTGAGGGCCTGGGACCACAGGTGTGTGCTACCATACTTGGCTAATTTGATTCTTTTGTAGAGATGGGGTCTCACTATGCTGCCCAGGCTGGTCTCTAACTCCTGGGCTCAATCAATCCTCCCACCTGAGCCTCCCAAAGTGCTGGGATTATAGGCATGAGCCACTGTGCCCAGCGACCATCTCTTTAATATTTGCAAAGATTGATACAACACTGCCTCTTTAATATTTGCAAAATTAAACTTGCTGTCAGTATACATTTGTGAATTTGTTCTTCTTAGGTGGTTTCCAGAATAACATTTTATTTCACTCCCCATTTTCATGTTGGTTATTTGACAATCAGCTTGGATAAGAGAACCTTGTTACAGTTCTCATGACGTTGGCTTTTTAATTAAGAATATTCTTCAGTGAAAGGTGGGCTGGCTGCCAGGCCCATCTCTCAGTCCTCATGTTTGGCTCTGTCTTAAGATATCCTCATATGTTCCTCCCTACTTTGTGTTAGAGACATTTTGAGTCTCTCATTTCTGTGGAGATTGAGGCTTGCAGTTGGTTTTGCAGCGTAAGTGCACATAAAAGTTCTCATGTTTTTCTTGCTCTCTGTTCAGTTTACACCTAAGGAATGAATGCACTATGGAAGTAGAAAGGCTTTCTGGATGATTGTTCAGCAGACCTCAGAATTTCTCTTTTTTTTTTTTTTTTTGAGATGGAGGCTTGCTCTGTCACCCAGCTGGAGTGCAGTGGTGCAATCTTGGCTCATTGCAACCTCTGCCTCCTGAGTTCAAGTGATTCTCTTGTCTCAGCCTTCTGAGTAGCTGGGACTACAGGCACGTGCCACCATGCCCAGCTAACTTTCTGTATTTTTAGTAGAGACGGAGTTTCACTGTGTTAGCCAGGATGGTCACGATCTCCTGACCTGGTGATCCACCCACCTCAGCCTCCCGAAGTGCTGGGATTGCAGGTGTGAGCCACCGTGCCTGGCCAGAATTTCTCATTCTTATACCATAATCATATCATCAATAACCATATATGCTTTAGATGAGCTCATAATCTGTCAGGGTTGTTACAGGTATATGCTCTTGCTACCAAGATTCCTCTTCATTTGACTGGAACATGGACCTAAAGCAACCATGCATTTGAATCCAAAGAAAATGCCACAATGTAAAATAATGTTGCAGGTTCTTTCCTTTGAGGAAGATAAGCAAGATTAATGTGAAATGTGTAACTTCTCAAATTAGTGCTCAGGCTGGGCATGGTGGCTCACACCTGTAATCCCAGCACTTCGGGGAGGCTGAGGTGGGTGGATCACCTGAGGTCAGGAGTTTGAGACCAGCCTGACCAATATGGTGAAACCCCATCTCTACTAAAAATACAAAAATTAGCTGGGTGTGGTGGTGCACACCTGTAGTCCCAGCTACTTGGGAGGCTGAGACCGGAGAATTGCTTGAACCCAGGTGGCGGAGGTTACAGTGAGCCAAGGTCATGCTACTGCACTCCAGCTAGGTGACAGAGCAATACTCTGTCCAAAAAAACAAAAAAAACACAGTGGTCAGCACAGAATTACTCTGTCATTCTGAGGCCAAGCAAAGAAACTTTCGAGGCTGTTGGCATTCATAAAATAATAAAAATCACTGCTGTCTATTGATGTACCATGTGCCAGGCACCAAATCATGCACTTTATATACATACCCTCATTTAATCCTCACTGCTAGCTTATGAAGTAGGTATCTTTTTTTATATACATTAAATGAATTTAAAAACCTCACATTTGGAAGGATTAAGCAGCCTGCCTGTAGTTGTGCAACCAGAATTAGGCCTCAGGTCTATGGGACTCCAGAGCTCATGCTCTTAACCTCTGTGTTTCCCAATTGAACATCTGTCCTTAAGCACATTATTTAATGCCCTTCACTAAAGTATAGCATATAATATTAGAACTGCAGAACTACAGGATTCTCAAGGCCAACAGTTTTTACAAATAAAGAAAAGGTGCGCAAGAAAGATTAAGAGCTCCAAGTCACATGGCTAGTCAAGTACAGTCTTCCTCATGGCTCCTGTAGTGCCTGTTAACAGAAATTGTTTGATTCACAGGCTTATGTAAATCCTCACCTGTGAAACCTTCTCTAGGGGAGGGACAAGAAGCAGAAAGTAGGCTGCATTTTCTGGACCTGACTTCCCTGTTTTGCTTTATCTTAGGCAGCCAGAGATTAGACATATTTGGAATTATTTCATGCATCAAGAGAAGCAACTGGAATCCCTAGAGACATGAATACAACTTCAGGAAAGAAATCTGCTTTTCTATTCTTTGATGACTGACCTAGGCTGTGTGGCTAGCTCTTCTCCTTACTTACAAAATTATTATCCCATAAAAAAGCACTGGAAAACTAGAGTTTGGAAAGCAATGAAAATGAAGCAGTTGCCTCGTAGAACTGGAAGCTCAACTTCATGCCTTAAATGTGGATTTTTTTTTCTAAGTTCTTGGGGTGGTCCGGTATCAGAGCTCATAATCAGACCCTCAGAGAATATGGCCAGTATCCTTCTAGCTTGGATTTAGATCACAGATCAGCTGTGACTATTGTCACAGTTGCTAGGCAACGTTTGTATGTTTATTTCGAGGCCTACCCACATGTTGCATCAGAGGCCAAAGCTCATGTGCTCTGCACTCCTCAGAACAAGTAGAGCTCTTTATTTTTAACTAAACTGTTTCCTTGTAATGTATTTTATGAATGTACAGCCTACTCTGCCAAGCTGTAGTTATCTTCAGTTTCTCCCTAGTAGTCCCAATTCTCTAAATTTTTGCATTCAACTTCATCTAACCTGTTGCATTCTGGACTGAATATCTCTGGTACTTTCCTACCCCTAAGTCTTGTGCAAGCTGTTTTGCTCACCTAGAATGCCTGCCTGATCCAGCCTCTATCTACACATTTTGTAAAATCAAGATATTTTGTTTTAATATTTGATATGAGGGCAGTCAACTTGTTACAGCAAAAAGTTCATGGACATTATTGTCATATCTGTGTTCAAATTCAGGCTCTGCCCCTTCTTAACTGTGTAATCTTAGATAAGTTATTTAACTTCTCTAAGCATCACTTTTCTCATTGATAAAATGCAGATAATGTTTACCTATCAAGATTTATGAAGATATATTGAAATGAGATACATAGAGCACCTGTCACAGCTCCTGGTATTTGGAAGATTCTATAAGTCCCCACCTCCCTGTAGATGACACTACAATAAGCATCCAATAAATAGTCCCTGCCTTGTCTATGAAGCCTTTCCTAACCATCTTCCAAACCAGCACCTCAGAAATAGTCTCCCTCTTCTGACCGCCTGTAGCATTGTATTGTACCTAAGATCTTATCACAGTCAAACTTGTCAAATACTATGTTCTGAGATACAAGTTGGCACTGTAACTAGATCTGCTAGCACAACACCATATTCTGCCCAAAAGAGATGGCTGAACTTCATTCATAGATGATCCATTGTTTATCTTTCATCAGAATCACACTTTCAGTTATCATAAACACTATACCTTGTTAGATGACTCTATTGCAGGTCTCTTTAAAAGCACCATTATTATACTTAATAATTAAAGGGATTGTAAGAATGTATGTCATGGTGTGACAGCTTGGCAAACAACAGACATCTGAATATTCATTTCCTGAAGTGAATAATCCATCATTACAGAAAGAAAAATGGAAGCCTGTATTCAATAGACCTATAAAAGGTGTTTAAAGAATGTCCATGTCTTTCTTAGAAAAGCCCCTTGTGAGCAGCCTTGTTTTGTTGCGGTTGTCTTACAGGAAGCAGCTCAGGGTTTTGCGTATATGTGTTTTATTTTTAAGTTGTACAACTCCTGGTTGATGACAGTCATAACGTAAATGACCTAAAGTTTAAATTGCGTTATTCTAATCAGTTTTCTGACCTCTGCTGTCAACAGAATTTCTGACGATCAAATAATAAAACTCAGACAATATTGGTTTTGTGCCATAAAATAATACTCTTGTGTTTATTCATGTACAAATTCATGCATTTATCTCAGATACTTGTTAAGCAACTACTATGTTAAGGCTCCGGGGATGGGGATGGGGATGGGTGGCAACTCAAACAGGCCTGGCCCCTGCCTTCATGGAGTTCACATTTGGCTGTTTTATAAATGTTGTGAGGAAAGGATTTTTTTTCACCCATGATTGCCTTTATTTCAATATTTGAGATGTGTTATTAAATAAGAATCTGATCATGGCTCAGGTCAAATTATTTGTTTTTCTCTTGTACATCTAGCAGAGCTGTTTGTAAAAGTTAAAAATTAGTTATTGATTTGTCAGATTTTTTAATTTAGAAAATGTTTTGTATTTGTTTTGCGGTTTGCCTAAATTGCTCTAACATTTGGTATCTAATTTGACTCTCACAGTAACCCTGTAGGGTGCATGGTATTGCCATGATAAGAAACTAGATGCTCAGCAGGCTTAATTGACCTCCCATGGAGTCCCGGCCACTTAGCAGCCATCCAAATGGAAACTTAAGTCTTCTGATTTATTAAGTGTGTTCTTGATTCCAGCTTAAAAAAAACTTAAAGTATTAAAACTGTATCTTATTCTGTGTTTAAATGAGACTAACTGACAGCTAGAAAATGGAAACAAAAATGTGAATCAACTGTGATTTTTGAGCCCCTCTCTGCTACTGTATAGGCACTGTGGGGAGTAGAAATGACCTCTGCCTCTTGATAAATTTATAGCTTCATCGATAAGACATAATGTACACTTAGAAAGGAACTCAGTAACCCTCCAACACAGAATGCATGGTTCAGTGTTAAAGTGAGAAATATCAACACAAGAGTTGAGAAGATAATAAGAGCTAAAGCAGATGCAAATAGTGTATCTTGAGCTAAATCTTCAAGGGCAGGGAAGATGGGACTTGGGCAGGGAAGAGGCTTCTAGGCAGGGGGAATGGCAAGTTGCAAGGCTCAGAAGTGGAAGGGAGTGTGATGGTGATAGTGATAACAATAACTGCCATTTGCCCAGCACTTATCACTTGCCAAGCAGTTATTGGTTCACATGCATTAACTTATCCTTAAAACGGCTATCAAAACAATTCAACCAGAGAAGAATTGTTACTATTTCAATTTTACATATGAGGAAACTGAGGCAGAGAGGTTAAGCAACTTGCTCAAGGTTGCATGTGCATTAAATGGCAGCTGGATTCCACCATGGTCTTGAGACCAGAATCCACTCTAACCCTTTTAACCTGTGTGTTATGCTGCCTGATGTGGTGCTCGTGAGATGGTAAGGACACCTTCATGGTTAGAGGGGAGACTCAATATGGGGTCATGATGAGAGAGGTCAAATAATGGAGAATCTAAAAATCAGGCAGAAGGCATTAAACTTTGTCTAGGACTTATTGATATTTCATCAGTGCGGAAACATGGTAGACATTTATTTTAGAAAGATTAGTCAGCCCTAGACAGAAAGGATTGAGAGACAAATAAGGGTAAGGATGGCAACTATTAGATGGAAACTATTAAAAGGGGGTTTCTATCCAGGTATGGGTGATAGGTGATTAGACCTGGAGTAGGGTAGCAGTAGAAATGAGAAGGATGTAATGGTGATAAGGACTGGAACTGGCACTGAATCAACAGGTGAGTCAAGGCCAGGTGATTTCCTGAGAGCAGCTTCATGGTATTACCCCCATTTTACAGATGAGGAAATACGGAGGCTCCAAGAGGTTAATTTGGGCTAATAAGCATTGGAGCAGGGATTTCAGCCTATATCTATCTTTCTTGGCTTCCTCTCTTTAAGGTAAAATAATGCAGTCTGGTCATATAGTAGAGTTGCTGATAAGGTTTGAAGAATTGCTCCCAAAATAAGAGATGCTTAAAGTCATGGGGAGAAATCAACATTCAGAGGGAGCAATAATATCAGAGAAAAGGCAGAGACTGACTATTAAAGAACACTGGAGGGAGGGAGGAGGGTAAGGATTGAAAAACTACCTATCAGGTACTGTGCTTATCACCTGGGCGATGAAATAATCTGTCCACCAAACCCCCATGACACGCAGTTTACCTGTTTAACAAACTTACACATGTGCCCCTGAACCTAAAAGTTAAAAAAAAAAAGAATACAGAGAAGAATGGAGCAAGTGGAAGAGGCTTCCGGAAGAAAACAAGTTAGAGGTATAGGGAGGGAACCCAGGGCTCCTAAAGCCACAGCAGCCAACAAGGAGAGAACAGTCAGTGAATGACTCAAAGTGAAACTGCCAATGGATTGTCAAGTGGAGAAGGAGGGAACATGCACGCAGCCCAGTGTTCTTAGTAACCCTCAACAAACAAAGACAGATTCAGGTGTGTGAAGGGCAAGTAGTGTTGCAGGTGGGAGGATATGGGAGTGCTGCCAGTGATGGGGTGGAGAAGGGAAGGAAGGTCTGTCATGAGGAGAAAGAATTCTGACGCATCCGATGCCCCACTCTGTGCCAAGTTCCGAGCCAAGCCAGCTGCGGTCAAGGGGAGAGATCACGGGGAGGCTGAATGGCTGGAGGGGAGGCAGAGAGGATTCCTGTAATCCAGTGGGAGGTGCCTGGCAAGAGGCCAGGAGGACGTGAAGGGATTCTAATGTGTGGTAGACAAAGAAGTAAGGAGCTGAGGGAATGATTGTTCCATCAGCTACATGTAGTGGCGCAATGGATGAGCCCGCATCCTAGGAGCCCCCTTCCTCTGCCCCTGCTTCTATAGAAGCCCTTACCTTCCCATCCTGGCTCACTTGCCAGGACCTGCTGGGGAGCTCAGAACCCTCCCTACTCCCATCCAGTCTCACAAGACAGTTAAGTGAGCCTCCCACCTCAGCCTTCCAAGTAGCTGGGACTACAGGCGCGTGCCACCACACTCAGCTAATTTTTAAATTTTTTGTAGAGACAAGGTCTCACTACATTGCCCAGGCTGGTCTCCAACTTCTGGACTCAAGCTGTCCTCCCATCTCGGCCTCCCGAGGTGCTGGGATTTCAGGTGTGAGCCATTGCACCCATCTGTACATTGCTTTTTAAATAATAATTGTTGAATAGGCGGGTGAGTGGAGAGTAATTTCTATTAAGGAACTTTTCTCTGCTTCTTGTTACTCTGACTTGTGCCTTAATTCAAGTTTATAAATGATTACTAATATTTGGGATATTAAGATAGGTACATGGGTCATTTGGGAGGGGTAGTATTTTGATAGCAGCACTTTATACTCTGATTTACAGTATTAATTCTTTAGAGGTATTTTGGTGTATATGAGCACTGATGGTTGTGCTTTAAAATTGGCAGCCCGTTGATGTTAGCAGGACCAGCCAAGTGGCAGGCACTGCAGTAGAGGGACCTGGGTTAGAAGTCAGATGGCCAAGCTCCCAGGCCTGGCGTACACAGCTCGGAGGGTCCTCGTGCAGAGAGTGCTCCTTTCCAGCCTGAGCGATCCCTCCTTATCCTCCAATCACCGCATGACAGGTCACATTATCAGAACTGCCTGTCTCAACTATCCCCTGAACTGCTATGGTTCCCTCATCTACATTCTCATGGAACCCTGTGAGTTTCCTTTGTAGCAAATAATTGTTGGGAGTGATTATTTCTACTAATGCCATCTTTGACTAGGCTATAGCTTTCATACGGGCAGGGACATGCCTACTGGTTTTACCTCTGTGTCCCCAGCACCTGACACAGTACCTGGCACAGAGCATATTCTGGATAAACACCTGGGGGAGCCAATGAACTCTGGTAAAATCTTGGACATGAGATTCCATTTTTCTCACCTGTTTAAAGCCTGTATATTAAAGCTTGTATTAAACTTTATCACTAAGGTGCTTTCTCTTTGAAGATCTATGGATTAACCCTTCACAATTTTTTATTATAAATGTTATCCACATCAATGATACGAAATTCAAACAATGCAAAAGAGTATACAATGAAAGTGTATTCATTCATTCACCAGAGATTACAAATATTGAAAGTTGCTTGTCTTTACAGAGAGAATAAAAATTGAACAAGCTGTAGCCAGAATCGAATGGATTAATAATGGGGTGGGCATATTCCCTACTTCCAGCTCCCATGAAGCAGCTTTCATATTTCAGTTTTAAAATGGTTAGTGCCTTAGTGAGGGAAGAAAACTTTCATGCAGTAATCTGTGCTGCCAACAGGGGCCAAGGCCCTCAGCTAAATTCCCACTACACCCTGCGCCATTGCTGATTTTCAGCTGTTCTGTATAGAGATTTTACTGTTCATGGGGGCCCTCTGAAAGTTTTCTCCTTTCTGGAATTTGAGGATCACTTCAAGGTATTGTTTAATAAAGTAACAAGGCAGGCTGGACAATTCAAGGCAATGTGATTTTATGGATGATTTAATACATTTGGATGTGTGGAAAATATGTCTACCTAAAGATTTTCAGCTTCAGAAGCACTTTCACATAGAGTGTTTGGTTTCTGTGTTGGTGTTGCATGGTTGAGGGGAATCATTAAAGGAATGGAATGCAGCTAAGTGGAATTTCTTGAGTTTGAATGGAAATCTGTATAATCAATTCCAATTATGGAAGGATAGAATTACATAAATACAGGGACATTAAGCACCATAATGTTTTAAAATATTTTCAAGGAAAAATATGGATATTCATATATTTATCCATTAATTTGATAGAGGGAAAATCTGTCTTGGTACATCTTACAGTTTTCAGTACCAAAAAGAATATGAGAGAGGCCCTTCCATGCCCTGCTACAGTGACTGGGGCTTCTTGTATGTGTGCGTGTGTGTGTATTTTGGTGGAAGGGAGTGTCCAGTTGGTGCCTAAGGGTTCTCAGGAATAGTTATGTTTATATGATTATTTTTGAAAAATAAGTATACTAAAGCTTTGGATTTCTGTCTGTAAATTATGATAGTTTAACTACAAGCATCAATGTGTTCTGCATTAACTGAGGTTTGTGGGGAAGGTGATTTTGTTCATGGGCCATAGACTATAGTGGGTTTCATACAATCACCTTGAGTGGTAGTGTATTGGGGGTGGGGGAAGGTAAGGGAGAAGCAGGAATGGGCTCATGCTGCCCTGTGACTCAGCCTCTGAAGTGGCTCTGGACCAGGCATTAGGGACACAGTGAGGTCCATCTTACAGGCTTCCTTCCCTGGGTGTTGTTGGCAGGGTAGCAGCTGTTTACTGACAGTCAGTTACTTAAGAAGGCAGCTCATGCCAGATGGAATCCCTGGGTTCTAAAACCTAATGGACTTTAAGTGTTAAGGAGGTTTAAATGAGTCTGGGTAGGAGTTTGCAAAGATTATAATTATCTGTTTAATATTAACCAGTGTAATACAAGTTAAGTACTAGAATAGTACTCCAAACCATACAAGTATCCACACACACATCCCAGTACTTAGATGACTGGATCACAGGGGCTGATTGCACCACTGCAAGCATCTCAAGGAAGGGTGTTCCTTGAATAGTTACTATTTATCACCTCTTGCCTTCTAAGGAAGAGCCTAGATGAGACATAATGCAGTAGAATTCCCTCTGTAACCTTGTCTCCACCTTCTCTTTCTTACATGACACTGAACGGACAGTTCACATCCACCCAAGTCTATTTACGGGAGTTTTGTCCTTCTATCTTATGTATTAGGAATAACACACTGGCAATTTAATGAGCATCTGCAATTTGCCAGACATTTTGCCACACTATCTCAAATACGACCCTGCAAATAGATGTTACTGTACTTTGTATGTAAATGGACCTGGAAGACAAAGCTCAAAGTCACAGAGCTTGTAACTGACAGAGCTGGGGCTTGAACAAAATTTTGTTGAGTTGCAAAATCCATGTTTTTTCTGAAAATAACATAAACAGTAATTATAATAATATTTACTGAGCATTCATTATGTGCCAGGGAGTAATTCTAATAATAAACTTACAAGGTAGTTGTTAACTACTAAAGAAAAATTGAGGTTGGGAAACTGGAGATTATAAAATTTAAGTATCTTACCCGAGATTGTTTAGTAAATAGCAGACCCAAATTTTGAACCTATTTGATCTGGTTACAAAGGCTTTCACTACTGGACACCACCTCCTACTAGATTTTTGTGCTCTAAACTGGGTAAAACCAAGGTAAAGGGCCAAGGGCAGTATGGTTAAGAGGAGCTGAAGGACCATGTAGATTGTAGGTTAAATAGAATCGAACTTTCTATTTCTTTCTTTCCTTTCTAGGTGTCAGCTTCCTCTGGTGCAACCAGCAAGTCTTCCAGTATGAATCCCACAGAAACCAAGGTATGAAGAATGCTAATTGAGTGAGTGCTAATTTAAGTTGATTGTGCTGCAAAGCAAAACAAATGTAGACTAATTGTTGATGATGAGTTATATATGCTAGGAAGTTTTAATTATGGAAGTAAACATTTTCTTCCTAATTTATGGGGGTCTTTGAAAACTCAGCTTTCCTTCCAATATTTACCTTACACATCATCTACATGGTTTTAGGTTATCTAGAAAAGTAGAGTCACCTAGAGTTGTTTTGTTTTGTTTTGTTTTGTTTTGAGACAGGGTCTTGCTCTGTCACCTAGGCTGGAGTATAGTGGTGTGATTACACTCACTGCAGCCCCAACCTCCTGGACTCAAGCGACCCTCCCATCTCGGCCTCTTGAGTAGCTGGGGCTACAGAGGCACACCACCATGCCCGGCTAATTGTTTTTTTGTTTGTTTGTTTGTTTGTTTGTTTTTGTAGAGACAGGGTCTCACTGTGTTGCCCAAGCTGGTCTCAAATTCCTGGGCCGAAGCAGTCCTTCCACCTGGGCCTCCCAAAGTGCTGGGATTACAGGAATGAGCCACCGTGCCCGTGGCCAGTTTTGTTTTTGTTTTTGATCCTAGATTTGATTGAGTTTTTTAATTGAAGATATTCCTCTAAGTACATTTCTCTACATTGAAATGAGAATATAAATTATTAATTCTTGCTAAAATGGTCTTACTATTCTGAGCACTTAAAAATAAATATAAAAATGAAAGATTATACTAAATGAACATAAAAATATACTGGTTATTTCGGATGCTTTCCCAAGTTGTTTTTTCTGAAATTTGAGTCTTGTGGGGTACCATTTTATTGACAAACCTTTCTTGAGCTCTATTTGGGATTTATTCTTAAAATTATTTTTTTGAATTTCAGAATTAAAAATAAAAGAATTTCCTCTAGTGGTATTGTCCACTTTGTTCTGAAGAGCTGGCTGCAGCTGCCTTTTAAACCCTCTCCCTAAGTTACTCTAGCTCAAGCTGTATCTCTTGGGAATATTTCAGGGGAGGGAATTAAAGAGGGAGCATTTTCAAAATTCTCTCAACTAATGTTTGTGTGCCAATATTCTTTAATACCTTTAAGAGCTACCCCAACTCCATTATTATTAAATTGCCCTTGTTTAAAATTACCAACCTACTTTTGTTTTCTGTCTTTCATATTACTATGCTATCCCTGTAGTTTCCTATCCCAGGTGATGTGGCACTATAACTTAGTACTATCAAAGGATTATATGGCCTCATCTTGAATCATCTTCAAAGAACATTACAAATATCTAGAAATACACTATCCACATCTAAGTTCTTATGTCATTTAGCATTCATTTAAAATTTTAATCTAAAATTATCAGTTTTTAAATTTAGTATTTAAATTTACATTGATTTCTAAATTGCTTTCAAAATATACATTATATAATCTATAATTAATGTTAGCTGTCTCTATTTAATTATGTTAAGCTTAATCTTAAAAAATTAAAAATCTTTTTTTTTCCTTGAGGCAGGGTCTCGCTCTGTCTTCCAGGCTGGATGTAGTGGCATGATCACAGCTTGCTGCCACCTTGACCTCCTGGATGCAAGTGATCCTCCTACCTCAGTCTCCTGAGTAGCTGGAACTCTAGGGGCACACCACCATGCCTGGCTAATATTTCTGTTTTTCTGTAGAGACAGGGGTCTTGCTATGTTACTCAGGCTGGTCTCAAACTCCTGGGCTCAAGCAGTCCTCCCATCTCAGCCTCCCAAAGTGCTGGGATTACAGGCATGAGCCACTGTGTCCAGCCTAAAATTAAAAATCCTAATTTTAAAAAATATTCCAGAAGCATCTACAAAATAAAAGTTCTCATTAAGACCAGGCATAGTGGCCCACACCTATAATCCCAGCATTTTGAGAGGTCAAGGTGGGAGGATCGCTTGAGCCCAGGAGTTTGGGACCAGCCTGGGCAACATAGCGAGATCCCGTGTCTACAAAAAATTAGCCAGGTGTGGTGGTTTACTCCTGTAGTCTCAGCTACTCGGGAGGCTGAGGCAGGAGGATGGCTTGAGCCCAGGAGATCAAGGCTGCAGCAAGCTGTGATTGCACCACTGCACTCCAGCCCAGGTGACAGAGCAAGACCCTGTCTCAAAAATAAATAAATAAATAAATAAATAAATAATCTCATTGAATTTAGAGATCATGAAAACCAAAGAAAAGAGATAGGAAAGAGAGCCAGAAATATAGGATTTCCTTTTTATTCTTTTGGTTCTTTTTCATCCTGTTGCCTGATTCTAATCCCCTGTGCCTCAGCTCAAGGACCAATGTTTATTTCAAGCGTGGCCTGTTACCTAGAACAAATGTCAGCAAACTCTTCACCCTTCTCTAAGCATTAATCATGAGAATTCTCGGCAGTCCTGTGAAACTGGAGGAAAGTAGGAGAGAGAAGAGGGGGAGAGACAAAAATAAGATGCACGTAATGAAGTGTCCCCAGTGGCTAACTAGGGACCACTTTTGGCCTCAAGTCTCTTTCCCTGGAACCTGGTTCCATATCAGCTGTGATATTGGACAATCTCTTTTTGCTTTGGTTTCCTTATCTGTACAGTTTGGAGGAAGGTGATAATAGTACCTGCCTCACAAGACTGTGTAAGGAAACATAATGTATATTGGACAATTCCTGTCCTAAGCAAGTGTCCAGATGGGATTGTCTGTTGGCCACTACTGGGGAGAGAGTGCAGTGCGATGACTAGAACACACAACCTCAGGTCCACCATGGATGTCTTTAGGGAGTTATTTAACTGCTCTAAACTCAATTTCTCATCTGTGAAATGGGTATAATAATACTTGTCTCATAGGATTATTATGAAGATAAAGTGGGTTGACACATGAGAGGTGATTAATACACATTAGTTATTATGGTCATCATTATTATATTCAGCACAATCACTACAAAAATAAATTCAGCAATTACTGATTTAAATATAGATTGCATTATAAGCTGCTTGTGTCTGTGAGCATACATTCTTAATTGTAGTGTAGGTTCTCCCATGCAAAATCTTGATTGCCAAATTGCAAGCTATTAATAGATTCAAAGCACTATACTACCAGCTGGCTTATTTTCCTTGTTAATCATTTAATAAATTATATTTGCATAAACTGAAAGGATAGTTCCATAAATAGAAACTCATTAATGAGAATGTAGTGTGAAAGGATCCAAAATTTAAAATTTCTTTAAAAACATTTCAATCATAAGCTTTGTTTCCTTCCCAAAATAGTGTGTTAGCCTAGCAAGGGGCCATTATTTGAAGAAAGTATGTGTCTTCATTACTGAAGTAGAAGACATGATAAATTAAGAGGATAATTGACTTTAGCCTCTTCAAATAAAAATAAATAAATAAAAACCACTAGTTTGTGCTGATACTACCAAGCAGATAAAAAGGAAAGAAACAGCAGGAAGCATCGGACCCTAGTTTGTAATCTCTGACTGAAAAGTTCATGAAATGTTTAATCAAGTTTTATTCATGATTGTATATCTTGCCTATATTGAGAATGCATGCATGTACTTACTTGTTTTTGCACAAGTAATGTTTAGTTGGATAAAACTGTAAAATATCATACTAAAGATGCTAAGTTACAACCAGTTCTGTAGAAGCATTTCTAGAACTTTAAATTCGATCTCTGCATACAGGACTGTGATGTGCCCAGTAAAAATCCATGCACTAAATATTTACAATTTTGGGGGGATTATGTTGACAGAATTTCATAAAACTTTCCGTTACATCTGTGACTATTTGATCATAACTAAACATTGGATACATAGGAAAAAATGATATTCATGTAGTCTTTACACAGGGAAAGGAAAGGAATGAGAAATTAATTTTATTAATGGAAACCTTCGCTGAAAAAAACCTTCACTGAAAAAATGTAAACACAAACTGAAATATCTGCTTAGGACCTTAGAATGTAAGTGCCTACAGCTTCTTGGAGTTATACACATATGCATCGAGTAGATGCAATAGATGAATAGAATTGATATAATCATTTTAACCCTTTTTGTACATGTTACTTATTTGACTGACAGATAAAATAAAATTATACCTGGGGCTGTGCTCTTATATTAGGCCATTCCAGTCAGCCAACAGATGGAAGGACCACATCTTCCTAACAAGAAAAAACACAAAAAACAGGTGATGTTGTTCATTGTACTAGGGCATCTCTGTTTACTAACGGTTACATCACCCGCTCAGCATGTGCTAATAACTGCAATTCACAGTCTTCTGTTAACACTGAGATCCCATCATGGACTTTCTGTAGGCTTAGCTGCCCATCAGCCACATTCTGGCACTAAAAGTAATTTTCACTGCTTTCTGTGCCCTCAATTCTGTCACCATCCCATTGTTTTACACTGTCAGCCAAAACCCGTGATGAATATTTCACTGATAAAAACACCGTGTTAGTGGCATGGAAACACAGTGCCCTTGGCTTTGTGATGAAGGTTTTTATTTTCTGTTGCCCATTTATGTGTTACCATGTAAATAGTAATAAATCTTTACATATCTTTGATATACCTAGCAAGGAGATATAAATTGCTCCCTGAATAGTAAAGCAGAATATTAACTAGTATACCTAATTGTTTATCTAAAGAGTTGCAATTTCAAGCAAAGTGTAACAAACTTAACTGATAATGTTTATAATTACATTAAAAATCATCTCTTTTGAGTTTCCTCAGTTGAAGAAAATCTGTGATAGTCTTTGTAAACTATGTCTATCTTTCTTTTCTTCCTTCCTTTTTTTCTTTCTTTTTTTCTGAACTTAGGCTGTAAAAACAGAACCTGAGAAGAAGTCACAGTCAACCAAGGTAAATAGTTTAAGTCTGTTAGTTAGTTATTTGGATTCTTTTTAATAATAATGAATAATCAACTTCCTGCCTTGGCACAGCTGTGAATGGTAAAGGGGGTTGCTGGCTAATTTAATTAATTTTTAGACCCTTTTGAATGGCTGTGTACATGTAGAATATATAAAATATAACATTAAGTCCGTATATTGTTAAAAAGAATATATAATATTTTATAAATGAAAACTATTTCAGAAGCATTTTGTTCAAATCTAGTTTTTTGTTATATGTATAGTGATTGCTTTAAAAAAGAAAAAAGCAAGAGGAACAGAAGAAAAAAGGCAAAGAGTAGTAATGAATATCCAATTCCAATTCCAATGAGACATCAAGAATAAGGTGTCTGCTGAACTCAGCACCTAGATGGCTTAGGGATGAGAATCTTTCCTAAGAGGCTGGCTGGGTTTATCGTGACAGTCTTACCTCAGTTGGTGGAGCTAGTTAACAGTTACACAGGAGGCTAGCTTCTGTTACTTTCCTGACCCATGACTGTCCAGAATGAATGCCATTCTGCCTCTGCATGGAGGTGAACCCCAGGTTGTGTACGGCAGCACAAATGTTTCTCTTCAATAAGGTGCTGCATTTTATTTTGTCAAGCACTTAAAGCAAGTACTAAGACAAGACCACAAGGTTTCCTGTGGAAAAGCACAGATATTTGAGCCCAGGTACTTCAGGCACAGGTGAGGGTGAAAGGTGAGGCTTGTCTGATTTTGTGGAAGGCCTCCTGGTGGCCCCTGGGGATGGTAGAACATAGGGTACTCCGAGTGAAGAATTCAGCAGCTAAGTGGAAGTTGTCTTCTATTCCACTTTAAATACTTTTATCTACTGAATCGCAAGAAAATTGGGTTTCTGGTGGTAAGATCTTCTCTACTAACAAAGAAACAAAACTCTGTAAATCCTATGAAAGGAGTTTTTTTTTTTTTTTGCTTTTGAGACGGAGTCTCGCTCTGTCGCCCAGGCTGGAGTGCAGTGGCGCCATCTTGGCTCACTGCAAGCTCCGCCTCCCGGGTTCACGCCATTCTCCTTCCTCCGCCTCCCGAGTAGCTGGGACTACAGGCACCCGCCACCAAGCCTGGCTCATTTTTTTGTATTTTTAGTAGAGACGGGGTTTCACTGTGTTAGCCAGGATGGTCTTGATCTCCTGACCTTGTGATACGCCCGCCTCGGCCTCCCAAAGTGCTGGGATTACAGGCGTGAGCCACCGCGCCTGGCCTAAAATATATTTTCTAGAGTGGGATTAGCTGTCAACAAACTCAGTAGTCACATGGCTCATGTGTTATCTGTGTACATTTGTGAAAAACAACCAGTAATTTAGAGACATACGTGTATTTGAAAATATTATTCAGATGAAATACTGAATTTTTCATTATTCTGATAATCACCATTCTCAGAGACTGCTGACAGGGTTACTATTGACCTGATACCACATGTCTACTTCTGTGATCCTAAAGAGTGGGCCTGAGTGGGCCTAAGCGGGCTTTTCCTGAAAAAGGCAGAATGTTTTAGTTGGAATTTTGTTCTTGTTCTTGTTTGAAAGTATTACAAGTTGGATTCCAGTGTAATCAAGTTTAATCTTTTGAAATTGACAGCTGTCTGTGGTTCATGAGAAAAAATCCCAAGAAGGAAAGCCAAAAGAACACACAGAGGTAAATGATTATCATCAGGACTTAATTATAAGGCAACCTCTTTTGGTGGGATATAATTAAAATCTTTCATTAATTCAAAACTAATCCCTACAATGGATAGTTGGATATTAGTTTTTTCAGCTAAAATGGTGCCATCCTGTGGCAATAGCAGTGTTTACAATTTATGTGATTCTTGCTGAATTTTGGGGGAAGGATTTGCACTATTTCAAATTTTGTACCTAAAGTGAAATTGTCACATGTACATCACACTAATTGAAATTTACATAATTTAGAACCACAGACAGCACAACTGTTATGAACAATTTTTATTCTATAGAGAAAAGTATCAGTATTATGTTTAAGACTACCATCTTGTTAACAATGTCTTTATATGTGTGTGGGCACCTGTGTGTGTACTTTCAGCCAAAAAGCCTACCCAAGCAGGCATCAGATACAGGAAGTAACGATGCTCACAATAAAAAAGCAGTTTCCAGATCAGCTGAACAGCAGCCATCAGAGAAATCAACAGAACCAAAGGTAAATGAAGCAGATTGATAGGAAAACCTTAACATCAACTGGATAATAAGATACGGTTCCCCTGTTCACACTGAGGTGTGTAGTTCAATCTATGGGGCTGTGCTGAATATATTTTGTATTATAGTGATTTGGTATTATTATTTTGTTGGTTTTTCAAATAGACTTGTAGGAACTTGGATGCATGGATGGCTTGAGAAGGGCATCAGATTGGTCTAGGGGATGCGCTGTCCGTCCTTCTCCTACTGCCCAGCAATAACCAGCTGTGACTGCAGGGCAGCAGGCTCTGCTGTCTCCCAGACAGGCAGCTTTGGATTGAGGCTGCCTCCTGGACCCCCCACACCTGGGCTGGGGAACATATGTGCCCTGAATTATCTGGTTCTTTAAATGGAAATCCTAAAGCATTTTTAGGGTCGTGTTGTAGAAGAGCTGAACTTACAGAGCCAAAAATTAGAAATTGCTTCCATACTTCTGTAGTTAATAGCAGCCACCTTTTAGAAGAATTAACATCTACAAGAAATACTTTTTCATTGAGAGCACTTGGAAGATAATAACGAGGTCTGCTTCACAGTATATTTTATATCAGAGATCACAGATTTGTGATCTACCACTTAAATGCCACATGTATATTTTGTTTGGCTTACAATGTTGTTAAAAAATTATTTTTAATTAATTGCCAGCAATCAAAGTCAGGGCATTTCACATAACATCCCAAATTGTAACTTCTCTTGAAAAATCAGACTATCTAGTAAGAGTGAGCTCACGTGGCAACAATTGACTAGAGCCATTACACCTGGTATGTGTGCTCCAGTTTACCACAATCCTTACCTAGCCTGATTGACCTACGCAAGTTACCTGCGTGAACGTTTTAGGCTCTTGAGTCCAGCTTTATGTGGTGCTTAGCACTGCACCATGTACAATAGAAGTGAGCAAACATTCCCTTATGGTGTCCGTGAGGGTGAACTGGCAGATGTTAGTGACATTTGAAACTCATGATCTTGATAATAGCCATGCAGAGATACTTAGCTCTGTCAACCTTTTATCCTCACTGTCTTAGACTAAACCACAAGACATGATTTCTGCTGGTGGAGAGAGTGTTGCTGGTATCACTGCAATATCTGGCAAGCCGGGTGACAAGGTGAGCACACACAAGCAGACGGAAACGTGGGCCTCTGTGCTTCTCAAGTTTCTTTTATGAGAAACGTATGCTCAAATAACCTATCATCTGGCAAAACTGAACACTGCTTATATGTAAAATTTTGTGAAGAGCATGCATTTAAGGGATAGAGAGTGAACAAGATACCAAAAATAATTTGTAAATTTATATATTCAATAACTGCTTACTGAGTACATGCCATATATAACGTACTGATATCAATACCAAGGACATTAAAATGTGAGTTGACTCAGACTCTCCCTTCCAAATGTATAGATATGAAATAAAGCAAATACAATTTCCAGGAGCATTTGAATCGGCTTTTTCAGCTTTCAATGCTGATGCCAGCTGTCTTGATACTAGTGTATCACAACTATGACATCAACATGAATGGATATGAGAAGTTTTCAAAGGAAATATTTCAAGTCCTCTCAGGATGAAGTAGATGTGTTGAGCTGGGTGATTGTGGGCATAACTTCCTTAGATTTTTTGAAGAGCTGCTTCCAATACTTGCCCAGGAATATAAGATGAGAAGTTATCTACCTTTTCTACCCATAGCAATATAGAATTTTTTTTTTTACCTTATCCTTTAAGGTTTTTTTTTTTTTTTTTGCATTTATTTATTTATTTATTTTCATTATACTTTAAGTTTTAGGGTACATGTGCACATTGTGCAGGTTAGTTACATATGTATACATGTGCCATGCTGGTGCGCTGCACCCACTAACTCGTCATCTAGCATTAGGTATATCTCCCAATGCTATCCCTCCCCCCTCTCCCCACCCCTCCACAGTCCCCCGAGTGTGATATTCCCCTTCCTGTGTCCATGTGATCTCATTGTTCAATTCCCACGTATGAGTGAGAATATGCGGTGTTTGGTTTTTCGTTCTTGCGATAGTTTACTGAGAATGATGATTTCCAATTTCATCCATGTCCCTACAAAGGACATGAACTCATCATTTTTTATGGCTGCATAGTATTCCATGGTGTATATGTGCCACATTTTCTTAATCCACTCTGTCATTGTTGGACATTTGGGTTGGTTCGAAGTCTTTGCTATTGTGAATAATGCCGCAGTAAACATACTTGTGCATGTGTCTTTATAGCAGCATGATTTATAGTCCTTTTGGTATATACCCAGTAATGGGATGGCTAGGTCAAATGGTATTTCTAGTTCTAGATCCCTGAGGAATCGCCACACTGACTTCCACAAGGGTTGAACTAGTTTACAGTCCCACCAACAGTGTAAAAGTGTTCCTATTTCTCCACATCCTCTCCAGCACCTGTTGTTTCCTGACTTTTGAATGATTGCCATTCTAACTGGTGTGAGATGGTATCTCATTGTGGTTTTGATTTGCATTTCTCTGATGGCCAGTGATGATGAGCATTTTTTCATGTGTCTTTTGGCTGCATAAATGTCTTCTTTTGAGAAGTGTCTGTTCATGTCCTTCGCCCACTTTTTGATGGGGTTGTTTGTTTTTTTCTTGTAAATTTGTTTGAGTTCATTGTAGATTCTGGATATTAGCCCTTTGTCAGATGAGTAGGTTGCGAAAATTTTCTCCCATTTTGTAGGTTGCCTGTTCACTCTGATGGTAGTTTCTTTTGCTGTGCAGAAGCTCTTTAGTTTAATTAGATCCCATTTGTCAATTTTGGCTTTTGTTGCCATTGCTTTTGGTGTTTTGGACATGAAGTCCTTGCCCATGCCTATGTCCTGAATGGTAATGCCTAGGTTTTCTTCTAGGGTTTTTATGGTTTTAGGTCTAACGTCTGATCTTTGACAAACCTGAGAAAAACAAGCAATGGGGAAAGGATTCCCTATTTAATAAATGGTGCTGGGAAAACTGGCTAGCCATATGTAGAAAGCTGAAACTGGATCCCTTCCTTACACCTTATACAAAAATCAATTCAAGATGGATTAAAGACTTAAACGTTAGACCTAAAAGCAATATAGAATTAGTAATCAGTTTGGAGAGCATGTAATCAATTTGAAGCCACAAGTAAGCAAGTGAAGGAACAATGAGAAGATGGGAATGAAAAATGTAAAAGTAATATAGATTTATCTATACTTTTGCTTCTGTAAATGGGACAGATATCCTGCTACAGCTAAATGGTAAAGAAGGTCATAGGGAAAATGAGTTTTAGGGTAAAAGTATGGCACATCTCCCTGAAACATCATTTTTTTCCTTCTGGGATTTTGGGAGAAAAGGCACATTATTTTATCCAAATTAATACAGGTCTCCTATGGAGCAAAGGCAACATTTACAAAAACTTTTAAATGAAAATATCAAACTTAAAATTGTTTTTTCTTGCAATAGATCACTTGTATACTACCTTGAGACTCATAGCCTCACTCCAGGAAGACACAGCACTCTCTTGCACCAATGAGGAATGCTTACATGAAATGGTTTGAAAATGGATACATTTAAGGCAGAAGATTAGATACGTTAAAATAGATTTTTAAATGTAATCAATGTTTTCAGTTTGGAAATGGATAGATTTAAGGCAGAGGATTAGGCCCGCTAAAATAGATTTTTAAATGTAATCAAAATTTACAGTTTTGAGCTAAATGTAAATTAACCAGTGTTATAAGTGAAAACTAAACAATAAAATTAGGAGAGGCTTATGTGGAAGTCTGCCGTGCATTGACTTGTGCTGGAACTTGCAGCAAGTCATTTTACTTTACGTTGCCTCTGATTCTTCTCCCATTAAATAGGATTTAATGACTTGCCTTCTTATTTTAGTACATAGCATGTTTAAAGTACCATAAGGCAGGCAGATCACCTGAGGTCAGGAGCTCAAGACCAGCCTGACCAACATGGAGAAACCCCGTCTCTACTAAAAATAAAAAATTAGCTGGGCATGGTGGCACAGGCCTGTAATCCCAGCTACTCAAGAGGCTGAGGCAGGAGAATTGCTTGAACCCGGGAGGCAGAGGTTGCGGTGAGCCAAGATCGCACCGTTGCACTCCAGCCTGGGCAACAAGAGTGAAACACTGTCTCAAAAAAATAAAATAAAAAACTAAATAAGGTACCATGGTTGGTTCTGCAGGATGCACTAGCTATAGGCTGGCCTGTCTAGGGGGTGGGGAAAAGACAATGTACCTGGGGCTGTATTTCAATCAGATGAAGAAAGGCCCCCACAAGGTGTTATTTGGTGAGGAATGAAGGGATTCTATCTAATTCAGGGAATCCACAAGAGCTTTGGAAGAGTAGATCCAAGTTCAGTTAGGCATGGAAGGATAGCTGGGATTGCAGGTGTTGAAAAGTGTAAGATGTGTTCTGGGCACAAAGTACATTCCAACGTGGGTGAAGCACAGAGGAAGTGAATGGTGGGGCTGTAAGACCAGAAAGACAGGTTGAGCACTGCTGTGGAGAACCCTAAGGTGAATTTGTACATGTGGTGATTCAGCTGACAGCGGGTAGCCTTTGAGAACCTGAGAGAACAGATGGGGTGATGCAATTGAATCCGAGCTGCAGAAGGATTAAGGGACTGCAGTTAGGTGGATGGGATAGAGATAGGAAGGTAGAAGGTTGGTCAGGGACTGTTTCAGTAGTCCTGATGAGTCATATTTTAGCCTAAATTAGAGCTGTGATAGAATAAGAAAGTGGGGAGTTATCCAAGATGAATTGCAGAGCAAAAATCTTCAGGTTTTAGGAAATGATTGACAGAAGTGGGCAAAGACAAAGTAAAATCTAAGATAACCTGGTGCTTCTGAGTCTGATTGCAGGAGGTTGGTAGCCACACGGTAAGGGAAAGGAGGCCCCTAAGGTGCTCATTGTCAGGTTTGTGCAAGTGCAGAGTTGGCACCTGAGAATGAGTGCCTTTTTAAATTGTGAGCTGGGCACCTTGCAGTCCAGTCCCTAAGTTCCCTGGGTACCATTGGCAGGAGTACAGATAGATGTCAGAGGAACTGAGGAGGAAAGAGGTGTCTCTAATTTTGGACAAGCTGAATTTAAGTGTTTGAAGTGTCCAAAGAAATATGTCTAGCAAGACAATTAAAATACTGTTTTCTAATAGAAAAGAATGAAGTAGGAGGAAAGGGAGAGGAAGAGAAAGAGTGGATGGAATAGAAAGATAGTGGGGAGAGAGGGAGGGGAAGAGAGACATTGAGAAGGAAGAGGAAGGTGGGGGAGAGAACATGAGTGAATATCTGCATGAGGTAGTGGCTGAATCATGGAAGTGGTTTCAATTATCCAGACTCAGGCTCACACCCTAGTGGCCCCCACAGTGTTTCTAGCATTGCAATTGTAACAGTCACTTATTTAGCACTTACAATTACATAGCAAGTACTTACATAGTGCTGAGCATGTGCCAAACAATGGTTTTCATACTTCGTATAGATTCACTTATCTAATATCTCCAAGGAGAAGTGACTTGCTAAAGCCTCAAGCAGCCATGCATGTCTCAACTGTTATGCAAACCTTGGCAGTCAGAGCCTGTGCTCTTCCTGTGCTTTGTTCCCTGAGTTTGGATACCTTCAAATGGGAAATGGTCCCCTTTTATCTTAAACCCAACAACTTCACCCATTTAGTTTCTGCCAGTCTCTGAAAGCATTTGCCTCTGGCCATAGAGAATGATTTTGGATAAGACCACCAGCACAGGGCAGAAATGTGCAGAGTGTATACAGTGGGGACCAAAGTAAAAGAGATGCCAGAGGTAATGGAGAACAAAGGGCATAGATGCCACAATAGGATCAGAATGGTGCCGAAAGGTGGCAATGGGGAGGGAGAGATGCTCCAAGGGTCAAATTTCAGAGATTACATCTGGATAAAAGCATGGAAACTGCAGATTGAAAAGTTGTTTGCAGTCTTTGATAGAGCAATGGAAGCAATGATGAGCGATCAACTCATTTTAAGGAAAGAGGAGGTGTTGAGATGCCGAAGTGAGGGATATGGAAGTCTTGATGTGTGGGGGCAAAGAGCCAGAGAGCAAAGCCAGAAGTGGCAGCCTATAGAAAGAATTCATGGATGTTGTAAAAACTGGCTGTGGGCCCTGGAGAAGAACAGCGAGGAAAGAAACAGTCTTGGATTCAAATCTTCATTCTGTCCCTTACTGTGTAACCTGAGGAAAGTGGCCTAATCTGAGCCTTGCTTTGCCCATCACTAAATGAGACTAATATAATTAAAGCCCTTCTGAAAAAGGATATAAAACACACAGCACAGTTTCTGCTGTAGAGCGGATGTTCAGTGTATGATCAATGCTTGTTAATATAATGAATTTATTTTAAAATTTGTAATAGTATTGAGTTTTATTAAGGTATGTGAGGAGTTGTTAATTTCTCAATTCTCACCAGAAAAAAGAAAAGAAATCATTAACCCCAGCTGTGCCAGTTGAATCTAAACCGGATAAACCATCGGGAAAGGTATGAAGACAACAGTGTCCTTCTACATGAGACAGTTACTCATATGCTCTGTATTTATCATAATCTGATTTCTTGTGGGCAAATAATATGAGGGGGGTAATTTAAAGGACCATTTTAATGAATTATTGTTTCAAGCTAATATTGAAAGTGTGGGTTGGAAGTATGGTTTTCACACTCATGTTTGTAACACTTGCTATTATAACCCCTTTTTTAAAAAAAAACAAACAAACTCCAGTTTCATCCCATGGAGTTTACATTCCAGTTTCTCTCCTGCAAATACACTTTATTTAACCAGAGGTATTACTAAAGAAGTAAGGTACTTCTTTTTTTCTGAAATTCCTAAAAGAATCAGTGTAAGCCTAACAGCCTTCAGATTGTATTTCACATATCCATGATCAGGAGAGTCCTAAAATTGTCATGGGAATATGGTAGTTGCAAAAAAAAAAGACAATTTAAATAATTATTTTTCATCTAAATCAAATAATACAAGGTCCTTTCCTAGATTGTTGTTTTCTCCTTTCAATGCAGGTTATTGTTCATAACGAGTCATCAACATAAAAAATAGATAGAAGCACTCTTATTTATTATTATATTAGTCCATGTTTACACTGTTATAAAGAACTTCCCTGAGACTGGGTAATTTATAAAGAAAAGAGGTTTAATTGACTCACATTTCTGTGTGGCTGGGGAGGCCTCAGGAAACTTACAATCATGCTGGAAAGGGAATCAGACACTTTCTTCACAAGGCAGCAGGAGAGAGAGCATGTGAAGGAGGAACAGTCAAACACTTATAAAACCATCCAATCTCATGAGAACTCACTCACTATCATGAGAACAGCATGAAAATCGCCCCAATGATCCAGTCACCTCCCTTCCTCGACACGTGGGGATTATAGGTCCCTCCCTTGACACATGGGGATTACAATTGGAGTTGAGACTTGGGTGGAGACATGAGCCAAACCATATCAGTTATACTGATTTAAGCCCATATTGGCAGAGTAAACTTGTGAGTTCTTGTAAGTTTAATGTCTCAGGTAATTTCTGTTTTGTAAACCTCTTCAGGCAAGCAAGTGAACAACAACAAAAAAAAACATGAATGAAATAATACAGAGTGATTTCCCTCATGAAATAGATTCTATTTGGAATAGGTACTATATAGAGATTTTTAGGGGTTCTTTGTTTAAAACTCTGGAAAAGTATTGATAAGCAATAAATACCAAGCATTTCCCTTATCGCTTAGAGCAACATGGTTATAATTCCCTGTATTTTGTTTTGTTTTGTTTTGTTTTTCCTTTTTTAACTGTCAGTGCATCGGACTGGCAGCTTTAATGAACTTGTACATTTGTTCATGTATGTAATGCCTGTAGACTTGTTGAAACTGTGCTTCTTGCCTGAATGTGGCTTTTCATCTTTCCAACCTAGAATTTGTACTTTGAGACTTAAATAGTAAAGTCTGTTAAAGACCAGATTTTAACTATTTTGGGGAACTATTTGAAGAACTTTTGGTGTTTGGTGGTTTTTCTACACAGAATGGCTTTTTTTGTAGTTAAACTAAAGGTGAAATATGTATAACAAATAACATTTAAATATCTGTTCTTTCTTTTCCAGTCAGGCATGGATGCTGCTTTGGATGACTTAATAGATACTTTAGGAGGACCTGAAGAAACTGAAGAAGAAAATACAACGTATACTGGACCAGAAGTTTCAGTATGTGATCATGATATCTGTAAAAATTCATACTCAGTGGGTAGGAGAGCAAATAAGGCCATGGTCATGAAGTACAAAAGAATACCTAGTGAGGCCAGGCGCAGTGGCTCACATCTGTAATCCCAGCACTTTGGGAGGCCGAGGCAGGCAGATTTCTTGAAGTCAGGCATTCAAGACCAGCCTGGCCAACATGGTGAAACCCTGTCCTTACTAAAAATACAAAAATTAGCTGGGCATGGTGGTACACGCCTGTAATCCCAGCTACTTGGGAAGCTGAGGCAGGAGAATCACTTGAACCCAGGAGGCAGAGGTTGCAGCGAGCTGAGATCGCACCACTGCACTCCAGTTTGGGCGACAGAGCGAGACTCCATCTCAAAAAAAAGAGTATCTAGTGTTCTGTCATTTGCATAGAAACAGGATGATGTCAGTATCAACATCAACACAGCAACTAAAAATTAGTATCGGGGATGGAAATTGTCTTTTGGCAGCTGCATTATAACATTGAGTTAGCAAACATTTGTTGTTGTGCTAAGATTGACACTGGGACACGGTCCACTGGGTCACACACTTATTTTCCATCCTCAAGATTTAAGTATAATGGACTAGAACTTGTTTTGATTTCTCGATATTTACCACCCTCAGTTTATCCCTATTCCTAATTCCTAAAATTATATTTTCCTTGGTATTAAAAAAAAGACATGCCAGCCAGGCATGGTGGCTCACACCTGTAATCCCAGCACTTTGGGAGGCCGAGGCAGGCGGATCATCTGAGGTCAGGAGTTCAAGACCAGCCTAGCCAACATGGTGAAACCCTGTCTCTACTAAAAATACAAAAAAATTAGTCAGGAATGTTGGCGCATGGCTGTAATCCCAGCTACTCAGGAGGCTGAGGCAGGAGAACTGCTTGAACCCGGGAGGCAGTGGTTGCAGTTAGCTGGGATCATGCCATTGCACTCCAGCCTGGGCAACATGGATGAGACTCCATCTCAAAAAAAAAAAAAAAAAGACACGCCATAGGCTAGACAAAAATATTTGCAACAGACATAACAAAGGGTTTGTTTCTAGAATTTATAAAGAATAAAAAACAGAAAAAGACAACCCAATAGAAAATCGAGAGAAAACTTGACTGACCAATAAGCAAGTAAAATGAAACTCTCCTTAGTAATTAGGATAATGATACTAAAACACAGAAGAAACACTGCTTTGCATTTATCAGATTAGCAAAAGCGTGAAAGTCTGACAATTCCTATAGTTTTCCTATAGCTGGTGGGTGTTCATGATGAACATTCCCTTCAACCAGGAAGTCCACCTGTAGAGAGATTGCCAGGAGGGAGCCTTGCCCATGTGTGCAAGGAGTTATAAGAACTGGTGAAATGTTTGGAAACAATTTTGTTCAATAGAGGACAGGATAATAAAATTCAGTGCTTTATAGTGGTTAAAATGGATTATTCATGTATCAACATGGATACATTACAAAAACATAATTTTGAATAAAAAATGCAGAATGATATGTAGAATATGATACCATTTATATAACATTGGAAAATATGCAAAGTAATGCTGGACGTTGTTTATGGTTACCTACATATGTAAAAAATGTTCTAAAATAACTTTAAATTGATATGCTAAAGTTCAGAATGGTGGCTATTTCTGATTAACAGGGAAAGGGAATTAGGTTTGAGAATGCTAAACAGGAGACATCCACTCTATGATTTTGTTTTCTTAGAAATGACAAAGCTGATAGAGTTGGGTATTGGGTTATACATAAACTCATTATCTTATTAACTGCTCTTTTGTATTGGTTAGAAACCTTAGATAATGAAAACATTTGAAAACAAAATGTATTTAGAAGTCAACTTTAGTATTTTGAATATTTTCTAGCATTACATATGAGTTAAGCCAATTAAATATGGGTATTTGTGTAAACTTAGAAATGTAGTTGTATAAAGTGTTGGCTTCTTAATGATTTATCGTTCATCTCAGTACTTCCATAAATTAATAATGGAATAGTGCTTTAGTTTCAGAATATGCATATAGCATTGTCAGGTAATTAATTATATAATATCCCTATGTGTATGATTTTGTTCCAGGATCCAATGAGTTCCACCTACATAGAGGAATTGGGTAAAAGAGAAGTCACAATTCCTCCAAAATATAGGGAACTATTGGCTGTAAGTTAAATAATCATTTACTTTTATTTCACTGTTTCCTCTTTAGAAAATAATTTCATGTCAATATTTTTACAGTGTTTAGAAGTTAGAAAATATAATGGTGCTTGTGAAATTGTCATTACTATGAAGCTCGCTGCATTGGTTGGCTGGGGCTGCTGTTAAGAAAGTACCACAGATCGGGGCATAAACAAGAGATTGATTGTCTCACAGTTCTGGAGGCTGGAAGTCTAGAATCAAGGTGTCAGCAGTGCTGGTTCCTTCTGAGGGCTGTGAGGGAAAGGTATCTTTGAGGCCTATTCTTGGCTTATAGATGGCCGTCTTCTTCCCGTGTCTCTACACACCGTCTTCCTTCTGTGCTTCTATGCATATCTCTGGGTCCAAATTTCCCCTTTTTATAAGGACGCGCATCATATTGGAGTAGGGCCCACCCTAATGACCTCACCTTTACTTGATTCTATAAGGAACCTATCTCAAAATCAGGTCTCGTTTTGAGGTACTGGGGTTAAGACTTGAACATATAGATCTGGGGTGGGAGGCACAATTCAACCCACAACGGGCAATACATTTTGCCGATCTTAAGGATTAATTCTACCTTCTCAACATCATCAAATTAATATTTGTTTCAGAAAAAGGAAGGGATCACAGGGCCTCCTGCAGACTCTTCGGTGAGTTTACATACATGTCTTCTGATCTAAATTAATAGTTTTATATTTTTGGCTGGGGGAACAGGGCTATCAATTCTATATTTGAGGATTATGACTTAACTCATCTCCAAATCAAATGGAGTTTCTGTGTGTTCAGAGAAAGGGGTTGGTGGGAGGGTTGTCTCAGTGCTCCTGAGTCTCATAAGTAGGTTTTTTGAGGGAAAGGAGAAAGAAGGCGAGAAAGTATTAGGATAGAATATTATGCATGTTCATAATAATAGAATGAGAATGTAACTCCTTTTGAAAGGGGGAAGTGGAAAATAATACTCAATGAGTAGCCACTCTCTTCAAAACATACACTTTGATCTAAGTTGTTTCATTAACACACCTCATTTGGTAGCAAGGGAATTGGAAAAGTGCATTCTTCATTTGCTAGGTTTATGATCCATTCTTCCACTTGAGTGCTTCCCGTAAGTTACCCATCACTGTGCCTGTTTCTTTAGAAACCCATAGGGCCAGATGATGCTATAGACGCCTTGTCATCTGACTTCACCTGTGGGTCGCCTACAGCTGCTGGAAAGAAAACTGAAAAAGAGGTATTGTTTTTAGTGTTGTTAAGGGAAACTTGTTAGGAACTATTTTGAACTTTAAAAGAATAACTTTTTAGTTCAGGCTATTACAGTTAAACTTTCCTCATCTGTAAGTCTAATCTTTTGTATTTTGTTTTTCAGGAATCTACAGAAGTTTTAAAAGCTCAGTCAGCAGGGACAGTCAGAAGTGCTGCTCCACCCCAAGAGAAGAAAAGAAAGGTGGAGAAGGTATAGTCACAGTCTACCTGACAGCAGTTGCTTTCCAGAGCCTGATCTAGCTCATTCAGGAAACTGCCAGTAGCACATAACCCATGATGAGAAGCCATGATTTTTTCCCTCTCAGGTCTATGTGGAATAGTGAAGCCAATGAGGGTTATGTTGATCATCTCCAGGCAAGCCTTGTGTGTTTCTGTAACTGCTTGTGAATGATTTTAGCACAGTTGTCTCAGTCATCATCTAAGACCATCTCACCATTATGATACACAGAAGGGCAGAAACCAGAGAAATTGCACTCTTGGAACATAAAACCTTCAAGTTTGATTGTATAAAGGACTTTGAGCCCTGAGGATCACTAGAGGGACACCAAGTAGCTGGTACTGCCCAGCATTCTCAACTATATTTCACTATGACATAATTCTCACAAATCGCAAAAGGCAATCCTGCAGCTCTGTGCTGGCTGGGAACACATGTCTCCTCTGCAAACAGTCAAGATAATGCTCAGGAACGGTTTCTATCAGAGCAGCTTGTGCCTCTCCCCTCCTGGAGTGGACAGTTTATTTTTATCTGGCAGGCTGGGGAACAGTGGTGAGTACCACACCCCTGAGAGTGGGAGTTCCTACAACGATCAGCCATTGTGCCTTCAGAGAAGAAGGCAGCAGGGGCCACTTCAAGCTTCCCTGCTTCCTAAGCTTAGGTTGTCAGAAGCCTTTTTAGAGATACATTTTTAGAAAAAGAAAAATAGTGTGGTAACAGTTTACTACTTGCTTCTTTTTTTTTTGTTTGTTTAGAGTATTTTATAGTAATATTACTATAGCTTTATGTCTAGCTTACCAAATAAGGGGTGAAGTGTGCCCCAGAGAACGCTGTTACTGTAGAAACGTGTCTTAGCCCCAATTTCCACTCATTGGTAAGTTCTTTTTCCTTTCTCTCTTTTGCAAGGTTTCAAATAAAATTGCCTTTCTAGAGCACTTCCCCAATCCATATTCAGTTTATAATCTAAAATGTATTTTACAAAGAAGTAAATGGATTGTTCGGGCTCCAGAGATGTCTTTTTTCATGCACAGGATTTTTTACTTTTAACAGGATACAATGAGTGATCAAGCACTCGAGGCTCTGTCGGCTTCACTGGGCACCCGGCAAGCAGAACCTGAGCTCGACCTCCGCTCAATTAAGGAAGTCGATGAGGTACTGACCTTAGAGTTGATTTACAAAGCTTGTTAGTCTGCACATTACAAAACCGAATGCACTCTGCATGTTTAGAATTCTCGCACAACTTTTATTGGAGAGTAAAAGTGAGCATTCTTCATTGTGCCTTATTTATTGCTGAGTGGTTAGCAACTAAGGGGGATAGTTACATGACTGACTTGTGAAACAGCTAGAATTTTAACATTTGAAATGAACACGAATCTCCCTTGCTAGAGCTTAAATGACCCTTGACTAAACAAGGTAACAAGGAGGCAATGCCTGGTGGGAAATAGTGAAGTTTGGCAATTGGAAATTTGTATTTTCAGAAGGGTTCTGGGTGCTTCTGTTTATAAGAGAAGGAGATGTCTATACACGGAGTGGGAAGATCCTTCATTTATCACTATGGGGAAAGATGTTGAAAATTTTGTCTCAAATTAAAATCAAGCAACAATTACCCTAACTAGAGCTCCTGCATATTTATAGAATAATGCTGATGAGTGTTTATCCCGCCACACTCCAAGATCTTAACAAGCCTTCTGAACCAAAACAAGCTTACATCTGGTGTACGAAAGTTTTAATATTAAATTATAATTTTTGTGGAATTTTTCAACTCAGTCCTCTGGGGTGAAAGAGGAAGGAAAGGAGAGAGTTGCCGGTTCCTGACAAGGCAGTGTTGTGGGGAGATGGAAAGGTAGCCTGGGATCCCCAGGAGCCCGCCCCACCTCCATCAGCTCAGGCTGGGGGTGCTGGCAGGCATTGCTGTCACAATGCCCCATCTCTGCTGTCACTTCCTGTTCTGAGTCATCAGGGAAGGGGAGTCTCCCTGACTTCCAGCAACAATCCTTGAGTCTGGGACTGCCCTGGCCTAAGATGGGCCAGTTTCTATCTTCGACTTTCTTGGAGGGCTCACCGGCCACAGTGTGGCACGATAAGCTTTGTGACGGTGAACGCAGAGGAGCAAGAGAAGCAGTTCGTATCTTCCAGGACCAAGTAATGTATTGGGAAGAAGGGAAACTTGATTACAACACAATGTGAGATATACATTACTTAGAGTAGCCGACAGAAGCAGTGTCATCTTGAGGAAAGCGGGGTGTTGGCAGAATCCTGGGGGGAGTCAGGAGGCCAAGCTGAGTTGTGGCTTTACCACCTGAGGGCGACAGGGCCACAAGTATATTGCACTTCTGCCCCAAGCTTCTTACAGACACTTAAGGAGAGACAATTAATGTGGGAAGGGAGGGTATAAACATGTCATAAACCTCAGGATCAAAGGAGTCTTAAAAGTGACTAAAAGCAGATAAGCAGATGTTAAGAAAAAAAGTGACATAAAATAAGTTATTTAAACATGTGGGTAACTAGTTTGGGAATGCATATGAATGTATTAAGTTCCCTCTAGAAAACTTCAGAGTCGCAGCAAACTAAAATTCCAGCAAAAAGAACTCCTCTTTTCCACTCTTATGACATAATAGTTGTATTAGTCTGTTCTCATGCTGCTAATAAAGACATACCAGAGACTGGGTAATGTATAAAGGAAAGAAGTTTAATTGACTCACAGTTCCTCATGGCTAGGGAGGCCTCATAATTACGGTGGAAAGTGAATGAGGAGCAAAGTCACGTCTTACATGGAGGAAAGTAAAAGAGCATGTGCAGGGGAACTCCCCTTTATAAAACCATCAGATCTAGTGAGAATTATTCACTATCATGAGAACAGTACAGGAGAGCTCCGCCCCCATGATTCAATTACCTCCCACTGGGTCCCTCCCACGACACGTGGGAATTATGGGAGCTACAATTCAAGATGAGATTTGGGTGGGGACACAGCCAAAGCATATCACTAGTTTTCCTTTTTAATCATATACAAAGTATGAATGTTTCTAAAGAGGATCTTTCAGTCCTCTAGATTATTAACCTGAATTCTTAGTACCCGACTTAGTGGGTCCTTTACATCCTAGATAGTCTGATGTGATGAGAAGGCTCAGGAAGGTCACTGTCAGCCTGTAGGAGTGTCCACTGCCACCCCAGCATACCCCAGAATAGAGAGCTATCTGTGGAAAACCACACAATACTCCAGAGAGGAAACCCATGCCTACTTGGTATTCCCATCATCTACCATAACATAAAATAAAAGTTTTTTATTCTCTAATGATAGCCCATTATAAGTCTCCCACATTTTTAGGTGTGGCTGCCTAGTCTAGTGCCATTTCAATTCAGTAGGCTCTTTTTTTTCGATGCCTACTGTATACAAACCAGAGCAGGCATTTCAAGACTATAAAGATCAAAGAGGAAAATAAAAGCTCTGGCCGCATGTGTAACTTTCACTGTCCACAGCCTGAGATTAGTGGGGAGGACCGTCTTAATACAGGTGACCCTGGATGTTCATGAAGGCCGCTGTGCCTTGACCTGGGGAGTGCTGCTCCATGACAGGATTTCTCCAGATGCCGAAATAGAGCGTGACTGGAAATGTTTAAAAGAAAACCATGACTTCATCCTTTAATGAGAGCTTCTCTATAAAACAGTGAAACTAATCCCAAAGCATAGAACAGTGCCTGGTCCATTAAAAGTGCTCAATAAGTAGTAATTAATCAACTAACCAATCAGTGGGTTTAGTTACATTTAATGTTTAAATGTTTTCATTTGTTTTGTTTTTTATATTTCCTGTAAAACATGACCAGCTGACTTTCTCTATTATTGTGCGTATCCTGTTTAAATGTTACTAATTACAATTGTTTAAGAACCACACTCTTAGGCTAAGATGCAGATGGGGGCCGTGGGTTGGGTTGGAATATGCCAAGTGAACCTCCTACCTTGGTTAGTAAATTAAATCCACACCTTTATATAGGTACAAATTCTTACATATTATGGAACTTCACACTACCCACCAGCAGGTTAAATTGCAAGTGTTGTGTCCTAGCAGTCAGTGATCTACTATAGAACTATGCTTTTATTTGTAATGCAGCTAGTTGTTCATGGTTCAGTAAGCTAGAGAAGTCCTGGCATTATTGAAGAGAGTCCTTTTAAAAGAGGTAAAACAAGTTATCCATGGATCAGCCAAGATTTGTGATGGGCCGCTTCTCCCATATCTGAACTGGGTTTAATGTGAAAATTAGTCGTGTTTCCTCTCCCTTCCTTAGACAGCTGCCTCGTTGAGTAAGACAGATGAAGGCCATTAAAATAATTGCAACTAACTGCTGCACTGTGCTTACTGTCTTCAAAGGATCTTTTATTTACTTTTCTCTGGTGATCTTCACAAGTCAGTGAGCTAGATAAGGGTTATTAGTAGCCACATTTTACAGCTGAAGAAACTGGACCAAATAAAGGCTAAGTGGCTTCCCAAGGTCACAGCAGCTGGGAGCAGAACAGGGCAGTTGCCCAGGATCCCTGGCTGGGCTACTTTTGCTCAGTCACCCACTGCTCCCTTTCTCACAGCTGCCCACCATCGTCTTGTGCTTTGTAGTTTACAAGGCTCTTCCAGATGCTTTTACCAGATTTGGTCTTCTCTATAACACTCGAGAAGTACACAGAGGAAGTGATATCATCTCATTATGTGCATTATCCAACTACTTTTTTTTTCCCCTCCATTTTCATCAGGCAAAAGCTAAAGAAGAAAAACTAGAGAAGTGTGGTGAGGATGATGAAACAATCCCATCTGAGTACAGATTAAAACCAGCCACGGTAAATTTTTAGCCACAGTGCATGACAACAGCATCTTGCCTTTGCATCTTGTTTTGTTGTATCTGTACCCTTGACATTGTCAAAGGACATGTCTGTCCCCCATTCAGATATTAACTCTGAAAACCCTGAACCTTTTTTTCTCTGCTCCCTACAGTTAGACCCCTTGAGGGATGGTTTGTCCCTGCCTGGCTTCCTAAGTAGTGACCATGTGTTCATTTAAATTCCCACAGATTTAAATGTTTCGTTTATTAACAGTTCTTACAATAGATCCCAAAACTCAGAAGGAACAATTTGGGGATAATTTCTTTTCTAACTGCTATATGGATAAAAGCACCATAGGTCTTCTGAGGGGTAGATATGAATGCACGAGGGTTTACCAGTATCCTAAGTGAAGGTGGTTTTGTTGCTGTTGTTTTTGATTATGGTGAGGATGGTAGACTAACTCCTGTCATTACATTTGTCATTTACTTTTGAAATCATGCATATAAACACATGTTGGAATATAGTTACAATTCTAAGTTATGAAACCTCATATCCAAAAAAACTAAACAGTGTTATAGGAATGATATCCACCTCTTCACTCTAGGTTGGAGAATTGGGGTTTTTTAAAAGCTTCGATTAACATAGCTACATCTTTATTGCCAAAGAACTTTTTTTTCCTATTACTCTACCCAACAGATTAAAAACATTTTTAATAACTTAAAGTAAATGTGCATTCTGCTTGGTAACATCTCGATTTTTATAGCTCAACTCCTTTTTTTATACTTTATAAAAAGTAAATCTGAAACACAAACTCATGTAAATCTAAGAAAAAAATTAGCTGACATTTCATATCCTGGAATTCCCAGAAACAAACTTGATGGGACATGAAAGCAAAATTTTCTATTTCATTTCCAATGAATTTTAATTTCATTTACAGGATAAAGATGGAAAACCACTATTGCCAGAGCCTGAAGAAAAACCCAAGGTTAGGAAATACATTTTTTTCTGATACTTAAAGAACAATAGACATGTAAAGTATGAATTAAGATAATTTTGACAGTCTGGAATTCACTGTGCAGACTTGCATGCTAACCTAGTACAGAGGAAAGGGGAACTTCTGATGGTAACACTTGGCTGATACCTGTAGCTCCTTTCCATATATTTTAAAGATGATCTTCCTCATAAATCATTACTAGACTATAAATTTCTAGGTAAAATTTATTGCACACTAGAAACTGATGTCAAGAGGGCCCTTAAGTCAGATTAAGCTAGCACTTAGAGTTCCATCCTGATCAAATTCTCTAATGATTCTATTTTGCCTTAAGTTGGTAGTAACCTGTCACATACAATCAGCAACATTTATTAATCGCTTGCTATGCACCTGGCACTGCACCAAATGCTTTTTGGATATTATCTTTGTGAGTCCTCAATGAATGAGGACGGTACTGTTATTATTCCCATTTTACAGTGAGGAAATTGAGACACAGAGGGCCTATGTAAATAGCCCAAGGTCAAGGGGCTATAAAATAGCAAGCCAAGCCCAGGACTTAGAACTCAGGCTGTCTGGTCTGAGTCCCAGCGTCTGAATCACATGCCCTTCTATCATGTTACTGTTGTTAGTGACAATCTCCACATGCCCTAAACTAATACCACTCTCCTGAAAGAACAAGGGGTAGCAGAACTTTGCTGCCAAAATCCTGCATAATCATAGAAACGGAGTATATCATCCGTGTTTTGACTTATTCAGAAGAGAAGTCATGAGGAAATAGGAAAATAATAATCACATTTAAAAAAATTATACAGATCTTCATTGTAGAGAACAGGCAATTTTATTTGAACAAAATTCTTCTGAAACTGAAACATCAAGGGAATGTTTGACCAAATAAACCATTAATACTTTGGTCCTGAGGTGTTTAGTATTTCTTAATTGTTTCATGAAAATTTTATCTTAACGTTGATAAATGAAAAAATATGCCCTTTATAAATTAGCTTTGGGTGTTAAGTATGGCCTCATATGTGTTAATCAGGAAAAAAATTGCTCCATGAAAACTTTTTTTTTACAAAATAAAAAAGAGTCCCCTTGTAATATACAGCACTTCTTATATTACAGCCTCGGAGTGAATCAGAACTCATTGATGAACTTTCAGAAGATTTTGACCGGTCTGAATGTAAAGAGAAACCATCTAAGCCAACTGAAAAGACAGAAGTATGTTTCTAAACATATAAATCTCTAGTTTTGAGGTTTGTGATCTTAAAAAAAAATTGTGAGACAGACTGTTTTAGCATCAAGCAGTCTGTTAGAAAGCCCAATATGCCATCGTTTTTTCCATGTCATTTTTGTCTTCCTTTTTGGATGTGCTTTCTGCCCCAACCTAACCCTGATATTCTTGCAATTGAAGTCCTGCAATGACTCCTTCGGAAAGCTCTGGAACCCATGCCTTCCTTCTTATCCCAGCTTCTGTAACTGACCTGATTGGAACTGTCACCACCCCTCCCCTCTGGGTTGCAGTGGCCTTTCTGCAGTCTCCTTCATGTCCGCCGGACTCATTCTTTCTCAAGCATGTCTGTAGTTATGTCATTCCTCTGCTTCTATCCCCAGGAGTTTCCCATCCCTACAAAAAAAAGTTCCTATTACCATATTCTTGACCCAGTTTTCTTTCCTACCAAACTGTGTCCCTGTGTCAGTAAACAGAACAATAAGTATGTGTGCATCCCTGGCTTTTCTCACTTGGTTCCTCTGTCTTGATTGACCTTTCTTTCTAATGCTAGATCAACTAAAGTCTTACTCATCTTTTCAAGGCTCTGCTGAAATATGGCTTTATCTGCTGCTTTTCCCTCCCTAAGCTATATCCATCCAACCTTTATTAAGCAGAACACAACATGGCAGAGGATCTGTAGTTCTTTTTTTATATATCACTATTAAAGCCTTTGTTACAAAGAAGAGTTTAGCTGTTTTAGTCCCTCTTTAACTCTAACATTTATGCCAAGTTTAAATGGGTAGTAAGTTCCTTGAACGAAGAGATCATATCCTATTAATGACCATCTGCTGAGCACCTTGCATATAGGATAGGCTTCCATAAAAGTCTAGATTTAAAACAATTTGTTTAAAGGTTTGCTTCTGTTCTTTTTGTTTGTTTGTTTTGTTTTGTTTTTTCTTGAGATAGGGTCTCACTCTCTCTCCCAGCTGGGAGTGTAGTGGCACAGTCTTGGCTCACTCCAGCCTCAATCTTCCAGGCCCAAGCAATTCTCTCGCCTCAGCCTCCTGAGTAGCTGAGACTACAGGTGCATGCCACCATGCCTGGCTAATTTTTGTATTTTCTGCAGAGCTGGGGTTTGGCCATGTTGCCCAGGCTGATTCAAACTCCTGGACTCCAGTGATCCACCCTCCTTGGCCTCCCAAAGTGCTGGGATCACAGGCATGAGCCACCACACCCAGCCTTGAAACTTTATTCTTGTGATAAAATAAGATGGGACAGTGGTTCTCAAACTTTAGCATGCATCAGGATCATCTGGAGAGTTTTTTTTTAAACACAGGCTGCTAGACTCTACCCCCAAAGTTTCTTAGTACATGGGGCAGGGGTCTAAGAATCCGCATTTCTAGGTTCCCTTATGGTGCTGAGGCTGTTAGTTCAGGGATTACACTTCCAAAACTTGTGGCTTATTACTACTACCTTCCATTCCTACATAGCTGTATATAAAGTGCTCTTAGGTTTATATAAATACAATATTTTACATAATGCTATATTACATAATAGGCATATTTGTTATACATAATGACAAATAAATAATAGAAATAATAGCAATAATTGCTCAAATGTATTGAGCTAACTGTGTTCCCAGGTACTATGCATAGCACTTTGCCTGCATTGTCTTATATAGGCCTCTTACCAACCCTTCAGATGTGGATACTGTCATTGTTCTCATTTTACACATGTGGAAACTCAGTTTCACGAGTTTCAGTAACCTGCCTAAGGTGAGAAGTAAAACCAAGTTGAAAAAAATGGCAGCTGAAGAGTTTTAGCATGCTTTGACTTATTTACTATTTAGCAATCCTTAGGTATTCAAGAGAATCATGTTCACACCATATAATGTAGCGGAGTGTCTTGTTGGTCTACCATTACTCAGTCTTATTAACCAAATATTTCTAAACTTATTGAGAGTACTTGTGTCTTTCCTCAGGAATCTAAGGCCGCTGCTCCAGCTCCTGTGTCGGAGGCTGTGTGTCGGACCTCCATGTGTAGTATACAGTCAGCACCCCCTGAGCCGGCTACCTTGGTGAGTGACTCCCTGGGCATTTGAGCAGTGGCTTGAGAAAGTTTTCTGCCTCCTCCTGTCACTCTCTGCTGTGTATTACCATCATTTTATCTTATCCTGACAAATTAAAAATAAAATCTGATATCATTATAGTATCTGTTGTTTCTTTGGGCTTCAGGGGTGTCGTAGAAATTCAGACTAAGATTTAAATTTTTAATTAAATTACTCCCAACTGTATTTTTCTCTACTCTTCTGAAATTCTAGTTCCTCAGCTATTGTGGATAATCCTGCCTTTTCACTTCTCTGCATCTTTTAAGCCTATATGGATTTCCACCGAAAGCCCAAAGTTACTTTTTTACTGACTTTCCTGGTAGAATAACATGCAGTAAAATCATTATGATTCCTCCCCACTCTTCCCACTGCAGGAGGTGAAACTGACTCAATTTCTTTCTCTTTCCTTCTTCTTTTCGTGCTTCTCTCTCACTTTCTAATTTTCACATGAAGTATGATATTTAAGAAGGTGAATCTTTGTTTCCTTTTGATTTTAGTGTTTTTTTTCCATTAGTTAATGATTGAATTTGACTCAGGGAATAACATCTGATGGAATTATATTTCAATTGTATTTCATTACTACAGAATTAGCACATCTTCCCTCTGAACACCTACCTTTCATCATCTGCTGTGCCATTGCTCTAGATGTTTTGCAATGTCTTCTCATTAAATTTTCACAAGGACACTATGAAGTCTGTCCTGATCATCTTCCTGTAATAGATAAGGGAAATGAGGCTTTGAGTTGACCTTGATCCACTTGATATTTCAGAGCCTCAGTTGAGATGAAAGATATGGCCCCTGCTCTCAGCTGTCTTCAAGACTAGTGTGGATATGAGCCCTCCCCAGTTTTTTGGGGTTTCAGGGTACTCTTCAGGTACTTTTTACAGCATGTGTGCTAGGCCACAGTGGTAAAGAACCGGAGAGGAGGAGGGACTCTAGGAGGACTCTGGTGAAGAAAGCAGGCAAAGAGGCTGTGATTGGAGTCAAAACAACAATAGCCAGCATTCCCCAGTAGAACTCTTGTAACCAAAACCTGCACCTGCACCACCTGCCTCATCTGCCAAGTGTGACTGCCCGGGCTTTAGAGGGCTCAATTCCTTTTCAACTTTACCCTGACTGTAGAGCTGAGCATTGGATTGTTAGAAAGCAGACAAACCAGAACAAAACAAAAAGCTCTTGTTTTCCCTTTCCCCGTCCTCCTTTCCAGGGCCTTAACCCCACCAACTCTGGCCATGGTTGCCCAGGTTACTGTCACTGAGGCAGTTGGCATTTCTGGGATTGTGACACCCTCGAACGCCAGAAAGAATAGCTGTAGAGTGTAATAAAGGTCAGAGGACTCAAGAAAGGCATGAAGATTAGAGAGTAAAGGAAGACAGACCAGAGGAAGGAGATGAATGCGTTCCCTAGGTGGTTCTTGTGTGTATAAAAGAAAATTTATTAAGGAAACCCAGAGACCTGAGTTGTAGTTGTGAATTTGATAATATCAAATACTACAGAAATAGAAGTTTTAGTCCTTACTCCTGTTTCCAGATTCCTTTGTTCTTAAGTCTGCTTCTTCTCCTAGGTTTTCTTTAACTGTTTCAGTAATTTCTTAAGCAAGAGGTTGGCAAAGGGCACAGGTTTGGGGAAGCAGTGGTTTCCAAAGATTCTGTAGCATAGAGTATGAGAAAACAGAATTGTAGTGTGAGCAGGTGTCTTAAATCATGTAGCAACTCACATTGCTTGCATAAGACTTGGGTACCAGTGCAACTCTTGATATCCTTGATTAGAGTGTTGCAACTCTTAATACTTAATACTTAATTTAGGTATAATCCCAAACAGGTTAGAAACCTCAGGGATAACCTCAGGGATTTTTTTTTTTTTTTTTTTTTTTTTTTTTTTTGGTAGCTCTTGGGAATAAAACCCATGCAGTATTCAGCCACTAGGTGGTGCTAAATCACTTTTCTTTGGTGATCTTTCCTTTTGCAGTGCAGTTTATCAGAAAAACAGCTTTTCTTACTTGAAATCATGGCTAAAATATAAAACAGAAATACAGTTTTACTCTAAAATTTTAATAGGTGCTCATTGTGAGGTCAGAGATTTTAATAATAAGATTAAACTCTGAGATTGTTTGACCCAAGGCCTTTTACATTTTTGTTTGACCAAGACCAACAGTGGGAAATTCATTGATATTGCAACCCCATCCCCATACACTGGAAGCAACAGTTTAAAGAATAGTATTTATCCCTTCTATGTATGATGCATTTTATACACACACACACACACACACACACACACACTCTTACATTTTTTTTTTTTTGAGGCAGAGTCTCGTTCTGTCATCCAGGTTGGACTGCAATGGCATGATCTCGGCTCACTGCAACCTCAACCTCCTGAGGTCAAGCAATCCTCCCACCTCAGCCTCTTGAGGAGATGGGACTACAGGCATGCACCATCATGCCTGGCTAATTTTTAAAAACTTTTTGTAAAGATGGGATCTCACTGTGTTGCCCCGGCTGGTCTCAAACTCCTGAGCTCAAACAATCTTCCTGCCTTGGCCTCCCAAAATGCTGTGATGGATTACAGGTGTGAGCCACTGTGCCTGGTCCTGTTCTCTTCATTAAAAAAGAAAAGTCCTGGCCATGAACCATTAAGTTGATTCTTATGACCTACTAATGTACAGACGATTCCCTTTATTTTCCCTTGACACCATTCGTCCTCTGTGTTCACCAGTGTGATTTTAAATACCAGCATGGCCAGAGTTCATTACATTTGGGGGAGTACATTTCATTTTGAACAATCGGACCACAGGTAGACAGTTCTCACTGTGCCATTCAGGTTAGTTGGTCACAGGCAGAGTCATCAGAACCAGCCCTGAAACTCCTTTGGTCAGTAGAAGCCCTGTGGAGAAAACAGGCTTCCGAGCCTCCTCTTCTGAGACAAGCCAGGCTGTCCCACAGGAAATGGAGAGGAATGGCCTCTTGTGGGCTCTCTGAAAATCTTTCCTGTGCCGTCTATGGAATGATCTCCATAAAGACCACGTCTTTCTTTTTTCCTGGTATGCAACTTATCTGTGATACACCTCAGTCCATTGTCTTTCTTATTTCTAAACCAACTCTGGGTCAGGTCTCGTAAGTTTCACATTATCAACATATAATTTGCACACAATGTTTAATATAAGAAATTTGCTCGAATGTTAAACGTTTTGTTTTTTAAACATAGATTCTAATTCAGTTGATAACTCGAGTTATTAAAAGATAGCGTGTGCCTTTTATCTGAAATAATGATATGCCTTTCTGAATTGATAGCATATGTTTTAAAGGGAGTGATTAACCACCTACTTAATATATCCACTAATGCACTTTCAGAAGGGCACAGTGCCAGATGATGCTGTAGAAGCCTTGGCTGATAGCCTGGGGAAAAAGGAAGCAGATCCAGAAGATGGAAAACCTGTGATGGATAAAGTCAAGGTAATGGCAACTGAGATGCTTCTGGAAAATAAATATCATTGATCACCTTCTCCCCCTGCAAATAAGTTAGTCATTTGTTTTGTTTTTTATATTTCCTGTAAAACATGACCAGCTGGCTTTTTCTATTATTGTGCATATCCTGTTTAATAAGCTAAACCTGAATAAGCTGCAGTGTTGAACCCCCACAGTGGATGGTCGACATGCACAGACCGGAGGCCTCTGAGTCTCATCTTTGCCCACCTGCATTGACATTGCTGGGACTTGGGAAGGAAGGGGCAGCTGCCTGCTGCTCCTCACAGCTGTCTTGCATCCCAGCAGGCTTTCTGCTGGTGCCTGAGTCTGCCAGATGAAGTTGCTGTAGGAGCACTAAGCATACGGTCATATGTACTTCCTAACCTAATGATAGATTTGTTTACCTCAAATCTAGTCACTCAGGCATGAATTTTATGGAGAGAAAAAAACATGCTAACAATGAAAATGGTATAATTTTTCTCAGGAGAAGGCCAAAGAAGAAGACCGTGAAAAGCTTGGTGAAAAAGAAGAAACAATTCCTCCTGATTATAGATTAGAAGAGGTCAAGGTAAACAGGCTGGAGTCTTTTTCTATTTTATTTTAATTCATACTGAATTCATACACAGAACAAAGGTACTTGGGAACAGAACTGGAATATAAAGATCTTGTTTCTTCATATTTCAAACACCAAATAGTATTAGTCTACTACTAATAGTGTTAGAACACCAGATACAAAGCTAAAATATTCCTAAGTAGACTTGATCCTCAAGTGAAAGAAATCTAATGTCTAAGCTACCTAATGTTTTCCTTTCTAACCCACAGCTTGTTACAATACCAGAAATATTAAAAAACCTTGTGTAGATAGGAGAACTAAAATGAGGAATAGGCCGGGCATGGTGGCTCATGCCTATAATCCCAGAAGTTTAGAAGGCCAAGGCAGGAGCATCTCTTGAGCCCAGGAGTTCAAGACTAGCCTGGGCAACATAATGAGACCCTGTCTCTACAAAAAAATCAAAAAAATTAGGCATGGTGGCATGTGCCTGTAGTCCCAGGTACTTGCGAGGCTGAAGTGGGAGGATCACTTGAGCCCAGGAGGTAGAGGCTGCAGTGAGCCATGATCGTACCACTGCACTCCAGCCAGGGTGACAGAGCGAGACCCTAACTCAAAAAGAAGTAAAAAATGAAAAAAAATAAAATAAGGAACAATTACTTTATATAAGAAAAATTTGCAACTTTCAGATATAAGTTGGAAAAATAAGAGAACCTATTTAACATTGAGTATAGTGTTAAGTTGCCCCATTTCTTCTATTTTGAAAGTACAGATTGTACACAACAAGGGGGAAGACCCCATTATGAGTCCTGTGGTTTAAGTGCAGTCACTTAAATGAGGCGGATTCGTGGACAGTTGAACAATGTCAGTCATCTTTGTAGCAGGCCAGGATTTGAAAGAGTATTCAACTAAACTTCATTAACAATTCTAGAAAATCAAATTCATGCTTCTCACTCATCCATGTGCACTAGCCCATTTATTTAGCAGACACGGGAACTAGACTGAACTATCCGTGATTGAAAGTTTATTATTCTGGAAACCTTTATATTTGCTTCCTGAGTTTTACAATTCAGTTGCAGCCATAGCGTTTCTATTAATTTGGGCTCATTTGTACATTGCTTTGCAAAGTTCCTAGAGAGCATGCTAAGGGCCACATGTTCTGTCTCCACTGAGTGCCCATTCAGTAGAGGCTGGTCAAGTGCAGGTAAACTCTCTTCATGATAGGTGATTGGTTGGTGATTTGCTCTCTCCCTTTACTGAATTTAGTAGTAGTGTTTAAGGAAGCAGTTGATTCACAGTCCCTGATCACTTTATTCTGTAGTCATTTCATCCTCCTCTGACTTACCTCACACGTTATTAGTTACCTATTAATAACATTTTCAGGCACTAGCTTCATCTCATTTAAATCCTATGTTGGTATTCACCAGCTATGTTCCCATCAGGTCTCCTCAGTGAGATTTGGCTCCCCGAGGGCAGGCCACAACCTCCCCTTCCAGACGCAGAATGACGCAGTGATGGAAAATCGATTTCAGTTTGAGTAGGGAGCAAAAGTGCTCCCAGAGTCCCAGGCATCACTTAGGAAATTTTCTGCCTTTACAGCTAAGAGATGGTGGAGAACAAGCCCAGGTTCAGCTTTCCCCTGTACCTGAAGAATGGTCAGAAGGCAAAAGTCAGTCATGAGGGAAACAGGTGATCCAAGTTGAATATCCCTCATCTGACATGCCTGGGGACCAGAACTGTTTCAGATTTCAGACTTTTCTGGATTTTGGAATATTTGCCTCGTATCTGTTGAGCAGCCCTAGTCTGAAAATCCAAAATGCCCCCGTGAGCATTTCCTTTGAGTTGTCAGGTCAGCACTCAAAAAGTTTCAAATTTTGGAGCATTTAAATTGTTTTCAGATTTTCAGATTAGGGATACTCAACTTGTACCTCTAAACCATTGCACTTCACATTTTCAATGAAACAAAAACCAACCTTAACCAGTTTCTCAGGTGAAATATTCATATATATGTATATCTTTGTATTTACTTATTTTTGTGTAGGTGGATAAATGGGATTTACTATTAGTATATAGATCTCCTTTTACTAAAGAGCCCCGCATGCTTTCTTCATTTTGTCGTGTTACTCAAATGTGGCACTTGGAGTCATAAACAGCTTGACCTAATCTGAACCATAAGTTGCAGAGCGTTTCACTGACAGGTTAAACTCCCTGAGGGCAAGGCCTTTGTGCGATTTTCTGTTGTATTGCCAATGCTTACTTAGGTCAGGGCTTGGCATGTAGTCCTTGCATATGAGTTAGATGTGTGGCTTACAAGGTTAACCAGCATTTTCCAGACAACCTCTACAAAGCCCACCCCCATGTAGGTAAAGGGCTTATCCCACACTGTCCTGCAAACCCCAGTCACAGCACCACATACCACACTATGCTGACTTTCACGTTTTCCTGCTGTGATAGTCTCTAGGCTTCTGAGGTCACAAGCCATACCTCATCCAGTGTGCAGCCCCCGTGACTCAGGAATGCCTGGTGCTTGTGAGCTGTTTGTTGCCATGAACTAATTAGAGCATATTCTCTGGTGAGAGAATCCTTCGTGACATGATGGATCTAATTTAAAATGTACAACAGCAAGTATAACCTGTAGACCCTTTGTAATGTTTACAAGGTTTCATACTTTGGATAAAATGTAAAATGATTTCATGCCATGTGTTTTCCCCCCCGGATAGGATAAAGATGGAAAGCCACTCCTGCCAAAAGAGTCTAAGGAACAGCTTCCAGTAAGCAAACCAGTTTTCTCTGAGGATATCTTTTCCTTTTGGCCCTGATTGCAATGGTGTTTGTTGATACATTTCCTGGTTCTTGCAGCCCATGAGTGAAGACTTCCTTCTGGATGCTTTGTCTGAGGACTTCTCTGGTCCACAAAATGCTTCATCTCTTGTAAGTCCAAAACTCTTGGTTTTATTTCTTTAGTTTTTTTTTTTTTTTTCCTTTGAGATGGAGTCTTGCTCTGTCATCCAGGCGGGAGTACAGTGGTGCCATCTTCAGTCACCGCAACCTCCACCTTCCAGATTCAAGCGATTCTCCTGCCCCAGCCTCCTGAGTAGCTGGGACTACAGGGGTGCACCACCACACCCAGCTAATTTTTGTATTTTTAGTAGAGACGGGCTTTCACCATGCTGGCCAGGCTGGTGTCAGTCTCCTAACCTCATGATCCGCCCACCTCGGCCTCTGAAAGTGCTTGGATTACAGGCATGAGCCACCGCGCCTGGCCTATTTCTTTAGTTTTAGAGTGGCAGAAATAAATGGAAACTGGTGACTTAGAATCTGACTTGGGAACTCAGGAACAATCATAAAATTAATGGCCCTCAACCCACTGTAGCCATTAAAAATGTGTTGCACCATGAAATACTGTCCCAACATAGTGGATGCTTTTATTAGTGTAACTAATATCAAGTACCAGTACCCCTATGAAAAGAGAATTTAAATGTAAGCTTATCCAAAATTACTCCTCAGACAACTTTACCTATTGATATTTCTACAATTTATCATTTCCCAAATTGCCTCCTAAGGGAACTTAGCTCCATGTGGAATATAGAGTCCCTCAAAGGGAACTCTGTTACTCGAAAAGTTTGGACAATATTGGGTAATGTTAAGCAGGTTTCTCTACTGTAGGATTTTCATGGCTTTTTATATGCAAATATATAGTGAGTCTGTTAGAGTTCCCAAACTTAATAACTGCAGAACCTTTTCTTGTGGGGTCTGGTTTATCTGTTTACTGGGAACTCAGTTTTTAAACCACTGAATGTATTATTAGCAGTCAGTTGGAAAGGGATTAACAGTTTCTATGACAGTGGCATGGAAAATATATTTATATCAGTTGGAGAATAGACAGAATGACAACTAGAAGAAATAATGATTCTTTGGAATTGCCTGAAGTTGTTACTTTTGCTGAATGAAGCAATAAAGCCCCTCAAAGAAGAGCTTACTAACCAGAGCATGTTATTCTCTGTACCCCTGTAAAAGCACCGTGCTGCTCAGTCACCTCATCCCGTGACCTTCCTCTCATCGTCTTCCATACAGACCACATCACAGCAAAGCACTCCAGCCTTGATTTAGAAACCATAAGACATGGGGAAGAATACAATGTGAGGAGTACGCCAGGAATGTGGAGTCATAGCATTACACTGAGGCAGAACAGATGAACAAATAGTGGGGAACAAGATCTCAATTCCCTTCCTCCTCCTATCATTATTATTATTACAATTGTTAGGGTTGTTTTTTCTTTTAGAAATTCAAAGATTTGGAAAAAGTAACAATGGATTTATATGCCCCCTTCAAAGATATGTAGCAGTGAAATGGTGAGATGAAACAACCTTTAAAAAAAATCTTACTCTTAGAAAATTAGCAAAGGAAACATTAGTGCCAACAATATAGTTAATAAAGTAGAAATAACTAATCATCATGAGAACCAAATAATCAAAATAGTTATTTAGTGGAAAGTTTCAAGAAATTTGGGGGAGAAGTATCACATATGGCTCATAATTAGTGTTCATCTGTAAAAGAGTAGCTCCTGTACGTACCATGCTCTTTGATATAATAGAACAGAAATGCTATATAAAAAGAAACACTTAAAACTATTCCCCTAATAATACTGAGATCACATTGATAATAGACTATTTTAAAACATCAAAGATATTACAAGAAAAAGTCTTTGAGAAGCAGTCAAAGCAGTATTCCTGTGATACATTGTCATAAACACCTTTATCAATAGTAGAGAAAGAGAAAAAGAGAAACCTGATAAACTAAATGCTTATTGAATTTTAAACTGAAATTTCTAAAAGTTTTAATAAGGTAGCCACCAAAAACAAAGTAGCAATAAGCATACCAGGAAATGAAAATAGCGGCATGAAAGTTAACTGGCCAATAGTTGTTTCTTTTGAAATAACAAATACTTTATAAAATACTAGCAAATATAAAAGAGGAAAAAAAACCTTACAAAAAATACAATTAAATTTTAACAGAGTAATATAATAATATAGAGATCAACTAAATTATTGGTAGTTTAAAGCCAATAGTCAGTTGGCTTTTATGAATTTTTAACATTTTACAAAACTGATAAATAGAGAAAATAATCTTACTAATAAAATTTAACATAAATGTGAGAAAATACAATAATCAGTACAGAGCACAAATAAATTATTAGGAAACACTATGTACAACAATTTTCTAAGATTAAACAAAAATATTAAACTGCGTAATTCACAAAACCTAAAAAAAGACTGAAGAAAATATTGCAATGATTTTCAAACTGTCCTTCTACTGAAGGTTTAAAGATGACTCTAACTGTTGAACACTCAGTTCTTATGTGGCATAAATATGTCATGAAAAAGATGGGGTCACATAGTTGCTTCTATGAGTAATTATGGTGCTAATCTTAAAATCTGACAAATATAACGGTATCAGCTAAAGTTACTTAAATGTGTAGATGTAAAAATTACATACAGCATACATAGAATATAACAAACAGTTAAATTATTTGCCATTATAAGTATTGATTCAGTAGCAGGAAAACTGTCAATATATTGTAGTGGTATATCAAATAGAAACAAATAATCATGTCCATGTAAAAGATCTATTTAAAATTTTACATATACTCATATTATAAATAAAAACTTTTTAAAAAGTAGGCAATCCCCTAATCTGTTAAAGAGTCTTTAGTTTTCAGAATCAAATATTCAATATCATGCTGGAGGCATTTTCCTTAAAAGCAGAAACTATGAAAAGTTTATTGTCATTTCTGCTTATTATCACATGGAAGAATCATTAACAACACATGAAAAAAATGACAAACATTAAAAGGGAACATTTGAATATATTTGTGGATAGCACTACTTGTAGATAATACATTTGTAAGTAACATTATGCCATGTTTATTAGTAACAACAGATGAGAAAATGTAATTAATATGAGATCAGACTTAATGTAAACTATAAAAGGAGAAATGATCAGAAAAATAAGGACACAAAAAAATTGAAGGCCATACATTAAGTCAGTTTAACTAAATATCTTAAAAAGAATGATGACAATTCAAGTCATTTTATGTGTTAATTTTTTATTAAATAGCAATAAGATACTTTTATAACTCAATAAAATTATTCAATGATACATTCGGAAAATAAATGTATAAAATATGAAAAAGTACTAAAAAGCATTTTTCAGTACTTTTAGGTAAGATTAATCCAACTAAACACTAGCATATGTTATACAGTAATAATAAGTGGAAAATACAATAATGTTGAGAAAGCAAACTCAAAGCATAGATCAATGAAAAAATTGAGAAATGGACATAAATGATTTAGTATTTTTAAAGAGAGTGAAAAATCATTATTTTATGCTTTTGTGTAGCATTAGATGAATTAAATAACATATGCACATATAGCTTTGCGATACAAATTTCCAGACCATAGGTTGTTTCATACTTAGTATTAAAAGGCTTAAATAATAAGTCAATAAGATAGTTTAAGAAGAGACAATACAAATGTTTCAATGTCATTCTTTTCATTTGACAACTTGTTATTCTTTTCATTTGTCATATAAGCAAAGATTTCTCATAACTAAAAATGAATTTAATTTAGTACATTTTGGATTACCTAAAATATTACATTCTAAAACGGCTTTACAGGGTATAAATGGACAATAAGTATCTTATAGTTATCTAAATTAGTTTAAATAATTTCCAATAATAACATGCTGAAATGAATTTCTGAATGTTGGTATCTTTTTAATGTGCTTTTCTCCATCTTTTGGTAAAATTTGCAATTCTCCTTTTTCAAAATAAGCTATCCATAGTTGGAGTCACCAAAGAGTTCTGGACTTTTTTCTGGTTTTTCATCAACAGTTATACCTAAGTTTTTTTGTCAAAAGGGAGTATTTGAAATGAAGCAAATATTCAATATTTTTAAACAGAAATTATTTCAGAAAGTTTCTAGAATATTTAACGTTGAAAAAAAACCCTGAAACCTGACACCGTATACCACAATATACAAGCAATAGTAGTATATCATTTTACACTGATTATCATAATAAAAGTCAAATTCTGGCAAGCAAGGCCATGGGAAAACAGGCATGCTTATTCATTGCTTTTCGCAGTATGAATTCCTAGCAACATTTGAGAGGGCAGTTTAGCAAAATATAGCCAGCACCATAACTCACTCACTAGAACTTATTCAGAGCAATTTTAAAAGAGCTGAAAACTTTGAATAACCTAAATGTACAACAGGAAATGTGTAAACAAACCGTGGAACTCTAAGTTATATTATTGCATAGTATTTAGAATAATCAATATGAGAAGGAAATAGAAATAGCAAATTGTATAAAATAATACAATAGAGAAGAAAGAATTTAAATTTCTTTTAAAATTATATGTTATTATGAGTCTATTTGGTCAAGAGAATAAACAGTCATTAAGCTATCTTTAAGAGTTATAGTTAAGTGATGGCATTGTGCTCATAATTTTATATACAACATGTTACTAATAAAATTTTTTTCAATAAAAGAAATTTGAAGATGCTAAACTTGCTGCTGCCATCTCTGAAGTGGTTTCCCAAACCCCAGCTTCAACGACCCAAGCTGGAGCCCCACCCCGTGATACCTCGGTAAGCAGCACATCTTATTTGGGAGATAAATGTTTTTGCGCAGCCACAACTAGAAAGAAAATAGGGCGCCTGTTTAAAGCAAATGAAAATAGGCAGAATTATTAGGAAGATCAGGCACCTTCTATTTCAGAAGAGCCGAGACTGATGATTTAGCGAGATGGCAGAGATTAACTTTGAAATGATTAAATGAAACTATATATGTGAAAACATTGTACACATAGTCAAGGACCTTAATATTATTGTTGCTTTATAAGAATTGAAAGTGCAATAAAGTGCATTGTGTCTATATTCAAATTACTAGATTTGAAAAGTTCTTTAGCTTTCCTGATAATTGATTTTCTCCTTTATATTTTTTCTTATACATTCTATAATTTACTACCCATTATTTAACCTCAAGTTTATTTTATGGAATCGTCATGTTTGAGCTTTTACAAACATTTTACAAACGTCATGGAATAGCATTGTTTTCTTCCCAATTCACACCAGTAAAAATTTGTCACTTTCATACTAGCAGTAGAAGAACCTCAGCATCAATATTGTTTTAATTATTTACATGCTGTGAGGCAAGGCTGTGGGACCAAAGCTTTTCCAGACTTCCTTGACTAATCACCTGTGCAATACCAAATTATACATTACCAAGGAGACCACAGCACATCAAATTATAAAGGGATTGCCCTAAACCAGATCCCCATCTCCTTTGGTTGAGAACAGTGCCTCATTTGCTAGATGGAGATGAAGTAACTTTAGCGAAGTCAGCTATGCTTCCATTCCGTTTGATGTAGCATCAAAGCATATTTAGTGCTGTAGTCTGAGATTCTGATGGATTTTCATCCTGTTGCGTCAGCTTCAGGATCATCTGAAAATATCCAGAGGCACAAATGACAAAGCCCAGACCTGGCCCCGGGCAGCTCTACCATTAGCAGCTATAATCCTGGATTATAATAAAGCACTTAAAACCAGTAAAATGCCCCGTGTGTGTGTATGTGCATGTGCATGTGCATGTGTGTATGTAAACACACCCACAATGAAGAAAGTCCCCATGCAACAGAAAGGAAGAATCATTAATAGCCTAGGCTGCCGTTTACACTTCAGTTCTTAATATTCAGGCCAGAGATTCTGCCCTGATGAAGGCTATCAGTAAACATTTGCAATCAAAAACTTTTTTGCCTTTAAGAAGTAGGTTTTACAATGACACTTCTCTGATCACATTTCCCATCAGAGAGGCTTGTTTTTAGTTAACATTTTATTTGAAGATGTCACTAAAACAAGGTATAAAGCTTTATTTAGATAAAAATATTAGGAAATCGAAGAGTCAAATAAACCATGATAATTCACGGGAGCTTTCTTTGCTGTGATTATTAGATTGTTACTAACAGTGTTACATACACTGAAAGCATTTGAAGACATGATTTCAAAGATCTGTGTAATAAAATCACTCCAACAGGAAAACTGCTTCAAAGAAAATAGAAGATCATGGATGTGACTAAGCATGACAGGGAAAAGCTTTATCAGTCCCAAGACCTGGGTTCTATTCACTTTTTAACAATTTGTTTTCAAGCAACTGACTTAGCTTCCCTGAGCTTTTTACCTCAAAAAAAAAAAGCCTGCTTAGTTCACTGAGAACCATTGTGGGCATCAAATAAAACTGGATAGTGTATGTGAAAACATTTTGAAAATCAACTGGAAAGTTCTATACAGTATTGGACAGAGTTCAGCATGGTGTCTTATACAATGTAGATATTAAACACATTTTAATTGAATTCATTTAGAGGTGGAATTTTGAATGCAATGTGTTGAAAAATATGGATTTTGCTATAATAATACTAATAATAATTTACCATTTGTTGGGTCCTAACATACAACTAGTATTGTTTTAAATGCCTTTTCAATCATTTACTTTTCTCAGCAACTTAGGAGTATAAGTACTACTATTATTCACATTTCACGGCCAAGGAAACTGAAGCTGAAAGGGGTTAAATAAGCTGCCTGAATCATACAGTAAATAAATGTTAGAGGAAATAAGCTATCTTAGTTACAGTGATATTGTTGTCCATAATTTTTTTCCTCTAGAATACCAGCTCCCATTTCTGCAATTTCACTTCCATGAGCTTCCTGAAGATGAAAAGAGAGGTTTCCCCACCAGTTCAGAAATTCTCTGAAGTCTTTCAGGGCACTCATCACCAGTGTGGCAGACAAGCCCCTTCCACTCTCCTGACCCCAGATTGTCTCTGGGGTTTTGTGCTTTAGGAAGTATTAGGATGGCAGTGCCGAGCTCCATGGCTTCCCACAAACTGCGGGTCACGCTGCACTTTCTGAAATGCACCCCTCAAGATCTTAGAGTTTTAGAGAGGACCCACAGAACCAAAGAAACACTTACCCTCTATAGTTGCAGAATCTTGCTTCCTAACCATCTGACAACATTAGTAGATGTTTGTTTTCATATCCAGTTTTCTAATGGTGTTTAATTTCTAAATGAAAGGCACACATGATTGGTTCATTTGCTTTTGGACCCTTTATGTGACCTCCAGGTCACCCACTGGATATGGCTCCTGAGGCTGCCACTAAGACCTCCTTAACCTGGTGGGATCTTCACCAAGAGATGGGCAGGGTTGGGTGGAAGGTGCTGGCCCTCCAACCCCAGTAGGGTGACAGATACTGCCGCTCTTCTCCTGATCTTCCATTCCTAGGCTTCTCTTCTCTGACCCTGTCTACTCCCCTGCCCCAGCCCCAGATGTCTTTTTCTTCCAAGGAAACAGGTTCCCTCCTGAAAAGATGGAGTTCCTGGGCTAATTTGCCTCTGATACAGTTTGGCTAATGAGTGACTAATTCAGCATTATTTACTTTTCAGCAGAGTGACAAAGACCTCGATGATGCCTTGGATAAACTCTCTGACAGTCTAGGACAAAGGCAGCCTGACCCAGATGAGAACAAACCAATGGAAGATAAAGTAAAGGTAAAAAAAAAAAAAAAAAAAAAAAAAATTCACTAATAGTGAAATTTTAATCCTTGGGTCTTGACTCTGTCATTGTCATAGGAATATTGATGTGAACTTAACCTATATTTTAAACATGAAATTATAATGAAATAGAAAAATCAATCTGTACTCCACTGGAGGGGAAGGTCACTGAATCTGTGACAGAGATACCAGCGGAGCCTCCCTGAGGGGATTCTGGGAGGTAGGTGTGGGGTATGCATGGCTTCCTCCCATGCAACACAAGCAGTCAGCACATCCATTCAAATTAGCTGTTGTCCTTCAGGGTTGCTTATAAATAGGCAAAGTTGTAAATGTGACCTCTCTAAATGGCAAGGTACAGTGGCCTGATTTTGTATTAGAAAAGTGAAACCATACAGAAAAAAAGAAAAAGATATTTTATACCTTTGGGTTCTAATCTCCTAACATGGTTTCTGAAGATAATTATTTAATCATTTATTTCCATTTAAAATATAGCTAGAAAATTCACAGATATGAATTGACATACAGAAGCATACGGGATTTTATATTTTAGCCAACTAGCAGTCTGTTGAAGTCATCTGTGTTGTTCTGTTGCTTAAAAAATAAAAACAGACCATATGTTTTGCCTCATGAAAGTACAACAAATGCTGAATGCTGCATTTGACAATGTATTTTCTAAGTGAAAGAGGAAATGAATATTAATTCTATCTGCTCACTGTTGATATAGGAAAAAGCTAAAGCTGAACATAGAGACAAGCTTGGAGAAAGAGATGACACTATCCCACCTGAATACAGACATCTCCTGGATGATAATGGACAGGTAAACTGAGGCAAATTGCTAGATCGGATTTATGCTACCAAGATCTTTAAATTCAAACCTCCCTTGAAATAAATAGTAGCTATACTCCTTTACAATAGCATAAAACATACCATGACTGACTGCTTCTAATGTGTCACCAAAGCCGACCAGCAGGTAAATATTTATTTGAGCCAATATCATTATATATGCATATGCTAGGCTCTGTGGTATAAACAGGGTTGAATACTGTTCAGTCACTCACAGATGCTTAAGAGTGATCCAAGAAATGTGATTCTCTCTTTCAAGAAAAGGCTATAAAAATGACTAAGGTGATAGGATTTCAAAGGAAGCAATCTCTGTTTAAGGAGAGCAGAAAAGGAGCTGGTGTTGGGATAATTAATAGGGAAAATTAATAAGGCAGCTCCAAGACCTGGGGTCTCCCTATCTTCTCCTGCATCATCATCAGCACTATTGCAAGTGAAGACAGGCAAAGCAATATTCCCAATCACAAATCCTGTTTCTCTGCCAAAAAGTCCCTGGCCTTTTGTCTCCCACATGATAGAGGCCAGTCTTTCGTAGGTCAACCAGGCCTGTCCCCCACCTCTTTCCTATTTAGTTTCTAATTTTTGAGTCAATTAGATGATAAATAACCCTTTCCATGCCTGTTCATCAAATAAGAAACAAGGAAGACCAAATTACACCCTTCTCTTTCTGTACTGATTCATTTTGGTGAGTAAGATGATTCCTGGTTTAAATAGCAGTGTCAGCTTCAGGGTCTCCTATTACAGGAACCAATTCTCCTTGCTTGCATTCAGTATTCCTCAAGATAGCAATTCCACATCCTGCTAGAGCCCTTCCCACTTTGATAGTACCAACTCACCCTGCTTGCGTTCTTTGGGAAATTTATTATTTAAGGCCCTTGCCTTTGAAGCTGGGAAAAATCCCTGATGACTTTCTAAGTGTAATAAGCTATAGTAAATAAGATGTAAAAACACAAGTAACTTTTTATAACACTTTAAGTAGAATTATAAGTGATAATACATGATGGCAGAAGGTTCACAAATAGTGTTTCTTTCACTTCCAGGACCAGACCCTTTCATATGTTTCCCCCAAGTCTACACAAATGATTATAAAGAATAGTAATTAAGCAAAGCTGGTAAAGAAATAGTGGGGACTCAGGTTTATTAGTTATTGCAAGTCTACACTCCATTTTATCCAAGTCAAGTCATGGGACAATAGATTCTCTACTGCCTAAACCTAAGTAAACCTTTACAGATATCTATGCTTAACCAATAGTCTGCCTTCTTTTTAAGGACAAACCAGTGAAGCCACCTACAAAGAAATCAGAGGATTCAAAGGTAAAGACCATAGGAACATATTTCCATTAAATTTTGTTTTATTCTAGCCATAGGGGTATTTGGCATTTTAGAAAACTAAAACATATTGAATGCCTACTCTGTGCCTGGTACTTTGTCAAAGCATGCATATAAATGTGTGTGACTATTGTTTACCTCTCTTTTAGTCTTCACAAAAGCCCTTTAGGGTGGAAAACTGAGGCTCAGAGAATGCTAAGCAACGTGTATTAAAGAGTAGATGGAAAAAAAGCCATCAAGATTTTCTTGTTTTTCTATCTCCTTTACAATACATTATTATTAATAAAGAATGTCAGTCAGTTTTTTTCTTATAGAAACATCTTTTATTTGTAAGTGATGTGGGAAAAGACCCCATATTGCATTTTGCCTTCTGCTTCTTCACTGATGGTTATTTCTACTCATATCTCAGAAACCTGCAGATGACCAAGACCCCATTGATGCTCTCTCAGGAGATCTGGACAGCTGTCCCTCCACTACAGAAACCTCACAGAACACAGCAAAGGTACTGTGCTTTTTCACATTTCACTCTTTGAAATGTGTGTGTGTGTATGTGTACATACATATAAGTTTTATTTATTGATTGATCTATCTATCGGTCTGTCTTGTAACAGGGTCTTACTCTATAGCCCAGGCTGGAGTGCAGTGGTGTGATCTCAGCTTACTGCGATCTCTGCTTCCTGGGCTCAAGCAATCCTCCTACCTTAGCTTCCTGAGTAGCTGGGACTACAGGCGTGCACCACCACACCCAGCTAATTTTTGTATTTTTTTGTAGAGAGGGGGTTTCGCCATGTTGCCAGGCTGGTCTCGAGCTCTTGGGCTCAAGTGATCTGCCAACCTCTACCTCCCAAAGTACTGGGATTACAGGCTTGAGCCACTGCGCCTGGCCCTTACAATTTTTAAACTGTAGAATGAATCAAACGATGATATAGAGAACCTGAAAATGAAGAAAAGAAAAAATGCCTATAATTCCACTGCCCCCAAAACAGTATTATTTTGTGGATTTCCTTTTTTTTCTATATGTATATTTTACATAATTATACTTACAGTCCACTTATAAAACACTGCTTAACGTTATTTCTTAACTGCTACTTTGTAATTTCCATAGCCACCATTTTTTATCTCCACACTATATGGTTGTGCCACAATAATGCTATGTCTGTGTTCATTTAAAGTGAGAGCAGGCCCTAACTACATCAGGCACTCTCATGCTCATTTGCTCTCTGGAGCTTCCTCCCCTTTTCTGTCTGCTTAGCCCAACTGGTCTACTCTTCATTCCTCAGGGCACAGCTCAAGCATCAGCTCCTTAGGGAAGACTTTCTTGTCTTACATCTTCTCCCTTCCCAGTCCAAAGTTAGAGGCCTCTCTTCCATGCCCTCCTTGCTCTCTGTTACCTCTCTGTGCTTGTGTATCACACCACTGAGCTACGCATTTCATACAGTAGTGATGTGTCTTTTACCTCTGTGCTCCTCATTAGCAAAATGCCTGGTACTTAGCAGGTGCTCAAAACGTGATTAAAAGTGAATGAGAAACAACTGTGTAATTCAACAAGTGTGAGGCATTTTCCCTCAAGCTACACCCTCTTGTAAATCAAATAGAAGGAAACGTGAAATGAGTACCTCCTTGTTATTTTCAGGAGAGTTAATTCTGCAGATCTCAGTTTGCTATTGTTTTGGCTGTTCTAAGGCACTGCTCTCGATCACTGAATTGTCAGCCCTTCCATACTGGGTAGCTTAATTTCTAGACCACTTCAGCATCCTATCTCTCACCCCTGGTAACTCGTAAGTAATGCCTTTTTTGGTGAATGGACTTTATTTTTATACGTAACCTGCTCCAGCTTTCCTCGGTTGTTTCCCATTGTTCATTTCTCTCCCATAACACTGAAAACAGGGTTTTTTTTTGTTTTTTTTTTTTTGCCTTTTGGTACACAAAAGCCAGTCCTGATCGAGACAAGCTCTATTTTGTTTTTTAAATACATTTTATTGTGTATATTTGAGGTTTACAACATGGTAGTTTGGGATGCATAGAAATAATAAAATGGTTACTGTAGGGAAGCAGATTTACATATCTATCATTCTCACACAACTACTTTTTGTGACAAAAGCAGCTAAAATCTACTTAGTTAACAAAATCCCTAATACAATTTTATTAACCTTAGTCCTCATGTTATACATTAACTCTCTACACTTGTTCATTCTGCATATCTGCTATTTTGTATCCTTTGACCTATATCTCTGTTTCCTCCTCCTGTTCCCTACCATGGTCGCCATGTTTTATTCTCTGTGTTTTTGAGCTTTTTCTTTTATATATATTCTACATATAAGTGAAATCACTTTTCTTTCTGTGTCTGGCTTATATCATCTAGTATAAGGTCTTCCAGGTCCATCCATGTTGTGACAAATAGTAGGATATCGTTTTTTAAGGCTGAATAATATTCCATTATGTATATATACATGACATTTTCTTTATCCATTCATCAACAACTAGGTTGTTCCATATCTTGGCTATTGTGAGTAATGTTGCAGTGAATATGGGAGTGCAGATATCTTTATAAGGTGATAATTTCATCTCCTTTGGGTATATACCCAGAAGAGGGATTACTGGGTCATACAGTAGTTCTACTTTTAATTTCTTTAGGAACCTATATACTGTTTTCCATCATAGCCCATACCAATCTACATCCCCACTGACAGTGTACTAGGGTTCCCTTTTCTCCACACCCTTGCCGACATTTATTATCTATTGACAAGCTCTGTTTTGATTAGCAAAATAAGGTCTGGGTGAGTCAGGCACCACGGGAATTAGAGCATCAATGTCACCCACATTTCCCTCCTTATTTCTATCCTTTTTCCCTCCTGCTTTAAACAATTCTCTGACACCGTTGTTCAAAAAAAATCATGAAAAAACACCCAAAGTCTTCCATTATTTAATTAAATTGGAGATCTCAGAATGGTCTGGATTAATTTAACTGCAGCCTAGTTAATTGCTAGATGGATTGGTGATAGCCATAGCCTCATTACATTTCCTTTGCTTTAGGATAAGTGCAAGAAGGCTGCTTCCAGCTCCAAAGCACCTAAGAATGGAGGTAAAGCGAAGGATTCAGCAAAGGTAAATGGAGCAGTAAATATACTACAAATTAGTTTAGCAGTTACACAGAGTAGGGTTTATCATTTCAGTCATTTAGTTTCCTACTGGAATCTATTTAGAATAAAATTTCTTAAAGTACTATCTATCCCATAGCATCGCTTGGTAAAGTAATTGAATTTGTATAAATACATATATTTTTAAGTAACTGGTGCTTTAAAATCCTAAATGAATGTTCTTGACACAACCCAATTTGCCTGTGTTTTGCCTGTCTTTCTTGCCCTAATTAAAATACCACCATAGTATGTGGTTTATATAGATTTTAGAACATGGAAGTTGGAAACTTCCTATTATTAAAATTACTCAAGCTGTGATGAGAAATGAAAATTGGATTAGACAACTTCTAGGTCCCTTCCAATTCCAAGAACATATGATTTAAATGATTATTACTATGATCCCCTGGCTATAAGGAGGAGTTAAAGGTGTAGCTTTAAAGACAATAGTCCAGTTACACCAAAGCTTTTAAAACAATATATTAAAATCTTCCTGTAGTAGATTCCCTTAAGGGATATAGGAAACAGCATTGATAATTGGCAGTTATGCCATTATATCTCAGTTTAAATACTTATTTGCCTATTATTTAATTTCAGTTATACGAAGTACTTAATCAGCCCTTTAACAAATAATAGAAAGCATAATAACCCTTTATGATGAGTGGATTTACTGGACAGCCATGACCCTATGTACAGGAAAGGAAGGATCACCACAGAATGAAACATTGCCATTTAAGAACACCTATGCATATTTTATAACCTACCCTAGCCTTAAAAAAATAAAGCTGAGAGTGATACATTTAGGATCAGGATCACTTAAGGTTATTTTTAGCTTATAAGCTTGAGGAGGAAGAACTCACAATATTGTGGCCAGATGAAGAAGAGAAACTGAAAGGACCATCTTATTTTTCCCCACTGACTGCCATCTTTTGTCCCCTAATTCTGAGAAGGCCATCTCCTCATACTTAATACAGAAAAGAAAGCTCACGGATGGTTTTGCTTTCCCTTTTAGACAACAGAGGAAACTTCCAAGCCAAAAGATGACTAAAGAAATACAAGTTAAGGTATCTGGTAAGTTGGGTGTTTATTTGTAAATGAAGACAACTGTATCTTCTGCCAATTTATGTGTTATAGATGAGAGAAGTGAAGTCCACCTCTTGAGTAATTCATGCTCACTTTACAGTATTGGCATGAAATGCATACTGCAAGATCTACAGAGTAATTGGTCATTCTCTGAAAGCACTAAATGGGATGAGTTTGCTATTGAAATGTTTAAAAACCTTAATCTTATAATTAAAAGCTTTTAAAAATATTAGGCCAGGCACTTAGAATGACCATCTGAGGCTAGTTGAATCTTTGAAATCCAAATGCTCATTACTGCAGGTTATTGTGGCAAAGCAAAATTAGCATGTTACAACTTAGCGAAATGTCCTGAAGACATTGGCATTCCCCAGAATACCAATACATGGTGGGGTGGGGAGAAGTACCCTTTAGAGTCTGGTGGAAATTACAGGGTTTTGGGAACAAGGGCAAAGGAAAAGATTGGCCATTTTTATTTGTCATTATTTTGGAAAGTAAAGTACTGTGTTTGATTCTAATTTATAATTGCTGAAGAAACTGGACAGATTGAAGGGATTTCTGAGATCTTCAGAACTGGGCCCTTATCTTAATCTTCAGAAAGGAGAGGGCTTAATGTAAGCCTTAAAAGCATACAAGCACTTACTGACCAAAGCCTAAAAGAAATCAAAGTATAGGTTAAATCGGGTTCAGCTCTCTCACCATGATCCATGTTTATTTCCTAGGAAAAAAGGAGCTATATTAGGTAGAACTGCTCTAACATTTTTCCCAAAATTAAAAAAAATTCTATTAATCCACTTTCATGTTTACTTATAGGAAATTCCTTCTGTCTGTTATACAATGCTTTTGCTAAGTGGTATATTTACTATGTCTGTAACAAGAAAATTACATATTAAATGATTCACTGCATTTTTTATTTGAAATTTTTAAGGTATCTGCATGTAAAATCTTCAGCTGGTGGATGGTGACTTTTGAAGAACAAAAGGCTTTGGCAACAGAAAACAATTGTTCTGGGTGATTTCTAGAATGGTTTTTGTTGAGTCTCTGAACATCCTAAATATTGGTTTGTTATTCTTTTCCAGAAAGAAAATGAATTTGACTGGTTCACCTGTGTACTGAGTATTGATAAACTTTGAATTTTTTTAATTGCCTTCAATTGGGAGAGAAAGCTTTATATTTGTAAGAAATATATTTGATAAAGTTTCTTAAAGCAACACCAAAAAAACAAAAGAAAAGCTAAGTGAATTTTTGCACATTCTACACACAGTGCCTGTAAATCTCATTTGTATTTTCAGTTTGCCCTTAATTTTTTTTGTTAGTGTTTAGAAAACAATGTTTTAAACATTCTTCAGTGTTCTGATTTCTTATTACCCCCTTTCCTCTTGGGCTTTTGAACTGTATTTGATGTTGCTTTGGGATAATGTTTATAAGTCAAACATAAGATATTGTACATTGGGCACATATCTCCTCTTGGGCTGCTAATAATAAATTAATAACAGGTAACCTGGACAAACCAGGAAGCACCAAACCCCTTTTCAGTTTGAACTCTTCTTTGCCAGGTGTGAGGACTTCTGCATCTTACAGTCAGCACAGAACACACTGAGACTTGAATCAAGTCAGCAACAGAGCAAAATAAAGGTTAGATAAGTCCTTGTGTAGCAAATTTCGAGCATAAGAAATAAAATCTAATTAATTCTTAGGGTACTCATCTGACTTGAACTCTGTTGGTTTACTGTGTTAGTAAACTGTGCTTTCTATTATCTATACATAAAACCTGAGCAGCAACTGTGTCTTTAGAGCTATTGCCACATTAGCCTTTGCACTGTATAGCGTCTGGCTTTATGGAACTTAAGTTTACCAAATATAAAAAGAAACTTCTGCTTTTAAAAAAATTATATATATATATTAAATTTGAAACCTGCATTTCTCCCACAGCAATGTAAGAAGTAGGCTCTGATGTCCTACCACTTTGAATGGTTTTCTAATATCTTAATGAATAGTTCCTGAACATTGCACTGATATCATCGATTAGAATTTTGATATTTAATTTCATCTTTATTTCCTGGTAGAGAATGCAGGAAAAGATGTCAGGTACATAACATAAAACAGATTGGGAATTTATTGTTTCCAAAGGGCATGGCCTTCCTTAGCATCAGTTTGAAGCTTTTGTTATGACTTAGCTGACTTGTGGCAGCGGGGCAAGCAAAAACAATAACACTGCTTATAAATGGCACCACATCTTGTTAACCTCCCCCCCAAATACTCTCTGAAAGTCATGCACATACCTATGGGATTTTACACACCACCAGCTTAAAATGCTATGTCTCTATCCATCAGAAATAGTCATTATTCTATTTTTAAGGCAGCAACAAGAAAAGAAAAAACACTTTTCCTGAGGGATTTCTAACCATGTATCTAATCCTCCCATTTGGGCAGTATAGGTGTTTGCTTTTTTGTTTTCTTTTTTTAAGAAAAACCTTGAAACCTTTGACACTGACAGATGTGTTTGCAAGGATACGGCTTCAGTATTACTAATTTCCATGTGTATCTGGAAGTATTTTTAAATGGCATACCAAAATCCAGAAGTTTAAAGATGCCTATAAAAGTAAACAACATTTATTTAAAAAGAACTCTGAATATGCCTTCTTTTTTAATTAGAAATATCTTCGAGACTTGGGTGTTTGTTAATAACTAATAACTGGAGTAAGCTACAGGATCTAAAGCAGCCCTTTTTACAGTCTAGTTAGGAGAGAGAAAATAATTGCAAATATCCACTTAGAGGCAAAGAACAATTTTTTATTATCAAAAAGGTTTCTGCACATTGTTGTGGCAATATTGTATCTGTTTAGAAAATGGGCTTTTCCAAAAGCAAACAAAGATAGGTTCCTCAGGTGACCAAAACTGAAAATCAATATTTCCATGTTTCATTAATCAAGGCATAAAATACAATTAAAGCAAAATATTTTACATTAAAATCTTGGTTGTGTATTTTTTTAAAAGAAGGGAAATAGTTTAGTTTGGGGTGGAAATTACCAGTGATTTCTATTTTTATTAAACCATTCACTACAACAAATAAGTATAAAAATTCCAATTCCACTTTTATACCTATTTATTTGTTGTAGTGAATGGTTTAATAAATGGCAGATTTATGTCCAGAAGTCACTCTATTTTGTCGTGTATTAGGGGAACACATTTTGACATTTTTCGTACCAATCATCAATCATATTCCCTTATCTTGAAGTTTTTGCCTTATATTCAAAAAGTTCAGTTTGAATTCTCCTTTGCCAGGTGTGAGGATTTCCGCACCTTAGAGTCAGCGCAAAACACGCTGCAACTTGAATCAAGTCAGCAACAGAGCACACTATGGGTTAGATAAGTCCCTGTGTAGCAAGTTTTCAGAATAAGAAATAAAATCTAATTCTTAGGGTATTAACTGACTTGACTTGAACTCCGTTGGTTTACCATGTTAGTAAACTGTGCTTTCTATTATTATCATCTATACATAAAACCTGAGCAGCAACTGTGTGCTGAAGCAACCGTGTGTGAAGTCTTCACAAAAGAAAGAAAGACTTCAAAGCCAAAGAATGTCCTATTTGCTAATATGAGCAAATATTTTGTTTCACAATGTACTATCATTTATTGGTGACTGCAATAATTTACTGTCAGTAAATGCCAATAACTAGTTAGTTAGAAATTGTAAAGTAGGCCAAATAAGAAGCAGAGAGAGAAAAAAAATCACCTCCCTAAGAAAAGGGTTTTCCTACAGACTTGAATGCACTCTGCTTTTTCAGAAGAGATACTGTACCAGTCAGGGAAATAGATGACACTCACTCAGAATTATCTGAGGAGGGTTCTATAAAAAGATTTTTTGCAAAAGTGCGAGCACATTATGTAGAAACCACAAGTCCGCCAGGACTAGTAAAAGCCAGACTCCCACTGAGGCCACTAATCCTGAAGGGATGAGGAGGGAGCAGTTACCAAAATCCAGAGGTGGAGAAGGCTGTGTGGAAAAGAGGGTCCCCTCTCGGAGCTAAGACCCTCAGGGGAGGCCAGCCCGAGGCATCCCGCAAGGGAATCAGGGAAGAACACCTCCACCTACTACCTCCTCCGACCCCAGCTCCAGCTCTCCGGCTCCCCACTGACCAACATCCAAAGGGCAAGAAAGCTTGATGACTTGGCCTTTACAAGTCAGCCCCTGGGCATGGAGCAAGGAAGAGGGATGGGCAGCGGGTCTGGAGGGGTGAGCCGGGAGAGCTTTAACCCAGTCATCGTCCGGCTTAGTCTCAGATCCAGGTGTTCATTGTTCAGTAGTCGACTATTCAGAGTCTTTCGAGGAGACTGATGAAACAGTTTATGAATGATAAACATGGGGTACAGGGTTTTGGACACGGGTGCTTAAGCATAAACTATAAAATGAGAAGAATAAGGTACTTTATTCTTCTGTGGCAGGGAACCCAACACTTGGGTTTACGTTGCAGGGCAACACCTGTGATGAACAAAACACATGGTAGCGATAGCCCATTCATGAAAAACTAACAGCTATTCTTTTCACAGGGATAGTCAAAAAATGAGTTGAAGGGAAAAAAGTATCTCCAGTTGGAGCCAAAACAGCCATCTCTAGTTTGAAAATACACTCAACAAAATGTTGGTGATTAGAGATAACAGGAACCTGGCAAGGGAGGAATTTTTACATACGTTCAAGCTTTTCACTTTGCAGCCACACTCTGATTTTATCAAAATTCTTATCCATCCAACCGATGTTTTC